>NC_000012.12:131921738-132223362 GCF_000001405.40 Homo sapiens
AGGCACTGTGCCCAGGAAGAGCCTGCGGCCTCGGCGTCCCCCAGTCTCCAGGAGCCTCTCCCTCCGAGATACCCACCCAGCTTTGTCAATCACCCAAGCACTTTATGCATATAGAGACAGAACCTGGACCTCACCAGGGACTGCTGGGCAGCGATTCCTGGCAGTGGCCTGGTGTTTGTACATACACATATGCAGACACATGCCAGGGCCCCCCAAGCCCGAGCACCGGACCACGTTGCTGCCCAGGTCTGGACCTCAGCGGGAGAACTGGCTCCGGGGGGAGTGGGGCCCTGCGCTAGAGGCAGAGGCAGTTCTTTGTTCAAGCGTTCCTCTGGGGACCGGCAGCAGAGGCACCGTGTTCTCTCAGCCCTGGATACGTCTTGTAATCTTTCACACTTTATTCCTAAAACGTGTCTTATTTTTATGCAGCTCATTTTTTCTTTAAAGGAGAAAACTTGTAGGTGTTTAAGAATTGGTTTTGGGAGGGCGAGGACTGGGCCAGGTTAGAGGCAGATGGCACAGGGGCGTGTGGCGGGCGGGTGAGGCTGCTTTGCACACCTGTGTTGGTGGCTGTCCCCTGCCGCCCCTCCCTGTGGCAGCAGCAGGACAGGTGTGTGCCCAGCACCCTCCCTACCTGGGCCTGGAAGCAGATGAGGGGAATACTTCATGCAAAGAAAAAAGTAACATGTGCAAAAGCTCCCCGTCCAGCTTTGACAGTCAGTTTTGATGTCAGCTCCTCGGCAGGGTAGGCCTGATGACAGCCCTGTCCCTCCCTGCCTCTGCCTTGCCCAAGGCCACGGAGGGCATCTGCAGAGAGGCCTGCCTTCCGGATTCCAGGCGGGCATGCCCTGCAAACCCCGCCTGGGCCTCCCTTGGTCTGCCCAGCCCTCGATTAGCCCTGCCTGAATCAGTAGATACTTGAACGAGTCCCCAGTCTGCGGGAGGCAGTGGTGGGGCCATGGACCCATGCGGGGGGTTCCAGGGTCACACGCCACATAACAGACAAAAATACACACACGTGTGTTTTTCTTTGCAATACTTGAAATATTGCCACTGTGCTTGGACTTAGAAGAAGAAAATCCCCGTGACTTCTTCCTCATCACCTTGATGGCTTTATTCTCACCTTGTGGGGCATGTTTGTATTTATTGCTTCATGGCCGACTGGAATCCTGAGTCCTGGGAAGCTGGCACTGCGGGGATCTTGCCCGGTGTCCTGGTCCTCTTGCTTCCGTCGCGGCCGCATGTGCGTGTGTCCAAGCAGGTCCTGGGCGCCTCAACTGCTGCCCCTGGTTGAATGTTCTCTTGATAGTGCTGGACCCTTTGTCTATTTTAAAGCGAATTTTGTGTGATTTCCTGCCCTTTGCGTTATATTGTATAATACCAACGTAAGGAAATAAACCTTTGGAATTGTTGGGCTGGTGTCACCACTTGTCTTCGTTGGCTTGTCACTGTTTTCAGGGTTCTGTCATTTTCTTTCTCAGCCGAGGCGCAGGAGCCCAGGGCCCCTCCACAGGTGCCCACAATGGTCGACACAGCCCTGGGAGCAGAGCCCCAGGGCAGAAGCTGGATGTGTTGAGGGACAATGCAAACCCCTGCGCCACAGGAAGCCTCTCCCGCCAGGCTGGGGGTCCTGCACAGGGTGAAGAGAGTCCAGAGGGCAGGGCATCTGCCTTGGTATAGCTTTGGGCACCTGCTTTGACTCCTTTGGGGGATACACCTAGGAGGGGCTTTCGGGGCCACGTGGAGCTGTGTGTTAACTTCCAAGAAGCAACACGGTTCGTTCACTGCAGCCTCTGAGCAGCTGGGCCTCCAAGGCCTTGCCGTGTGGTTTTGATTTGCATTTCCCCGAGGGGTCATGACGTGGAGCATCACAGGTACTTGGCGGCCATTTGTGTGTCTTTGGAGGAACATCTAAATCCTTTGCCTCCCCCTTTTTATTTATTTATTTATTTTTTAATTTGAAATGAGTAACTCTGTTGCTCAGGCCGGAGTGCAGTGGCGCGATCTCGGCTCACTGAAACCTCTGCCTCCCAGGTTCAAGAGATTCTCCTGCCTCAGCCTCCCAAGTAGCTGGGACTACAGCCACCAAGCCCGGCTAATTTTTGTTTTTGTTTTGTTTTGTTTTTAGTAGAGACGGGGTTTCACCGTATTAGCCAGGATAGTTTCAATCTGATGTTGTGGTCTGCCTGCCTTGACCTTCCAAAGTGCTGGGATTACAGGCATGAGCCAGCGCACCTGGCTGTTTTTTTTTTTTTTTTTTTTTGGAGACAGTCTCCCTCTGTCACCCAGGCTGGAGTGTAGTGGTGCAATCTTGGCTCACTGCAATCTCTGCCTCCCGGGTTCAAGCGATTCTCCAGGCTCCCGAGTAGCTGGGATTATAGGCCAAGTGCCACCACGCCCAACTAGTTTTTGTATTTTTAGTAGAGACGGAGTTTCACCATGTTGTCCAGGATGGTCTCAATATGACCCCGTGATCCACCTGCCTGCCTCATCCTCCCAAAGTGCTGGGATTACAGGCGTGAGCCACCACGCCCCAACTTTTTTTTTTTTTTTTTTTTTTAGTTGAAATCTCACTCTGTAGCCCAGACTGGAGTGCAGTGCTGCAATCTGGGCTCACCGCAACGTCCGCCTCCCAGGTTCAAGCAATTCTTCTGCCTCAGCCTCCCGAATAGCTGGGACTACGGGCATGCGCCCAGCTAGTTTTTTGTATTTTTAGTAGAGACGGGGTTTCACATGTTGGCCAGGCTGGTCTCGAACTCCTGTAGAGTTCGCATTTTTAAAACTATATATTGTTTTTATTAGATAAAAATAACTTGCTAAAAACTGCTAACCGCAGTAAGAAGTGAAAGTTCATTGAGAGGTTGGTGTTCTCGAGGAAGGGGAAGGCGGAGACCTTGATTTCTGAGTCCCAAGAGGGGCTGCTTCCAAACTGAGCCTCCTCAGACAGGAACAGCTGCACTCGGCACCGAGTGAGAAGGTGTGGTGGAGCAGCTGCCAGGCTGTGGGCGCCGTGATCCTCCTGGTACTTCTGAAACGTAAAGAAATGCCCAGACGGTCACTACAAACATGGAATTTTGTTGGTGTTAATATCATTTTTTAGAGCAGTTTTATATCTGTAGGAAAATTGAGTAGGACGTACAGAGAGATCTGCCCTCTCCCCTGTCAGTAACACGTCACATTCGTGCAGTGCCTTTGTCTCTGCTTTTGAACCCAATATTCATATTTTAGATTTTTAAAAATCATGGACACTTCTAATACTACAGGTTCTGTCATAGTACCCGAAGTCCATAGTTCACATCATGGGGTCACTCGATGTACACTGGGCTTTGCAGAAGTGTCACGCCACACATCACCCTAAGGTCCTCTGGGCTCCACCTGTTGCCCTCTCCCAGCCTAGCTCTGCTGGCCCCGGTCTTCCTGTCCTCGTAGTTTTTCTTGTTTCAGAATGTCCCGTAGTTGGAATCATACACTATGCCCAGGGCTTGGGAGCTCATTTCCTTTTTTTTTTTGAGACGGAGTCTCGCTCTGTCGCCCAGGCTGGAGTGCAGTGGCGCGATCTCCGCTCACTGCAAGCTCCGCCTCCCGGGTTCACGCCAGTCTCCTGCCTCAGCCTCCCGAGTAGCTGGGACTACAGGGGCCTGCCACCACATCCTGCTAATTTTTTTTTTGTATTTTTAGTAGAGACGGGGTTTCACCATGTTAGCCAGGATGGTCTTGATCTCCTGACCTCGTGATCCGCAGGCCTCGGCCTCCCAAAGTGCTGGGATTACAGGCGTGAGCCACTACGCCTGGCCTTTTTTTTTTTTTTTTTTTTTTTTTTTGAGACAGTCTCGCTATGTTGTCCGGGCTGGAGTGCAGTGGCGGGAACTCGGCTCACTGCAACCTCCACCTCCCAAGGTTCAAGCGACTTTTGTGCCCCAGTCTCCTGAGTAGCTGGGATTACAGGCGTGAGCCACTGCACCCAGCCTGGCTAATTTTTGTATTTTTATTTATTTATTTATTTATTATTATTTTTTATTGATCATTCTTGGGTGTTTCTCACAGAGGGGGATTTGGCAGGGTCACAGGACAATAGTGGAGGGAAGGTCAGCGGATAAACAAGTGAACAAAGGTCTCTGGTTTTCCTAGGCAGAGGACCCTGCGGCCTTCTGCAGTGTTTGTGTCCCTGGGTACTTGAGATTAGGGAGTGGTGATGACTCTTAACGAGCATGCTGCCTTCAAGCATCTGTTTAACAAAGCACATCTTGCACCGCCCTTAATCCATTTAACCCTGAGTGGACACAGCACATGTTTCAGAGAGCACAGGGTTGGGGGTAAGGTCACAGATCAACAGGATCCCAAGGCAGAAGAATTTTTCTTAGTACAGAACAAAATGAAAAGTCTCCCATGTCTACCTCTTTCTACACAGACACGGCAACCATCTGATTTCTCAATCTTTTCCCCACCTTCCCCCCTTTGTATTCCACAAAACCGCCATTGTCATCATGGCCCGTTCTCAATGAGCTGTTGGGTACACCTCCCAGACGGGGTGGTGGCCGGGCAGAGGGGGCTCCTCACTTCCCAGTAGGGGCGGCCGGGCAGAGGCGCCCCTCACCTCCCTGACGGGGTGGCTGGCCTGGTGGGGGCTGACCCCCACCTCCCTCCAGGACGGGGTGGCTGCCGGGCGGAGACGCTCCTCACTTCCCAGACGGGGCGGTTGGCAGGCAGAGGGGCTCCTCACTTCTCAGACGGGGCAGCCGGGCAGAGACGCTCCTCGCATCCCAGACGGGGCGGCAGGGCAGAGGTGCTCCCCACATCTCAGACGATGGGCGGCCGGGCAGAGACGCTCCTCACTTTCCAGACTGGGCAGCCAGGCAGAGGGGCTCCTCACATCCCAGACGATGGGCGGCCAGGCAGAGAAGCTCCTCACTTCCCAGACGGGGTGGCGGCCGGGCAGAGGCTGCAATCTCAGCACTTTGGGGGGGCCAAGGCAGGCGGGTGGGAGGTGGAGGTTGTAGCGAGCCGAGATCACGCCACTGCACTCCAGCCTGGGCACCATTGAGCACTGAGTGAACGAGACTCCCGTCTGCAATCCCGGCGCCTCGGGAGGCGGAGGCTGGCGGATCACTCGCGGTTAGGAGCTGGAGACCAGCCCCGCCAACACAGCGAAACCCCATCTCCACCAAAAAAATAGGAAAACCAGTCAGGCGTGGCGGCGCGCGCCTGCAATCGCAGGCACTCGGCAGGCTGAGGCAGGAGAATCAGGCAGGGAGGTTGCAGTGAGCCGAGATGGCAGCAGTACCGTCCAGCTTCCGCTCGGCATCAGAGGGAGACCGTGGAAAGAGAGGGAGAGGGAGACCGTGGGGAGAGCGAGAGCGAGAGGGGGAGGGGGAGGGAGAGCGAGAGCGAGAGCGAGAGCGAGAGGGAGAGGGAGAGAGATTTTTGTATTTTTAGAGACGGGTTTTGCCACGCTGGCCAGGCTGGTCTCAAACTCCTGGCCTTAAGTGATCCGCCCTCCTGGCCTCCCAAAGCGTTAGGATTACGGGCATGAGCCACTGTGCCTGGCCTCATTTCTTTTTAGAGCTGCATAGTATTCCATTGTCTGTAGGTACCACAGTTTTTCCATTCACCTGCCGACATATCGGTTGTTTCTGCGTTTGGGCAGTGGTAAATAAAGCTGCTGTAAAGGTCCTTGTGCCAGAGCCAGGTGGTGAGGGTGGGCCCAGGGGAAGCCATGGCAGTACAGGAAGGACCTCATCCCTGCACACACTGGCCATGTGGGGGCGGGGCTCCAAGCCAGGGGGACCAGGCCTTGGTGCCCACACTGCCACAGAACTGTGGCCCCCCTGGGTGCCTGTCCAAACCCCCCCGCCTCAGTCCTGGAGCCTGGGCTGGTGGAGGGGTGCCCTCCTGGGGGGTCACTTATACAGCTGAGCCACCCTCCCAGCTGGACAATTGCATCTCCCTCCTGCCTCCCCTTCCTGCCTCGGCCACCAGCTCCTCACAAGCCACTCGCAGCCCACTGAGTGCCCCTTGGGAAGGGGTGTCAGATTGGATCCCTGGGGCTCCCATCTCACTCATAGCCAATGCCAAGTCCTCGGTGGCCCACGAGGCCCCACACAACCTGGCCCCGGACCCCTTGGTCCTCTTTTCCTATCAGTCCCTCCAGTCATCACGCAGCCCTGTGGTTTCTCTACCTGCATACTCCAGGTGGGCACAGTGCCCCGGCCCCACTGAGTCCTCACCTGTAGGAGAAGGCACAGCCCCTGGAGGGCGGGAGTGGGGCTGCTGCAGACGGCTGTCTCCTGCCTCCTGGCTCTTGCACTGCCAGGAACACGCTCTCCCCAACACCTCCATGGCTCATTCCCCAAATTCAAGCTTGTAGTTGGTTGAATTGTGGCCCCAGAGATGGGATTAAGGATTTTGAGATTATGCCAGATTATCTGCGCGGGCCCAGGATCATATGAGTTTGTCTAAGGGAAAGCAGGAGACAGGAGGGCAAGCTTGGGAGAGGAGGCAAGGAAGTGGTGGGCGCGGTGGCCACACCTGGAATCCTAGCACTTCGGGAGGGGAGGCGGGAGGATCGCTTGAGCTCAGCAGTTCGAGATCTGCCTGGGCAACATAGTGGGCCGGTCTCTTAAAAAAAAAAAAAAAAAAAGGCCGGGCGCGTGGCTCACGCTTGTAATCCCAGCACTTTGGGAGGCCGAGGAAGGCGGATCACGAGGTCAGGATATCGAGACCATCCTGGCCAACATGGTGAAACCCTGTCTCTACTAAAATACAAAAAAATTAACCGGGCGTGGTGGCGCGCGCCTGTAGTCCCAGCTACTCCGGAAGCTGAGACGGGAGAATCGCTTGAGCCCGGGAGGTGGAGATTCCGAGCCGAGATCGCGCCACTGCACTCCAGCCTGGCGAAAGAGCAAGACTCTGTCCCCCGCCCCCCAAACAAAACAAAACAAAACAAAAAAGAGTGGCTACTTTTCAGGAGACCGCATCTCTATAAAAAATAAGAAAAAATTAGCTGAGCGTGGTGGGGCGCGCCTGCGAGGACCGCTGGAGCCCGGAGGCGGAGGCTGCGGTGAGCCGTGACCCCTCTACCGTGCGGGTGAAGGGCAGGGCGGAGCCGCCCCTGCGCCCCAGCGTCTGTGGAACGGGGACGGGGAGCGGGGCTGGGGCCACACGAGGGCCGCACAGGGTGGGTGCCACTGAGGGTCTGGGGGCCGAGCCCGTGGGAGCGGACCCGGCAACGGAGAGGAGCGGGGCCAGCGTGGGCTCAGCGCTTCCCCTGCTCCGCTGGGCGGGCGACAGCACCCGGGAGGCGGCGGCGGAGCGACCAGTCGCGCGGCCGCGGTGCTGGATGCAGGAGGGCCTGGTGCCCCGCCCTCAACACCCTAATCCCCGCCCCACCCCACCCCCACCCCCTAGTCTCCGCCCCCATCACCCCCTCCGTCTCTGTCCCCGCCCTGCCTCTTCTCCCGAATTAGTTTTGTCCGCGCTCGGCCGCCGTGCAGTCGGTCGTTCCACTTCCGCCTTCGCCCACGTGGTCCGGCTCCGGCTCAGTCAGCCGCGTCGCGAATGGGGCAGGAGCGAGCCTCTCTGGTCCCGACGCGGGTGGCCCGGGTCTCCTCGACTCCTGAGGAAAGCCCACCGGGCGGGGCGGGAGGTGAAGAGGCTGGGGAAGTCAGAGGTTAACCTGGGCGTCAGGGGACGTTGGAGTTGATCCGTCAGGGTCCCGGGGCGGTCTGGGGGCAGTAGAGACGGGGCTTGGGCGCGGGGCCTGAGAGGTCAGGGGTCAGCAGGAGTGAGGCTGGGGCGTCCAGGTCCGAGAGGTCAGGGGTCAGCTGGAGAGGGGCTGGGGCGCCGGTTTCCCGGAGGTCAGGGGTCAGAAGGAACAGGGCTGCAGCGTCAGGGTCCGAGAGGTTAGGGGTCGGCAGAGGCGGAGCTGGGGCACTGGGGGTCAGGGGTCGGGGATCAGGGCGGGGTCGGGTGCACTGGTAGCCTGCGCATGGGCCTCCAGCTTCGCGCGCTGTTGGGAGCCTTCGGACGGTGGACCCTGCGCCTGGGACCGCGTCCGTCCTGGTAATGACCGCGACGCCGGGCGACCCCGCTATGCCCGCCCAGCCCAGCCCACCCCAGTCCACCCCGCGCGGTGCCGAGCGGGCCCCCGCTCACGCCGCCCTTCTCCGCAGCTCGCCGCGCATGGCCGGGAACGCGGAGCCGCCGCCCGCCGGAGCCGCATGCCCCCAGGACCGGAGGTCCTGCAGCGGCCGGGCCGGGGGCGACCGCGTCTGGGAGGACGGAGAACATCCGGCGAAGAAGCTCAAGAGCGGTGGCGACGAGGAGCGGCGCGAGAAGCCGCCCAAGCGGAAGATCGTGCTGCTCATGGCCTATTCGGGCAAGGGCTACCACGGCATGCAGGTGTGGCCGCCCGGGAAGCGGCAGGTCCCGCGGGGTTTAGGTGCAGGTGCGGCCGCCGGGGAAGCGGTGGGTCCGGCTGGGTTTAGGTGCAGGAGCGGTCGCCCAGGTAGCGGCGGGTCCGGCAGGATTTAGGTGCAGGCCCAAGCAGCTTTCACTGCTCCTGCTGCACGCGAGCTCCTGCTGCTTTCCATCAGGCCCGGCCCTGCCGCTAACCGCTGTTATCTGGGGCGGGGTTCACTTGCTGGGTGCCTGAGTCCTCATCTTTAGGATGGGAGTGCTCACAGCACCTGCTAAGTAGAGTGTGAAGATGAGCTAGGTGTACTGACGCTCGGTGCTGAGAACAGTGGACAGCTCGGGGCAGCTCAGAAGAGCCTGCTGTCGTGAGCGTTAAGGGGACAGAGAGCTAAGTATTAAAGTTGTGAGGATTCTCTCCTCAGCCCACTTCCTTTTCTGGAAGGTAGAGGGTCTGGGTACATTCAGGTAGGTGTATTTTTTTTTCTTTTTGAGGCGTGGTCTCCCTTTGTGGTCCAGGCTGGAATGCAGTGGTGCATCCACACTGCTCGCTGCAGCCTCCACCTCCTGGGCTCAAGAGATCCTCCCACCTCAGCCTCCCGAACATCGAGGGCTGTAAGTGTCCTTGACCTCACGGCCTGAATAATTTTTTTTATAATTTGCAGGAATGGTGTCTTGCTAAGTTTTTTATTATTTATAGGAATGGGGTCTCGCTGTGTTGCCCAGGCTGCTCTCCAACTCCTGGGCTCAAGCGATCCTCCTGCCTCGGCCTTCCTGTGTTGTGATTACAGGCATGAGCCACTGCGACTGGCCTCAGGTAGACATTCCTTTTGTTCCTTTTTGTAGTTACCACTGTGGCTTTGCGCAGTTCTGTGTTCTTTAAACATCTTTAAACATTTCCACAGAAGTTCATGCAGTGCGTGCAGTGTCTGACTGAAACAAAAGTTTAAGAAAATAATGCTTAACTTCGGCAGTTGTTATAACAGCTTTTATGGTGAAAGTTATAAGTAATAGATTGCTTTTTTTTTGGAGACAGAGTCTTGCTCTGTCGCCCAGGCTGGAGTGCAGTGGTGGGATTTTGGCTTACTGCAGCCTCCGCCTCCCGGGTTCCACCGATTCTTGTGCCTCAGCCTCCCGAGTAGCTGGGACTACAGGCGCTCGCCACCACGCCCATCTAGTTTTTGTATTTTTAGTAGAGACGGGGTTTCACCATGTTGGTCAGGCTGGCCTTGAACTCCTGACCTCAGAGTATCCTCCTGTCTCCGTCTCCCAAAGTGCTGGAATTACAGGGGTGAGCCACAGAGCCCGGCCAACCACTGTGCACTGCAACCTCTGCCTCCCAGATTCAAGCAATTCTCCTGCCTCAGCCTCCTGAGTCACTGGGATTAAAAGCATACCTAATTATTTATTTATTTATTTATTTTTGAGACAGAGTTTTCCTCTGTCACCTAGGCTGGAGTGCAGTGGTACATTATCAGTTCACTGCAACCTCCACTTCCCAGGTTCAAGCGATTCTCCTGCCTCAAGAGCCCGGCACCACGCCCGGCTAATTTTTGTATTTTTAGTAGAGACAGAGTTTCACCATGTTGGCCAGACTGGTCTCGAACTCCTGATCTCAAGTGATCCACCCTCCTCGGCCTCCCAAAGTGCTGGGATTACAGGTGTGAGCCACTGCACCTGGCCATAGATTACTTTATAGTCAATGTTTTTTTTTTAAAGTATAGGTAGCACCCACGGCACTGATTTTGTAACTGACAGATTGTGGAAGTAGGTGTATGCACAGGTTCAATCAAACCTGTGTTTTGATTCCATTCCACACTACCCACCCCCTAGCATGGAGCAGCCCGGCCCCAGGGTGAGTGAGCAGAAAACAGTGTTTTCACATGAGCGTGGCAGCTCACACTTGTAATCTCAGCACTTCAGGAGGCCAGAGGAGTAAGCGGCCAGGAGTTCGAGACCAGCCTGGGCAACATCATGGCGACCTCTGTCTGCAAAATATAAAATCTGTTTTTGTCTCCTTTTTCCAGAGGAATGTCGGGTCCTCACAATTCAAAACAATTGAAGATGACTTGGTGTCCGCCCTCGTCCGGTCAGGCTGTATTCCTGAAAATCATGGTGAGGACATGAGGAAAATGTCCTTCCAGCGCTGCGCCCGGACAGACAAGGTGGGTGGTGGCCTTCTCTGCCCCTCCCCCGCTGCTATGAGCAGCACGTGGCCCACTTTCCAGCTCAGTGTTCTGGCTTGTTATGCTGTTTCTGAGCACATAATGATGTACAAATCAAACTAGCCTACGCCTTATGTAGGTGAGACGTCCAGGAGCCTGGTCGGCTCAGGTATAGCTGGATCTAGATGCTCCCTGCCAGTGGGACTCTGTGTTCTCTCTGGTCTTTGCTTTCTCTTGTGTTGATTCTGTTCTCAGGGACACACATTCTTGCAGGTGGCACAGTGGCGGCCGCAATGTCTGCTTTCGACCCTCCAATCAGGCTCACTCTGAGGCAGATGTAATTGTGTGGCTGCAAAGGCAGAGAGCCACACTTGTATGATGCAACATTCTCTTTTCTTTCCTTTTTTAGAGTCAGGATCTCATTCTGTTGCCCAGGCTGGAGTGCAGTGGCATGATCATGGCTCACTGCAGTCTCAAACTGCTGGGCTCAAGCAATCCTCCTGCCTCAGCCTCCCGAGTAGGTGGGTGTATTAGTCTGTTGTCACACTGTTATAAAGAACTGCTCAAGATTGGGCAGTTTATAAAGAAAAGAGGTTGAATTGACTCAGTTCCACATGGCTGGGGAGGCCTCAGGAAACAGATCATGGCGGCAGGTGCGAGAGAGTGAGGAGGGTAAGGGGAAGAGCCCCTTGTAAACCATCAGATCTTGGGAGAACTCACTCACTATCACGAGAACAGCATGGGGGAAGCCGGGCCCATGATCCAGTCACCTCCCACCAGGTCTTCCCTAGACACTTGGGGATTACCTTCAACATGAGATTTGGCGGGGACACAGCAAAACCGTATCACTGGAATGACAGGCACTCCACCATGCCTGGCTAAATTTTTTTTTTTTTTTTTTTTTAATATGGGGTCTTGCTGTGTTGCTCAGGGGTCTCAAACTCCTGGGCTCCAGTCATCTTCCCACCTTGGCGTCCCAAAGTACTGGGATTTACAGGCATGAACCGCCACATCTGGCTTGAAATTAATAAATAATTCACTGTATTATAAACTGAGTATATTCAGGATATCCTCATTTCGGCGTGTAATCCATATAAAAATCTCTTCATGGGATAAATGTAATACTGTTTTTGTGTGTATGCTAAGTCCACACTCATCACAAATCCACCACCCTGGACCTGTTTTGTGGTCTCAGCTGCATGGGGCTGGTGACCCAGCACTGTTCCTTCAGAACCACAAGGCTGAGTACTCCTGTTTGCGATTGGTTTTCACGTCCACCCTGGACGCTGCTGCTGGCCTGTGTGGAAGCACATGCCAAGTGGTCCTGTGACGCCACATTCCTGTGCTTGGGACTGAACCATGGGATTGGGTGTGCACAGAGTGGCCCGCCACAGGGAATGGGGATGTCTCTAAGGAGGGACCCAGTGTAGGGTCCAGCCCTACAGGGCCTGTGGGTTTTCTCTTCATGTGCGGAGACAAGAGATCGTAGAAAAATAAAGATACGAGACAAAGAGATAGAAGGAAAGACAGCTGGGTCCAGGGGACCACTACCACCAATGGGCCGAACCTGATAGTGGCCCCAAATGCCTGGACGCACTGCTATTTATTGTATACAAGGCAAGGGGACAGGGTAAGGAGCGTGTGTCATCTCAAGTGATTGATAAGGTCACGCGAGTGACATGTCCACCGGACAGGGGTCCTTTCCCTTTGTGGTAGGTGAGGCGGAGAGGAAGGACAGCATACGTCAGCATTTCTTCTATGCACTTATCAGAAAGATCAAAGACTTTAATACTTTCACTAATTGTGCTACTGCTATCTTCTAAGAACTGAAAAGCAGGAGCCAGGTGTGCAGGTGGAGCATGAAAGTGGACAAGGAGCGTGACCGTTGAAGCACCACAGGGAGCTGTTTAAGCCCGCTGATGACTGCGGGCAGGCCTGGGTAATGTCAGGCCTCCCACAAGAGGTGGTGGAGCAGAGTGTTCTCTGACTACCCTGGGGAGAGGGAGACTCCCTTTGCCGGTCTGTGAAGTAACAGGTGCCTTCCCAGGCACTGGCGCTACCAGTAGTCCGGGGAGCCTTCAAGCGACCCTTATCTGGGCGTGACAGGGGGCTCACACCCTTGTCTTCTGGTCACCTCTCACAGTGTCCTTCAGCTCCTGACTCTATGGCCTGATTTTTCCTAGGTTATAATTATAGAACAGAGATTATTATAATAGTAAAGAGTAATACTACAAACTAATGATTGATAATATTGGTATATAATTATATCTATATCCTATTTCTAGTATAACTTTTCTTACTCTAATTATTTTCTTTATTACACTGGAACAGCTCGTGCCTTCAGTCTCTTGCCTCGGCACCTGGGTGGCTTACCGCCCACAACCCAACGTTTGGCAGACGGGGACAGCAGAGCCGGAGAGAACAGATAGCTTTTCTGTAGCACGTATGAGGCATCAGTGAACGTGATACCTGTCATCCTTGCTCTTCCGAGTGCCTGGCTCTGTCACATGGCTCTCAGGCTGCCTGAAGGCATTAGGGGCCTATCAGAGACATAACTTTTTGCCGGTCAGGATCCTCCGGGAATCTGAATAAAGCTATGGCTCTTTTTCCCACAAATGCCTAGTTTCAAAAGGCACACAGATCCCTGGGGATCCATGGATGCATTCTGGAGCCGTCGTACAGAGGGGAGAACACAAAGAGGGATCCACAAGTTCACTCCTAGTGGGTGAGAACACAAAGAGGGATCCACAAGTTCACTCCTAGTGGGTGAGAACACAAAGAGGGATCCACAAGTTCACTCCTAGTGGGTGAGAACACAAAGAGGGATCCACAAGTTCACTCCTAGTGGGTGAGAACACAAAGAGGGATCCACAAGTTCACTCCTAGTGGGTGGGGGTGATGCATCTGTGGCTCAAGGTAGAGAGTTCTGTGGGTCTTAACTATTTTCATTTTCTTTTTGATTCTTCCATTTACAGCTCTCTGGTTGTTTTCAGGGAAGAAAAGTAACAATTTGTCCAAGCTGATGAAGAGAGCATTTCAAAATAGGGTCCTTGTATTTATTTTTATTTCTGCTGTTATTAGAGAGATGGTTTCATTCTAATACGTTTTCTCACTTGTATGGGGAAACCTGCAGAAGTAAATCCATTAGGCCGGCACGGTCACACCCGAGTGCCCTGCCCTTCAGATGAAAACACAGTAACAGTTTAACATTTTTGTTATTTATTTATTCATTTATTTTTGAGACGGAGTTTCACTCTTGTTGCCCAGGCTGGAGTGCAATGGCGTGATCTTGGCTCACCGCAACCTCACCTCCTGGGTTCGAGCCATTCTCCTGCCTCAGCCTCCCGAGTAGCTGGGAATACAGGCATGCGTCACCACGCCCGGCTGATTTTGTATTTTTAGTAGAGATGGGGTTTCTCCATGTTGATCAGGCTGGTCTCGAACTCCTGACCTTAGGTGATCTGCCTGCCTCGGCCTCCCAAAGTGCTGGGATTACAGGTGTGAGCCCCCGTGCCCGGCCTATTGTTTATTTTTGTGTGTGTGTATTTCTGCTGTTTAACATTCTGTTTTTGTTTCAGATTTTAAAAATAGCTTTATTGAAATATAATTCACTTTTGGACGGGCGTGGTGGCTCACGCCTGTAATTCCAGCACTTTGGGAGTCCAAGGCGGGCGGATCACTTGAGGTCAGGAATTCAAGACCAGTCTGGCCAACATGGTGAAACCCCGTCTCTACTAAAGATACAAAAATTAGCCGGGTGTGTTGGTGGATGCCTGTAATCCCAGCTACTCAGGAGGCCGAGGCAGGAGAATTGCGTGAACCTGGGAGGCGGAGGTTGAAGTAAGCTGAGATGGTGCCACTGCACTGCAGCCCGGGTGACAGAGTGAGACTCCATCTCAAAAAAAAAAAAGCAAAAAAGGAAATATAATTCACTCTTGTACAATTGACCCATTGAAAGTGTACAGTTCGGGCTGGGCGCGGGGGCTTAGCCTGGAATCCCAGCACTGTGGGAGGCCGAGGTGGGCGGATCACCTGAGGTCAGGAGTTCAAGACCAGCCTGGTCAATATGGCGAAACCCCGTCTCTACTAAAAATACAAAAATTAGCCAGGTGTGGTGGTGCACGCCTGTAATCCCAGCTACTCAGTAGGCTGAGGCAGGAGAATCGTTTGAATCCGAGAGGTGGAGGTTGCAGTGAGCTGAGATCGTGCCATTGTACTCCAGCCTGGGCAACAAGAGTGAAACTCCGTCTCAAAAAACAAAACAAAACAAAAGAAACAAAAAGTGTGCGGTTCAAGCTGGGTGTGGTGGCTCACGCCTGTAATCCCAACACTTTGGGAGGCCAAAGTGGACGGATCACTTGAGGCCAGGAGTTCGAGACCAGCCTGGCCAACATGACAAAATCCCATCTCTACTAAAGATACAAAAATTAGCAAGGCATGGTGGCTTACACCTGTAATCCCAGCTACCTGGGAGGCTGAGGCAGGAGAATCTCTTGAATACAGAAGACGAAGGTGGCAGGGAGTCGAGGTTGCGTCACTGAGCTCCAGCCTGGCAAAAAAAAAAAAAAGTATACAGTTTAGTGATTCCAGTATATTCACAGAGCTGTGCAGCCATCACCACAGCCAGACATAGGACACCCCAGAGGTACCAGGTGTCCCTCAGCTGTTGACCCCCCAGGATGTCTCGAGTGTTCTCACTTCAGCTTCTACAGAGTGGTTGGCAATGAGATGTATTTTCTTTCCCTTTTTTGGTGCTAAGTCTTTGAAATCTGTTGTATATTTACCTAAAGTCATCTTGTTTCAGAACATCTCGTTTCATTCTGCCACGTTCCATGTGTGGATCTGGCCAGTGTAACATCTCAACAGTTTATTTTACTCTTTCCAACTTTTTATTTTGAAAATTTCATACCTTCATAAAAGTCTTAAGAATAATGCCATGATTCTTAATAATGCCACATGATTCTTATGTGGGTGCCATGAGCACCCACATAGTCTTCCCAGATTCACCAAGGTTAGGTTTTTACCATATTATCATAGTTGTGTGTGGTTTTTTTAAAAATTCATTTTATTTTATTTTTTGAGATGGAGTTTCACTCTTGTTGCCCAGGTTGGAGTGCAATTGCACGATCTCAACTCACTGCAACCTCCACCTCCCGGGTTCAAGTGATTCTCCTGCCTCAGCCTCCCGAGTAGCTGGGATTACAGGCACCTGCCACCACTCCCAGCTAATTTTTTGTATTTTTAGTAAAAATGGGATTTCACCATGTTGGTAAGGCTAGTCTCGAACTCCCGACTTCAGGCGATCCGCCTGCCCCGGCTTCCCAAAGTGCTGGGATTACAGGCATGAACCACCGCACTCCGCCCGTTTTTTTGTTTGTTTTTGCTTTCTTTTTATTTATCTTTTTTTTACCTTTTTTGAGACAGAGTCTTGCTCTGTTGCCCAGGCTGGTCTTGAACTCTTGGGCTCAAGCAATCTTCCTACCTTAGCCTCCCAAAGTACTGGGATTATGAATGAGAGCCACTGTGCTTGGCCTTTTCTATCTTAAAATGGAACCATTTGAGAGTAAGTTGGAGACATCATCATCCTTTACCCTGAAACATCTTAGCATGAGTCTCCAAGGGACTGTGACATCCTTCAGCAACCTCACTCTATCAACCTGATAGAGTACCATCATCTAACATGTCCAAAGTAGGAAACTCTCTTTTCTGTTTTCTTTTTCTTTTCTTCAGCTTCTTTGATGTGGCATGCCTTTTATTTTTGTTAACTGGTCTGGGATCTAATCTAGGATCATTAGTGGCATTCAGTTGTCATGTCTCTTGAGCTTCCTTTAATCGAAAACGATCTCCTTGGCCGGGCATCGTTGCTTACACCTGTAATCCCAGCACTTTATGAGACTGAGGTGGGAGGATCACTTGAGGCCAGGAGTTCGAGACCAGTCTGGGCAACATAGCAAGACCCTGTCTCTACAAAAAAAATTGAAAACTAGCCAGGCATCGTGGTGCCTGTCTGTAGTCTCAGCTACTTGGGAGGCTGGGGTGGGAGGATTGCTCAAACCTGGGAGGTCAAGGTTGCTGTAAGCCAAGATCGGCACCACTGCACTCCAACCTGGGTGACAGACCAAAACCTTGTCTCAAAAAGAACCCAACAAAAAATCTATAGAAACTTACTTTTAAAAAGAGGTGAAATAAACAAACAGTAAAGTGTGCGAGTCTTAAGTGTAAACTTGATCAGTTTTTATCTGTGTACCTACCTGTGTACGCACTGCCTGTCCTCAGAAGGCCCCTCCCTTTCCTCCAGGGCCACTGCAGTTCTGACTCAGGTGGGGACCCCTTCCTCACTCTGCTCTTGGTTCTAAGTTGTGTTTTCTCTTTTCCCCAATCTTTGGGAGTCATATTTTCATATCTTTTTTTTTTTTTTTTTTCCTTTGAGGTGGAGTCTGGCTCTGTCACCCAGGCTGGAGTGCAGTGGCACGATCTCAGCTCACTGGAAGCTCCGCCTCCCGGGTTCACGCCATTCTCCTGCCTCAGCCTCCCAAGTAGCTGGGACTACAGGCGCCTGTCACCATGCCCGGCTAATTTTTTGTATTTTTAGTAGAGACTAACAATACATTTAGTAGAGACTAACATTTCATGTTAGCCAGGATAGTCTCGATCTCCTGACCTCGTGATCCACCCGCCTCGGCCTCCCAAAGTACTGGGATTACAGGCGTGAGCCACTATGCCCGGCCCTCCAGATGCATTTTTAACAGCTGAATTCATGTGTGAAATGACGTAAGGTCCGCGTAGTCCTTCTTTCTCAGAGACCAGCGTGCGAGGCCCAAGGGACCCACCTTCCGTCACCCGTTCTGCTTTGTTTACAGGGTGTGTCCGCAGCCGGCCAGGTGGTATCCCTGAAGGTGTGGCTGATTGACGACATTCTAGAAAAGATCAACAGCCACCTTCCCTCTCACATTCGGATTCTGGGTAAGCCTTGCAGTGCAGGCGGCCACACACCTGGTTGTAGATGGTCTTGCAGAGACACGAGGCTATGCATGCTCCTGCCTTTTCCAACTGTCTCTGATGCAGAAGCGTAGTCAGAGTTGCTTTGCAGCTGGTTCTGACCTTCAGAAACGGGAGCCACTAGACAGGAGTAGAAAGCTGTTCATTTGCAGTGCTTGTTGCTACACGGGCGCCTTGTTTTAAGCAAACACAGGATGTGAAAATCCAAATTCATGGTTAAAATGAACAGTTGTTCCCTCTTACGGCAGGACTGGTAAATGGAATTTTTAGGCCTCCTTAAAATGTGACTGTCTACCTTTTAAGTGGCAGGTACAGGCAACTTACATAATACATTCGTTCATTCATTTATTCTGTTTGTTTTTTGAGAGAGTCTCGCTCTGTCACCCAGGCTGGAGTGCAGTGGTGCAATCATGGCTCACTGCAGCCTCCGCCTCCCGGGTTCAAGCAGTCCTCAGCCTCCTGAGTAACTGGGACTACAGGTGTGTGCCACCACACTTCATTTTTGAGTTTGTAGAGATGGGGTCTCATTGTGTTGCCCAGGCTGGTCTTGAACTCCTGGGCTCAAGTGATCCTCCTGCCTTGGCCTCCCAGAAGCCGCTTATATTTAATGTAATGATAGGTGTGGCTGGGCGTGAATCTGTCGTCTTGCTCTCTGTTTTCTTTTCCTTTTTGTTTTGGTGTCATCCCAAGAAAACAGAACTGTTGTCTGCCTGACTGGTCTGCTTGGAGAGAAGTGTTTGAGACAGGGTCTTGTTCTGTTGCCGAGGCTGGAGTGCAGTGGTGTGATCACAGCTCACTGTAGCATCGACCACCTGGGCTCAAGGGATCCTCCCGCCTCAGCCTATAAGCTGGGACTACAGGCACACGCCACCACAGCCGGCTGAATTTTTATTTTTATTTGTAGAGATGGGGTTTCGCCATGTCGCCCAGGCTGGTCTCAAACTCCTAGGCTCAATCAGTTTACCTGCCTCAGCCTCCCAAAGTGTTGGCATTACAGGCATGAGCTGCTATGCCCAGCCCACAGCCTGATTATTTTAAGATTCATCCGTGCTGTTGTGTATGTCAGCAGTCTGTTCCTTCTCATTGCTGCGGGGTGTTCTGTTCTGTGGGTGTGCCACGGATTGTTTATACAGTTACCTGCTGAAGGACATTGGATGATTTCTAGTTTTGGGCTGTTAGAAGTAAAGCCACTAAGAACATTTACATATGAGTCATAAATAGGATTCAGTAATCCCTGTTGATTTTACCCACTGTTAAGTTTTTGTTTTTATTTTTATATTTTTTATGATGGAGTCTTGTTCTGTTGCCCAGGCTGGAGTGCAGTGGCGTGATCTCGGCTCACTGCAACCTCCACCTGCCTCCTGGGTTCAAGTGATTCTCCCACCTCAGCCTTCCCAGTAGCTGGGATTACAGGTACACGCCACCACGCCCAGCTAATTTTTGTATTTTTAGTAGAGATGGTGTTTCACCATGTTAGTCTCAAACTCCTGACCTCAGGTGATCCACCCACCTCGGCCTCCCAAAGTGCTGGGATTACAGGCATGAGCCACTGCGCCCGGCTGCTTTTATTATTTTAAATTCACACATAATTATACATACTTATGTAGAATTATGTGTGATATTTCCAGTCATGTATAAAGATCAAATAGGGCAATTAGCATAATATATCCATCACTCCAAGCATGTATCATTTCTTTGTGTTGGAGACATTCCGTATCTTCTCACTATTGGAAAATTACAATAAATGGTTGTAAATTCAGTCACCTTATAGAGCACTGCACCTGTCCCTCCTGTCCATCGTCCTCCTGTGCCTGTTCCCCAGCCTGTGGCTGCCCCCTCCCCAGAGAAGCCGATGCTTGCTGGAGCTTGGTCGGTGCTCTGGGTAAGGAGACGCTGGGGCTCACGCCGTGCTCAGGCTGCTCCCTGGTCATCCAGGCACTTCTCACCTGCCTTTCTCCTCCCTGACCACCTCCCCCCTAGGACTGAAGCGGGTCACGGGCGGGTTTAACTCCAAGAACAGATGTGATGCCAGGACCTATTGCTACCTGCTGCCCACGTTTGCCTTTGCGCACAAGGACCGGGACGTTCAGGATGAGACCTACCGCCTGAGCGCCGAGACGCTGCAGCAGGTCAACAGGCTCCTGGCCTGCTACAAGGGCACGCACAACTTCCACAATTTCACCTCGCAGAAGGGGCCGCAGGATCCCAGTGCCTGCCGCTACATCCTGGAGATGTACTGCGAGGAACCCTTTGTGCGGGAGGGCCTGGAGTTTGCGGTGATCAGGGTGAAGGGCCAGAGCTTCATGATGCATCAGATCCGGAAGATGGTCGGCCTGGTGGTGGCCATTGTGAAGGGTTATGCCCCTGAGAGCGTGCTGGAGCGCAGCTGGGGCACAGAGAAGGTGGACGTGCCCAAGGCGCCCGGACTCGGCCTGGTCCTGGAGAGGGTGCACTTCGAGAAGTACAACCAGCGCTTTGGCAACGATGGGCTGCATGAGCCGCTGGACTGGGCGCAGGAGGAAGGAAAGGTCGCAGCCTTCAAGGAGGAGCACATCTACCCCACCATCATCGGCACCGAGCGGGACGAACGCTCCATGGCCCAGTGGCTGAGCACCTTGCCCATCCACAACTTCAGTGCCACCGCTCTCACGGCAGGTGGCACGGGCGCCAAGGTAGGGGCACAGTCCCAGCAGTGCTCAGCAGAACACAGGCCCACATTGTTCCCATTGTACAGAGGAGTGAGCTGAGGCACAGAGAAGTGTGTCACTTCCCCGCAAGGCCACACAGCTGCTGCAGGAGCAGGGGCAGGCGGTCTTGAGATGTTCCTTGTCTGCATGCCTGCGCCACCCACTTGCTCCCCCACGGGGTGCTTTTCGACCCTGGGAGGGCTGTCCCAGGGTCAGGCTTGCTGCCAGCACACCTACTATGGACCTGGCATGGAGCATAATCAGCAGCTAGACAGCTGCGGAATGTAGCTTAGAACCGGAACATACAGGATTGTAGGTGCAGAAGCTAAAAGCTAAGTGAATGAAAATGTCATTCTCAGTTCTTCGCTCTGGGGTGAGAGATGTCCCCAAAGCCCGAGTTTGTTCTTTCTTTTTTTTTTGTTGTTTGAGACGAAGTCTTGTTCTGTCACCCAGGCTGGAGTGCAGTGGCGCGATCTCGGCTCACTGCAAGCTCCGCCTCCCGGGTTCACGCCATTCTCCTGCCTCAGCCTCCCGAGTAGCTGGGACTACAGGCGCCCACCACCACGCCCGGCTCATTTTTTGTATTTTTAGTAGAGATGGGGTTTCACCATGTTAGCCAGGATGGTCTTGATCTCCTGACCTTGTGATCCACCCGCCTTGGCCTCCCAAAGTGCTGGGATTACAGTCGTGAGCCACTGCGTCCGGCCAGCCTGAGTTCTTTCATGGTGGCCCAGTGAGGTTTCAAAGGGTGACATTCCCAGGCAGGGCTCAGGGAGATTCTTCCTGTCATCTAGATATCTGTGAAAAGAGAGTCCTTCCTGCATACCTGGGTGGCAGATTCAACTGTGTGCAGGCCCCAGGGAGGTAAGGTGGGCAGGCGAGGGGCCAGGCACCTGGCGAGCCGTCCTATAGATGGGGCGATGAGAGGCCCCCAGCCCAGGGACGGCAGGGAGTTGGGGGGCCAGCGGTGGCCAGGAGCCTCGTTTCATCTGAAGGGGGTACTCGTGGCTCAGTGGCAGCTGGTGGTGGCCATGTTGGAATGTGACAGTGACCGTATGCTTAAATGTTATCAAGGGAAACCAGCGTTGCATACTGGTATGGGAAATCTCTTTTTTAAGTGCTGGTAGTTAATTTTTCCCAAGCCCGGTGCAGGCTAAATACAGCGCAGGTGCTGATTTGGCCTGGGCCAGACTGGACTGCTGTGGACTCCACTGATGAGAGGCATATATACTTCCGAGGCACCTGCATTTGTTGAGTTTCCAAATGGCCCCATTTTATTTTCCCCTGTGGTCAGTGCGACCTGTGAGGATGTGAAGGAGCCCAACAAAGGCCCCTCTAGTGTCCCCAGCCCTTGGCTTTCCCTGCACAGGTTCCTGACCTGGTTAAGAGAATGACCGAGAACAAACACCAGACTCTGCTCCTGATGAGGGAGTGGTGGGGGCAAGGCTCCTGTGCCAAGCCTGTCATGGGCCCCTGTGGGCATCCAGGAGCAGTGGAGAGAGTGCTTGCCTCTTATTCTCCATGTGGTCTTCTTCTGCAGGTGCCCAGTCCCCTGGAAGGCAGTGAAGGGGACGGAGACACTGACTGAGGCGATGGGAGCTGCCCACCAGAGTGCCTCTGAGCAGCTCACAGTGTGTGCCCAGATGTGCCACCCCTGTGGGCAGCAAGAAGCTGGGATCGCTGCAGCCATGTTTTCCCGGCCATGCCGGCGTTGTAACCTCAGGACCTTCCCTTGTAGGAACAGCCTTTCTCGAATCTGTTTTCAGCTCTTGCATTGCATAGATGAACCTCAGCATGTAAAGAACTATTTTTTTAAAGAAGTGATTTTCTTATTAAACAAGTACAAATTTTGCTTAGTCAATCCTTGGTTTGCCTTTTTCTTAGTCTTTTTTAACATTTTTTTCGTCCACAGAGATGAGCACAGCATGGTGTCCCGTTGAGAACAGATACGGCTGAACAAAAGAGAAAGGCCCAGGAGGTTGGCTCAGCCTGTAATCCCAGCACTTGGGAGGCTGAGGTGGGCAGATCGCTTGAGTACAGGAGTTCCAGACCAGCCTGGGTAAAATGGTGAAACCGCGTCTCTGCAAAAGATTAGCTGGGCATGGCGGCATGCCCTGTAGTTCAGCTGCTCAGGAGGCTGAGGTGGGAGGATTGCCTGAGTCTGGAGAAGTCGAGGCTGCCCTGATTGCCACTGCACTCAAAAAAAAAAAAAACAACAACAACCAAAAAAACTGGCCAGGCGTGGTGGCTCATGCCTGTAATCCCAACACTTCGGGAGGCTGAGGCAGGTGGATTACTTGAGGTCGGGAGTTTGAGACCAGCCTGACCAGCATGGAGAAACCCCGTCTCTACTAAAAATACAAAAATTAGCTGGGCGCGATGGTGGGCGCCTGTAATCCCAGCTACTTGGGAGGCTGAGGCAGGAGAATCGCTTGAACCTGGGAGGTGGAGATTGCAGTGAGCCAAGATTGCGCCACTGCACTCCAGCCTGGGTGAGAGAGCCAAACTCCGTCAAAAAAAAAACAACAAAAAAACCCAGCATCCTGCACTCTGCAGGGTGGTCCCGAGGCAGGGCTGTGGAGGGCACTGAAGCAGGGGCCCCGCTGACCTGCCGCATCCCCGAGAGGGGTGGCAGCCACGGGCTCCTCTTCCTAGACAGCCCCATGCGTGCAGCCTTTGCCCTGGTTGCAGGTCGGTACTCGCCTCAGCACTGTCCCGGTGCCAGGCAGGTGGGGGTTGGGGCAGAGGGCAGAAGGAAAGGGTGCATCGCGGAACAGGCCCTTAGTGGAGCTTACTGGAAGACCCCACCAGCCGCTGCTGCACGTCATTGGTCACAGGTGCATCCAGCGGCCCTTCGTAGCTGCAAGGGAGGCTGGGGAAGACTGCTTTTGAAGTGGCGCTTAGCGTGGAACAAAACACACTGCGTTAGCCAGGAGCAGGGGATCCTTGGCTGGCGGGCTGCCAGGAGCCCAGGGAGGGGCTCAGCGGAGGAAGTGCCGTGCATACACGTGGCCTCCCAGCCTGCAGCCCGTGGGCGCACGTGACCAATGCACGAGTGCCTGATGCCCCAGCGGTGCACACAACTAATGCGCATGCGCCTGACGTGCCAACAATGCATGTGACTAATGCGCAGTCGCCTGTCGCCCCAGCAGTGCGTGAGTGACATGTGCACGTGCCCATGATGCGGTGGACACCGTGTGTGAGAAGTGGGGCAGGACAGGTGGGATTGGGAGATGCTTCAGGCAGTGAGCTCCTAGGGCGTGGGGTGCCCAAGAGAGTGGAGCTGGTTTTAGGGATTTTGGCCAGAGGAGCAGTGGGGCTCACTGCTTCGGGAGCCAGGGAGTGCAGGTGTGAGGCCCACTGGGCTTTGGGTTTGAGGGATGGATGAGCTGGGCCGTTAACTGGAACGGGAGACAGGGAAAGGAATGGGTTTGGAGAACAAGCAGGAGCTTGGTTCTAAGCATGTTAATTTTACCTGGGATAGACAGGACTTTATTTTTTATTTTTATTTTGTTTGAGACGGAGTCTCGCTGTGTTGCCCAGCCTGGAGTGCAGTGGCGCGATCTCGGCTCACTGCAACCTGCGCCTCCCGGGCTCAAGCGATTCTCCTTCCTCAGCCTCCAGAGTAGCTGAGAGTACAGGTGCCCGCTGCCACGCCCGGCTGATTTTTGTATTTTTGGTAGAGACAGGGTTTCACCATGTTGGTCAGGCTGGTCTCAAACTCCTAAGCTCAGGTGATCCACCCGCCTTGGCCTCCCAAAGTGCTGGGATTACAGGCGTGAGCCACCGTGCCCGGCCTGGGTGACCCATTTAAATCACTTTTGATGATCCTGGGGTATGTGACATTTTAAAATAATATGTATATATGGAAGGAAATAAAAAACTATAAAAAAGGGAAGTTGCCTTTCATTCTCTAATTCCCAGTATCCCTGTCCAGAGGCCACTGCTCTCACTAGTGCCCTGCGGCTTCTTCTGGAGAGTTCCATGTATATATAAGCGTGCGTGAGCCTTTGCAAGGATGGTAATGCATCTCCAGCAAACACGGGATAATGTTTTCACTGCTCTGTGGTAGCCAAAAGGTTTTTCTTTCTTCTTTTTTTCTATTTTGAGACAAGGTCTTGTTCTGTCGCCCAGGCCGGAGTGCAGTGGTGCGATCATAGTTCAGTACAGCCTCCACCTCCTGGGATCAAGCTATCCTCCGGCGTCCCAAGCAACTGGGACTACAGGCGCACCACCATGCCAGGCCAATTTAAAAAAAAAAAACTGGTCAGATGCGGTGGCTCACACCTGTAATCCCAGCACTTTGGGAGGCCGAGGTGGGCGGATCATGAGGTCAGGAGATTGAGACTATCCTGGCTAACACGGTGAAACCCCATCTCTACTAAAAATACAAAAAATTAGCTGGGCGTGGTGACATGCGCCTGTAATCCCAGCTGCTTGGGAGGCTGAGGCAGGAGAATCGCTTGAACCCAGGAGGTGGATGTTGCAGTGAGCCGAGATCGTGCCACTGCACTCCAGTCTGGGCGACAGAGCGAGACTGTCTCAAAAAAAAAAAAATTTTTTTTTAAGAGACAGGGTCTTGCTATGTTGCACAGGTGGTCTCAAACTCCTGGCCTCAAGTGATCCTCCTGCCTCAGCTTTTCAGTGTGCTGGGATCATAGGTGTGAACCACTGTACCTGGCCCAAAGATTTCTTAAGATGCAAAAAGTGAAAGAAAAAAGTGATAAATTGATTTTCACCAAAATTAATAGCTTCTCATTGGAACAGCCAGTCTGAAAAATTTGCTGAACCCATCATTTCACTTACTTGGACTCAGTATTTCATGCCTGGGGATGAAGCAGTAAGTCCTAAGGTGGGGAGTTGCAGTATGGTTTTCTCAGTGTGAGTGAGGATGGAAACCGTTGTGTCGTGGTGCTCCGTGTTGCCACTGGGCAGCACCACCTGTTACTTGTGTCCTGAATCCTGCACTAATGGCTGAATCAACACCTCACACCACCAACTCCTCTCCTCTCTTCTCCTTTAGCCGCTTCATCCTGGCTGCCCCTGCCTGGATTCCATAGTCCACCACTTCCAGGATTCTGTGCCTCCTTCAGACGGTGCCTTGGCATGAAAGCCCCTAGCCGTGGTTTTTACCCAACTGCTGGCCTTGTTTTTTTTTGGTTTTTTTGGTTTTTTTTTTCATAGCGGTGCTCTGTCGCCCAGGCTGGAGCGCAGTGTTGCGATCTCAGCTCACCGCAACGTCCAGCTCCTGGGCTCAAGTGATTCTTGTGGCTCAGCCTCCCGAATAGCTGGGACTACAGGCAGCACCATGACCAACTAATTTTTGTATTTTTAGTAGAGCCTGCGTTTCACCATGTTGGCCAGGCTGGTCTTGAACTCCTGAACTCAAATGATTCGCCCACCTCTGCCTTCCAAAGTATTGGGATTACAGGCATGAGCCACTGCACCCAATCAACTGCCAGCCTTCTAATGCTCATTTATGACGATGAGGGAGAATGTGATTGGTGCTGTGCTCTGTGTCCACTGTCACTGCCATTTCAACAGTCACCCAGAGTTTCTACTGGCAGACAGTCCCATGACACTTCTCTAAGTCAGTGTCTTCTCACCGGCATATCCGATTGCCTCCATTCTCCTCACCCCAGTGACCACTGTCCCATGCTCTCAGCAGGTGGGTCACTCCCACTCCAGGAGAGAATGGGGGCCAGGAAATGCCACTCCCCATCCTCTTGAATCCCACCCCAGGCTTGCACTTCCTGCTTTGCAGTGGAAGAGGTCTCCCTCTCTAGTGCCCATGCCCTCGATGGTTTCCCCGTTGTCTTTCTCCTGCCTTCTCAGACCTTGCACTTTCACTCTGTCTTTTCTCGTACCGTCAGCATGTCTACTGCCTCACGGCACTTCAACATGCAAAATCACTCCCCTCTGTTATCCACCTAATCTTATCCCCTTCCAACCTTCCCTCTGTCTCTTCCCTTTTATAGCCAAATTGTTTTCTCTTTAAAAATTTCAGTTTATTTATTTTTTATTTTTTGTAGAGATGAGGCCCAGGCTGGCCTTGAACTCCTGTGTTCAATATCCTCTTGTCTCAGCCTCTCAAAGTGCTGAGATTACAGGTAAGAGACACTGTGCCCAGCCAAAAATTTTCAGTGTGTTTAAAGTTAAGCATTCATCACTTTACCTCACAGCCCACATTTCTTTTTTAAAAAATAAATGCAGACATAATTCACATACATACCATAACATTCACCCTTTTAAAGTATATCATTCAGTGACTTTTAGTAAATTTATAAAGTTGTGTAACCATCAACACTATCTCATTTTATGACATTTTTATCAACCCAAAAAGGAAACCCCACATTCATTTGCAGTTACTGCCTATCCTCTCCCCACAGTCCCTGACAACCACTAATTTACTTTCTTTTTCTTTTCTTTTTTTTTTTTTTTGAGATGGAGTCTTGCTCTGTTGCCCTGGCTGGAGGGACAGAGTCTCACTCAGGCTGGAGTGCTATGGCATAATCACGGCTTCCTACACCCTCAGCCTCCCTGGGCTCAAGTGATTCTCCCTCAGTCTCCTGAGTAGCTGAGACTACAGGTGTATGCCACCATGACTGACTTTTAAATTTTTTGTAGAGATGGGGTCTCTCTATGTTGCCCAGGCTAGTCTTGAACTCCTGGGCTCAAGGGATACAACTGCCTCAGCCTCCCAAAGTGCTAGGATTACAGGCAACAGCCACCGTGCCTGCCCTTTTAATTGTTATGTTGTAAATTATTTACTTTGGACACGAGTTCCATGTCAGACATATGGACTTAAGGTAATTTCTCCTGTTCTGTGGATTATCTTTTTTAAATGGTGTCATTTGCAGCACAAAAGTTTTAAATTGTGATGATGTCCAATATATCTATGTTTGTTAGTTGCGTTTTCAGTGTCATATCTAAGAAACCATTTCCTAACCCACAACCCCGAAGATTTATGCCTATGTCTTTATCTGGAGACAGAATCTCATTCTGTTGCCCAGGCTGGAGTGCAGTGGCATGATCTCGGCTTACTGCAACCTCTGCCTCCCGTGTTCAAGCGATTCTCCTGCCTCAGCCTCCGGAGTAACTGGGATTACAGGCGCCTGCCACCACGCCCAGCTAATTTTTTGTATTTTTAATAGAGACAGGGTTTCACTATGTTGGCCCGGCTGGTCTGGAACTCCTGACCTTAAATGATCTTCCCGCCTCGGCCTCCCAAAGTGCTGGGATTATAGACGTGAGCTACGTCTGTGTCTTTTAATAGAGTTTTGTCGTTTTTGGCCGGGCGTGGTGGCTCACACATGTAATCCCAGCACTTTGGGAGGCCGAGGTGGGCGGATCACTTGAGGTCCGGCGTTCGAGACCAGCCTGGCCAACTTGGTGAACCAACCCCCCTACTAAAAATACAAAAAATTAACCAGGGGTGGTGGCGCGAGTCTGTGGTCCCACCCACTCGGGAGACTGAGGCAGGAGGATCACTGGAGTCCAGGAGTTCGAGGCCAGCCTGGGCCACACAGGGTTTGGGTCTTGCATGTGAGCCTGGTCTGTTTGGTGAATCTGCAGAGTGTGAGAGCTGGCGGCCCACTTCTGTTCCACGTGGGCGCATTTCCCGAACTGCGCGTGGAAAAGCCGGGCTGCCGCGACTCCGTCAGTCTCGGCCCCGCCCCCGCCTTCCTCAGTCTCGGCCCCGCCCCGCCTCCGTCTGTCTCGGACCGGCCCCGCCTCCGTCTGTCTGGGACCGGCCCCCCTCCGTCCCTCTCGGCCTTGGGTTCGGCCCCCGCCCACCCCGCAGAGTCTCGCGGCGCCCTAGTCCTCCGGCGCCCTCGACCTCCGGCGCCCTCGCGCGGTCAGAGCGGCGCCGCGGAAGCGCAGCTACGGGCGCGCGGACGCGCGTCCCTTCCGGCTCGCCGTAGCAGCCGCGCCGCCGCTTCCTCCCGCCGGGGCCCCGGATGCACTGAGCGGCTGCGGCGCGGCTTCCATCCTCCCGCCCTCCTGACGCGGCCGGAGCGCAGCCCTGAGGCCCAGGGTAAGTGAGGGCGGAGGCGCGGGACGGGGGCGGGAGGCTCTCGGGACGGCAGCGTCCAGGGTCCGGGGTCGCGTAGCCGCAGCCGCGGGCGTACAGGGCCCGCTCGCCGGCCGGCCTCGGGCGTCGCGTGGGGACCAGGCCGTGGCGGCTGTCGTGAGCGACCCCGGGCGGGCGACCGGGCTGAGGGCTCACGGGCCCGGGTCTTTCGAGTCGTAGCGCCCGTCCCCCGCAGGTCGCGCGATCCGCGCCCATTTCTCGTGGCCCCCCGGGCTCCTGGGCTGGGGGCGTGGCCGAGGGCAGCTCGGCGCGGCGGCGTTGCGGGAACCGGGGGACTCCGGCCCGCGCCTCCTGGTTCTCGGGGCTGAGGGGGTGGCTCTTGCTCCTGGCGCTTGCGTGGGCTTCCCTCGGGGTCACGGACGCGACGCTGAGATGCGGGGATGGGACGTCCAGAACCACTTTCCTGAGGCGCGACGGGGCGAATTCACTCAGAACTTAAGGACCCCGCGTCCCGGGCGTCCCGGAACGCGCCGCCACAGGGGTTACAGTGAGGTCCGAATCCGCTCCTTCTCGGCGTAGACCTGCCCGGTCCTCCACGGCGGAGCCTTAGTAATTGCCGCTGCCTCCCCGGGGGCGCCTCTCGTCACACACCTGCGGCCCACGGGCTTCTGCTCAGCTGTCGCTGTGTCAGTGACAGAAAAGTAACGTATCCCAGTGCTTTATTAGTAATTACTTTCTGAGACGGGGTCTCGCTCTGTTGCCCAGGTTGGCGTGCAGTGGCGCGATGACGGCTCACTAGAGCCTCGACCTCCCGAGTGGTTGGGACCAAAGGCTTGGGCCACCATGCCCGGCTCACTTTTTATTTTGTTTTGTTATTTTCTTTTGAGAAAGAGTCTCTCTCTGTCACCCAGGCTGGAGTGCAGTGGCGCGATCTCGGCTCACTGCAACCTCCGCCTCCCAGGTTCAAGCGATTCTCCTGCCTCAGCCTCCCGAGTAGCTGGGACTACAGGCGCCTGCCACCACGCCTGGCTATTTTTTTTTTTTTTTTTTTTTTTTGGATTTTTAGTAGAGACGGGGTTTCATCATGTTGGTCCGGCTGGTCTGGAACTCCTGACCTCGTGATCCGCCCCCTTGGCCTCCCAAAGTGCTGGGACTGAAGGCATGAGTCACCGCGCCTGGCCAGTTTTTTGTGTGTTTTAGTAGAGACGGGGTTTCACTGTGTTGCCTAGGCTGGTCTCGAACTCCTGAGCTCAGGCAGTCCGCCCACCTCGCCCTCGCAAAGTGTTAGGATTACAGGCATGAGCCACCATGCCCGGCCAATTTTTTATTATTTGAGTTGGGGTCTTGCTGTGTTGCTCAGGCTGGTCTCGAACTCCTGACCTCAAACAATCCTACCGCCTTGGCCTCCTAGTGCTGGGACTGTAGGCGTGAGCTACCGCGCCGGGACACGTGGAAGTGTTAATAGGGCTTCTCTCTGGGTTCGTGGATGAGTTGTATTCTTTTTTACTTATTTGTGTTGTCATTTTCTTTAGCAGAATATGTGCAATAAAATAATTTCTGTAATTATTCTTTTTATTGTTTTTTTGTAGACAGAGTCTCACTCTGTCTCCCAGGCTGGAGTGCAGTGGCGCGATCTCGGCTCACTGCAACCTCTGCCTGCCAGACTCAAGTGATTCTCCTGCCTCAGCATCCCGAGTAGCTGGGATTACAGGTGCCTGCCATCATGCCCAGCTAATTTTTTTGTATTGTTTGTTTGTTTTGAGACGGAGTTTTGTTCTTGTTGCCCAGGCTGGAGTGCAATGGCATGATCTCGGCTCACTGCAACCTCCGCCTCCCGGGTTCAAGCGATTCTCTTGCCTCAGCTTCCCAAGTAGCTGGGATTACAGGTGCCTGCCACCACACCTGCCTACTTTTTTTTTTTTTTTAATTTTTAGTAGAGAGGGGGTTTCAACATGTTGGCCAGGCTGGTCTTGAACTCCTGACCTCAGGTGATCTGCCCGCCTCGGCCTCCCCTTTGCTGGGATTACAGGCATGGTGAGCCACTGCACCTGGCCTTTTTTTTTGTATTTTTAGTAGAAAAATGGGGTTTCACCCCCCATCTCTACTAAAAATACAAAAAATTAATCGGGCGTGGTGGTGGGTGCCTGTAGTCCCAGCTACTCGGGAGGCTGAGGCAGGAGAATGGGGTGAACCTGGGAGGCGGAGCTTGCAGTGAGCGGAGATTGCGCCACTGCACTCCAGCCTGGGCGACAGAGCGAGACTCTGTCTCAAAAAAAAAAAAAAAAAAAAAAAGAAAAAGAAATAGGGTTTCACCATGTTGGCCAGGCTGGTCTCAAACTCCTGATCTCAGTGATCCACCCACTTCGGCCTCCCAAAGTGCTGGGATTACAGGTGTGAGCCACCGCGCCCGGCCCCAATAGCTTGTTTTTGTTTTTGTTTTTGTTGTGGAGACAGGGTCTTGCTCTGTCACCCAGGCTGGAGTGCAGTGGCATGATCATAGCTTTACTGCAGCTGTGACTTCTTGAGCTCAAGTGATCTCCTCCCAGGTAACTGGGACTATAGGTGTGTGGCACCACGCCGTGCTAATTTTTGATTTTTTGTAGAGACACTATCTCACTGTGTTGCCCAGGCTTGTCTTGAATTCTTGGACTCAAGACATCCTCTGGTCTCAGTCTCCCACCGTGTTGGAATTACAGGTTTGAGACACTGTTCCCAGCCTGTTTCTTTTTATTGTTGAGGAGTACTCCTTGGTGTGAACGTACCGGTTTGTCTGTTGCCCGCTGATGGACCATTTGGATTGTTTCCAGTTCTTTGTTTTCCATCTTTTTTTTTAATAAGGGTAACACATGAACAGTTCACATTGAAAGATATCCAAACAACACAGAAATACATAGAGCTCGTTAAGAGTTCCTTTGCCCTTTCTCCCCATTCATCAGCTCCCCACAGCTACCAAATTTGGAATTCATTTTTCTGGGTTTCTTTCCATACATCAGAACATGCATTCTCAGTGAGGGCGATATCTCCAACAAGGGAGTGAAAATTAGTTATTGGAAGAAGGGTGAAAAAACTTAGGCATTACAGTGATTTGTGGCCTCCCGAAGATCCCAGTTCCTGAACAGATGTACAGTGTGGTATATCTGTGTACAGCTGTAGTATTAAAATTCCATGGGGAGGCAATTAGGAGAGAAACTTATACAGATGTTCCTTAGCGGGGCCGTGGAAAAATAAAGATCAAGAAACAACAGTAGAATGATGGATTGGGGATTTATAACCTTATTATTTGGTGTTTGATGAAGCACTTCTTCAGTTTTTCTTGAACTTCTCTCACAAGCTGAAATAGATCCCACCTGTTCTAGTATAGGAGCTTTGGTTCATAAGGTTAAGGACCCACTACTACCTCCATGATTTAAAATCCTTGGAATTGTAGCCTGTTAAATGGAAGGGACATTGGAGACATTGAGGGGAGGCTTTCCTGTTGATCCACCATTACAGCACCCTGACAGGTCAGTTCTCTGTAGTAACATACAGTGTGATAAGCCCTAGACAATTTTCAAATTCAGTTTAGCCCACTTGGTATCATTCGGAATTTATATATTTCAGGAACTAGTATGGTACTTCTGTAATGTGCCCTTTGGTGGGAGAATAATGAAGGTTTTGTTAGCATATAGATCTTGGGTTAGTAGCTTTTAATTTGTTACGTGACATCTAGTGTTATCATCTTATATTGAAAGTATTTTTTGTAACATTTATTATGAAAAATTTCAAAGATACACAGAGATTGAAAGAATTTTGTGGTTGGCTGGGTGGGGTGGCTCACGCCTGTAATCCAAGCACTTTGGGAGGCTGAGGCAGGTGGATCATATGAGATCAGGAGTTTGAGACCACCCTGGCCAACGTGGTGAAACTCCGTCTGTACTAAAAATACAAAAATTAGCCGGTTGTGGTGGCTCACACCTGTAGTCCCAGCTACTCAGGAGGCTGAGGCATGAGAATCGCTTGAGCCCAGGAGACAGAGGTTGCAGTGAGCTGAGATTGCGCCGCAGCACTCGAGTTTAGGTGACTGAGTGAGACTCTGTCTTAAAAAACAAGAGAAAATTTTACGGTGAACACTAGTATACCTGCCACTTAGTTTCCATTAAACATTTTACCATACCTGCTTCATCATACCTTTTTATCCATTTGTCTTAAAATTAAAAAAAAAAAAACCAACACATTTCAAAATGTGTGTGTGTCAGCGTCTCTGTAGAGAGTTGAATTAAAATTAGGGGCCAGGCCAGGTGTGGTGGCTCATGCCTGTAATCCCAGCACTTTGGGAGATTAAGGCAGGAGAATTGTTTGAGCCCCAGTAGTTCGAGACCAGCCTGGGGAATATGTTGAAACCCTGTCTATACAAAAAAATACAAAAATTTGGCTGGGCGCAGTGGCTCGTGCCTGTAATCCCAGCACTTTGGGAGGTCGAAACAGGTGGATCACTTGAGGTTAGGAGTTGGAGACCAGTCTGGCCAACATAGTGAAACCCTGTCTCTATTAAAAATACAAAAATTGGCCGGGCGTGGTGGTGTACGCCTGTAATCCCAGCTACTCAGGAGGCTGAGGCAGGAGAATCGCTTGAACCCGGGAGGCGGAGGGCGCAGTGAGCCGAAATCACGCCAGTGCACTCCAGCCTGGGTGATAGAGTGAGACTCCATCTCAGAAAAAAAAAAAAAAAAAAAAAATGGGCGTGGTGGTGTGTGCCTATAGTCCCAGCTATTTGGGAGGCTGAGGTGGGAGGATTGCTTGTGGCCAGGAGTTTAAGACTAGCATAGGCAACATGGTGAAACCTCGTCTGTACAAAAAATACAAAAATTAGCTGGCTGTGGTGGCGTGTAAGTCCCAGCTACTCAGGAGGCTGAAGTGGGAGGTTTGCTTGAACCTGGAAGGCAGAGGTTACAGTGGGCCAGGATTGTGCCACTATACTGCAGCCTGGGTGACAGAGTGAGACCTTATGTCAAAAAAAGAGAAAAAATTAGGAGTAAAAATTGAGTTAAAATTAGAAACTTAGTCGTTAAAAATTTTTAAAGTTGTTTAGCCACCATTGGTAGCTTTGCTATCCATTAGGATACCTGTACTATGTTTTTGAGAAGTGTTATTTTAGATAAACAGTTTCTTTGCATTATAGTTGATTGTCTTTGTTTCTCTAATGTGGCTATAACATCACTGAGGTCAGGAACCATTTAATAAAATTGAAGTATAATTTACATATGGTAAAAGTTTATGCTTTTTTTTTGAGACGGAGTTTCGCTCTTGTTGCCCAAGCTGGAGTGCAATGGTGTGATCTTGGCTTACTGCAACCTCCGCCTCCTGGGTTCAAGCAATTCTCTTGCCTCAGCCTCCCGAGTAGCTGGGATTACAGGTGCGCACCACCATGCCCGGCTAATTTTGTATTATTGGTAGGGATGGGGTTTCTCCACGTTGGTCAGGCTGGTCTTGAACTCCGGACCTCAGGTGATCCACCCGCCTCAGCCTCCCAAAGTGTTGGGATTACGGGCGTGAGCCAGCGTGCTCATCCAAGTTTATGCTTTTTAGTGTATGGTTGAATTTTTTTTCTTAGTCCATTTAATGTTGCCATCTGTGTACTTTTTGTTTTTTTGAGACAGAATCTCGCTCTGTTGCCCAGGCTGGAGTGTAGTGGTGTGATCTTGGCTCATTGCATCCTCCACCTCCCAGGTTCAAGGGATTCTTCTTCCTCAGCCTCCCGAGTAGCTGTGATTACAGGAACATGCAACCATGCCCAGCTAATTTTTGTATTTTTAGTAGAGACGGGGGTTTCACCATGTTGGCCAGGCTGTTCTCGAACTCCTGACCTCAGGTGATCCGCCCGCCTCGGCCTCCCAAAGTGCTGGGATTACAGGCATGAGTCACTGCACCCAGCCCATCTGTGTACTTTTGAGAGACACATTCCATCTTGTAACCATTATCACAAATCAAGCTGTAGCTACGGTTCTTTACTTCCCCATTTCCTCATGCATCTCTCTAGTCAGCTCCATCTCCGCCTTCAGCCCCTGTCAGGTTCTGTTCTAGTCTCTGTCCCCACCATTCTCCTTGTCCGGAATGTCATGCCAGTGACCCACGCAGCCCTCGGCCTCTGTTACTTGGCATCTTGCACCTGAGACTCAACTGTGTTGTGGGTGTGTCAGTGGTTTGTTCCTTGGCGTTGCTGGGTTGTGTCTGTTGTATGGCTGTATCATGGTTTGATGTGTCTGCTCATCAGGGGAAGGTCAGTTTTAATATTCTGATACGTTTCAGTGGGTCCTTTTCTGTATGTTTAACTTAGTGATTGTGTTATGCAATTGGTAACCTGCTTTTTTCACTTAATGTATCTGGAAATTTTGGTTTTATTACTTATTTTCCATCTAGAACTTCAACATTGGAAATTTCTGATTATGCTTTTTAATTTTTTTTGTTATTCTACAGTGAGTATTGTTTATGTACAGTTTTTTAGGTTGGTAGGTTAATTTCCTTCGGGTAGATTTCTAGAAGTAGGGTTACTAGGCCAAAGGTTTTGGGGTCACATGGGTTCATTCCACTTTCCTACTGCTGTATGCAGTCTACTCCTACAGGGCGTTTTTTGGGTTCTGAACCCATTTGAAATCTTTTCTACACCTTCCCAAATTGCTTCTGTAATTCCCTTTAGCAGGATTAGTGGAGTGCCAGTTGTCTGATTTAATGTCTTGGCTAAGTGGATCTAGGGAAATATTTATTTTAGTCTGTATTCCTCTTTTTAGTAGCAAGGTTGGTCATTTTCCTCTAAGCTGGTTAAGTACATGCTTTTCTCCTTTTGTGAACTGTCTTTTTTTGTCCTTTTTTTTTTTTTTTTTTTTAGGAGTCTCACTCCTTTGCCCAGGCTGGAGTGCAGTGGCAAGCCCTTGGCTCACTGCAACCTCCACCTCCTGGGTTCAAGCAATTCTCCTGCCTCAGCCTCCCAAGTAGCTGGGATTACAGGCATGTGCCACCACGCCCGGCTAATTTTTTGTATTTAATAGAGACAGGGTTTTACCATATTGGTCAGGCTGGTCTCAAAGTCCTGACCTCAGGTGATCCACCCACCTCAGCCTCCCAAAGTGCTGGGATTACAGGCATGAGCCACTATGCCCAGCCTCTTTTTGTCTTTAATTAATTTTTCTACTGGGATTTTAATGTTTTTCTTACCGATTTGTATGAGTGCTTTTTATGGTATTGGTAATAGCTTTTTGTCGTACCTAGTTCAAATATTCTTTCCAAGATAATTTGGTTTTAGATTTTGATGATTTACTTTTTGAGTTTTAAACATTTAAAAATTATCTTCAAATCTTTCTATTTTTTCAGTTACAACTTTATTATTTTTAAGGTTAGGAAATTGAATTTCCTTCAGAGATTTAGTAAATACTCACTTTTGTGTTCGGTTTTTTAATGTTTTGGTTTTTTTTTTTTCCTGTCACCTACCAGAAGGAACGTTTTGATTTTTCTTTCTTTCTTTTTTTTTTTTTACATTAAATGTAAAACTTGGAAAGTTAGCTTATAAAAATGCTTTATTTATTTATTTATTTATTTATTTGCTTGTTTGAGACAGTTTTGGTTTTGTTGCCCAGGCTGGAGTGCAATGGCTCAGTCTCGGCTCACTGCAACCTCCGCCTCTCAGGTTCAAGCGATTCTTCTGCCTCAGCCTCCCAAGTAGCTGGGATTACAGACGTGTGCTACCACGCCCAGCTAATTTTTGTATTTTTAGTAGAAATGGGGTTTCACCATGTTGGTTAGGCTGGTGTCGAACTCCTGACCTCCAGTGATCCGCCTATCTTGGCCTCCCAAAGTGCTGGGATTACAGGCATGAGCCACCAGACCCCACCATGTAATTTATTTTGATGTATGGTTTGTGATGAGAGTTTAAGTTGAATTTCTCAATGCATTAATTTGTTTTTATGACATAACTTTAAAATTCCTAACCCTTACCTTTCCCCTGGTTTTCTGAATTACTATATGTGAGAGAGTTTCTTTCTAGCCCTCATTTTCTCTTACTGATCTCCTTTGACACTCTGGGAATGTATTGTAAGGAAATAATCCCGAATATACTCTACCTATGTTAATTTAGCTTTTGTGCCAGTTTCACACTAATCTCCTATCATAATGTTTGTTTAGTAAGATCAGGAACAGAAGCTTGTTTTGAAAGTAATAAGCATTGTTAACTGCCCCCACCTGGAGCTCCTGTCCCCTGCACCCACTCTGATGGGCTCTCTGCCGGGTGGTGGGAGGGGCATGCTCTTGGGTGTCTCTGTGGCCTTGCTCTTCCCTTAAGATCTGTTTGTTGCAGCCTGCGTGCTGTCTTCTGACTCCATCTTCAGAAACTAACCATCTGATCAAAGCATGCCTTTCTGCTGCTAGTTTAAATATGCACTTTTTAAATGTTTGTTAGGAATATGCTTGTGCATTTATAAATTCTGTAGTCTTTGATTTCATATATACATGTATTTCAGCCAGGTACCCAAGACTTAGAAGAGCCTTATACGTTTTGTAACTTCTTTTTTTGGAGATGGAATCTTGTTCTTCATTGCAGCATCGATTTCCTGGGCTCAGGCGGTCTCCTTTGGCCTCCTGAGTAGCTGAGACTAAGGCTGCTACATTGCCACCATGGCTGGCTAATTTTTGTATTTTTCTTGTAGAGATGGGGTCTCACTATGTTGCCTAGGCTGGTCTTGTACACCTGACCTCAAGTGATCCTCCTGTCTCAGCCTCCCCAGGTGCTGGCATTACAGGTGTGAGCCACCATGCCTGGCCATTTTTTATCTTCTGTAGATTCATGGTTTTTAAAAATCCGTTGTCCATTTTCTCACAGAGATAAGCAGTGATGTCCTTGCGATGAACAAGGGGTCTTGTTTGTCTTGGAGTAAGCAAGAAGAAGCTCCCTGATAGCTGTCCAGCCAGGGTTGAGGTGAAGGCACCTCAAGAAGACAGGGGCACCTGGGTGTGTCCAGCAGGACTGGAGAAGTCTGAATGGTGGCACCCAGGTCAAGCTGGCTTCTGTGGCAGGCCTAAGTGTGAACTGGAACATTGCGGAGTGGTGTGGCTCCTCACCCACTGGCTCAGTGCTAAACTGTGCCACCAAGAGTCCATCTGCTTCCCTTGAAAACTTGAATGAGATTTTTGCTCCTTTATGACAGAAGTTAGCTATTAAATAGATTGAAGCAGCAGCTGCCCCCTTGATGTGGGACAGTGTCCAACCTCTCCTCTTGGAACGCTGGCACTGATTTGGGTGCCAGGTGCCACTCACCATTGCGTTTGCACCCTTGCTTCTCTTAGGGGAGAAAGAGCGACCACAGTGGGGAACAGACGGGGCTGCAGTGGTGGGGCTCACTGCTTATCTTTAGTCCTCCTTTCCCCTGTAGATACTGGAGTCTGTAGCCCAGGTCTGACCCTGTCTCACCACAGGATTACCCTTGTCTGCTCCATCCTCTGCTTCATCCTGTCCTGAAACCTGACTTTCCTCAGTGGCCCCTTCTGCTCCTCCCCTGCTGTTTCTCATCCACTTGTGCTCAGCAGCGTTTGGGTTACAGCTCCTTTGAGATTGTGGTACAGCCTCCCAGAGAGTTTGCAAAGCCAGAAAGGCAACTCACCCCAGAGTGAGAGCCAGGTCCTGGCCATCTCCTTCTCTCTCCCTTGAGACCTTCTCACAGTTTCTTCTCTTCGTGTGTTCTTAGGGAGAATGTTGAGATCTGAGGCTGTTCCCTACCTTCCACTCCAGGACTTGGTGTCATGTTTTCTCCTAGCTCCTGGCACAGGCTGGCAGCCTCCCCAGGGCAAGGACTGTCTTACCCGTGTCTGTCTCTACTCTCCTGCAGTAGCCCCGGGCCTGACACACAAATGGGGCTCTGTGTCTTTGAATTGGATTTACAAGAGGAGAGTTTGCAGTTGAGGTAGTCCTGGAGGTTGATAAGAACTACTGGCTGGGGAGGGCTGGGTATTTGCTTCTGGCGAGGTGGTGCTGCACACCCTCATTCAGCAAGGGTCACAGAATGCCTCCTGGGCTCTGGGCAGCTGGGAGCAGGGAGTTGTCCCTCCATAGGGAGAGACGGGCGGAAGCCGGAAAGTCCACAGCGTGAATGTTGGCTTCAGACCTTGCTCTTCTGCCTGCTGGCTGCGTGGCCTTGAACAGCTCACAGATACTCCTGTAGCTCAGTCTCCTAGTCCTTCAAATGGGGTGTGAGTAGTACCTACCCCACAGGGCGGCCATGAGGATTTGAGGGATGGCCTGGTCTCTCCAAGCGCCCACACAAGTTAGCTGTTGAGGTCAGCGATGATCGGTATGTTCCTCCCTCAGTAGGTGGTTTAGATTACCCACCCACTCCCGTGTGGCCCACCCTGGGCACAGCAGTGACTGAGGACACATTTCTCCAGCTGTGCCATATTGAATGTGAGTCAGCTCTGTCGTTTGAATCAGATGCGGTGGGAATGTACTTTCAAAGTGTCTTTTCAGTGCTGTTAAGTGTCAATAAAACAGTTATGTGTGCCTTCAAGTGACTTGATTTTAATTTTAATTTTTAGGAGAACGACACATTGGATACAGAAGGGAGGTGATCATGCACCATGGCACTGGCCCCCAGAACGTCCAGCATCAGCTGCAGAGGTCCAGGGCCTGCCCTGGCAGCGAGGGTGAGGAGCAGCCGGCCCACCCCAACCCACCCCCGTCCCCCGCAGCTCCCTTCGCTCCCTCAGCAAGCCCGTCGGCACCCCAGTCTCCCAGTTATCAAATACAGCAGCTGATGAATAGGAGCCCTGCAACCGGGCAGAACGTGAACATCACCCTGCAGAGCGTGGGCCCTGTCGTCGGGGGAAACCAGCAGATCACACTGGCCCCACTGCCGCTCCCCAGCCCCACCTCTCCAGGCTTCCAGTTCAGCGCTCAGCCTCGGCGGTTTGAGCATGGGTCTCCATCATACATTCAGGTCACGTCCCCCTTGTCCCAGCAGGTCCAGACCCAGAGTCCCACGCAGCCCAGTCCGGGGCCGGGGCAGGCCTTGCAGAATGTGCGTGCAGGTGCCCCTGGCCCTGGGCTGGGCCTCTGCAGCAGCAGCCCTACAGGGGGCTTCGTGGATGCCAGCGTGCTGGTGAGGCAGATCAGCTTGAGCCCCTCCAGTGGTGGACACTTTGTGTTTCAGGATGGGTCAGGGCTCACCCAGATCGCCCAGGGAGCCCAGGTTCAGCTCCAGCACCCGGGTACGCCCATCACAGTCCGAGAGCGGAGACCCTCCCAGCCCCACACACAGTCAGGGGGCACCATCCACCACCTGGGACCCCAGAGCCCTGCAGCCGCGGGTGGGGCCGGCCTGCAGCCCCTGGCCAGCCCAAGCCACATCACCACGGCTAACTTGCCACCGCAGATCAGCAGCATCATCCAGGGCCAGCTGGTTCAGCAGCAGCAGGTGCTGCAGGGGCCGCCGCTGCCCCGGCCCCTGGGCTTCGAGAGGACACCCGGCGTGCTGCTCCCCGGGGCTGGGGGCGCAGCGGGGTTTGGGATGACGTCCCCACCCCCGCCCACCAGCCCTTCCAGGACTGCCGTGCCCCCAGGCCTTTCCAGCCTCCCACTCACGTCTGTGGGGAACACGGGAATGAAGAAGGTTCCCAAGAAGTTAGAGGAGATTCCCCCAGCCTCTCCGGAGATGGCACAGATGAGGAAGCAGTGCCTGGACTATCATTACCAGGAGATGCAGGCTCTGAAGGAGGTCTTCAAGGAGTATTTGATTGAACTGTTTTTCTTGCAACACTTTCAAGGGAACATGATGGATTTCTTAGCTTTCAAGAAGAAACATTATGCCCCATTACAAGCATATCTTAGGCAGAATGATTTGGACATTGAAGAAGAGGAGGAGGAGGAGGAAGAGGAGGAAGAAAAATCTGAGGTTATCAATGACGAGGTAAGAAACAGGAGTTAATTTGTTTAGTACAAATCTTCTAGATGATCAGAGTCTATGCGACAATGAATTAAGTAATAATTTATTGAGCCTGCGGTATTTCTAAGGTATTTCTAAGGTGTTGGGGCAAGGATTTGACCCATAAGTAAAAGTGAAGAATGTGTTTGGCCTCCTTCATGGGAAGGAAGAGCTGTTGAGCGCAGAAGTGTGTCAGGAGGAAGGGACGGAGCTGCGCTATGATGAGTGCGTCTTCAACACCCAGTGTTTTCATTGAGCACCAAGGATTCATCTCAGGTTCAGAGAACTCAGCAAGCGTGTCCAGTTTTTTTCCCCTTGTATCTGGGTGTGTGGTTTGTTGGCTGACGCTGACAGCTGTCACCAGCCAAACGTGTGAAAGCCCAGCACCCTTTGTCTGGTTTTCCAAGTTTCACATTTTACTCGTATAGATCTCCTTAAAAACACCATCAGCATGGTTTTCAAACAGATTTAAGTCACTAGCTTTTTATAATAACCAGCCATAAGTCACTAGATGTATGTATATGGGACCTTCATCATTAAAATAGTTATTATGGCAAAAAACTGTTTGAGAAGTTATTCAATTTTTAGATGTAGTCTCAAGATTTGAGATCATACTTTAAACTCATTTTTACAAATACCTATTAAGTGATATTTAAGAGTGACTCTTTTTTAGAGAGTATACTTTTTGGGTGCCTGGAATGGCACATAATAAACCCCCTACCTGAGATTTCTTAGTACCATGGTGAGTCTGAGACTTCCTGAAAACCAGGGTGAGAGTGAATTGGACTGTGACACACTGTATTTTGTGCCTTTGTGTTGTGTAGTGTATACTATGTTGGTGGAGCTTATTTTGTTTTATGATACAGTTAAAATAATTTAAATCTTTGTCAGCTCTTCTGCAAAGAAATCTGCTTTTGCTGAACAAAAGCTAGTCTCTTTGCTCAAGCAGTCCTTACTGGTATCTATGGATGTATTTGTGTGGCTTTGCCATTTTGTGTTTTCTTTTAACACCTTTTCCAGGATGGACCATATTTGTTTTTCAACAGGTTTATATGATTATTTTGAGGATTTCACCTCTATTGTCCTGAAATAGTAAAATTCATTTCTGTTACGTTTGTATACCAATGTTGTCTGTAAGCTCAATCCCCCTTACCTGTGCTTAGAAAGAAAAACAAATTCGTTTTTCCAACTTCCTGCTGAAAAAGACCTTTGCCATTCTGACCCTACATATAACAGAGTGGCTATTCTGCAAATTTCCTAGGGAGTTGGTAGGGCTTTGTTACTTGAAGTCTGTCTGCCATATGCATTTTTAAAGTTTGAAGTTGCAGAATCTAAAGATATTGCACTTTGACTTAAATTGGAGTTTCTGCAAGGTTTGCAGTTTGAGTTAGGTTGTTGTGCTATAAATCTGTCAGTTCAGTATCCTTTCACAGGAATTGATGCAAAAACATTCCATTTTTAAACCCCAAATGTCAGTGAGCTATCAGCAATAAAATTCTAACAAAATTTTGAGCAGTTGTAAAAATTATGTTGCCTTTTTTTCTCAAAATATTTCCTCTCAGGTAAAGGTTGTGACAGGAAAGGATGGGCAGACTGGGACTCCCGTTGCTATAGCAACCCAGCTTCCGCCAAAGGTTTCTGCTGCTTTTTCATCCCAGCAGCAACCATTTCAGGTACTTTTCGATGGTTCTCAAATGTAGTCTCATCCCAAACTTTTCCTTCATCCAGATATTTTAACCTTCGATATACTACTTGCTCTTCAGCATTTTTTTTCCAGAGCCCATTTCTTATTTTTCAACAGTAAAAAATCTTCCTGCGTATACAATTATAAAATTAAATTGCATGAGTTAATGATGACACAGATCTTAGTGCATTACTTTCTTTCGTATACTTGTAATGCGGTAGTAGCTTTAGCATGCATGTCATCTAATAGTCCTGTTGAATGTATGCTCAGGATTCCTTGTGTGCTGTGTTTTCAATGTTGGTTCTTTCTTGTGTCCTTTATTTTGAGAACAGTGCAAAACAGAATAAGAAAAAAAAGATTCAAGTAGATGATAAATTGGTATTTTCCATAGCTAGAGGAAATGCTGAAGTGAAATACACTTCTGAAATCATCAGGACCACAGGCTTCTAAACGGATATTAAGTGAATGCAAACTGATTATTTTTAATTTTTTGCAAATTCACTCAGTGTTAAATTAGTAATGCCAATAATTTAAAAACACAGGTCACTCACGCCTGTAATCCCAGCACTTTGGGAGACTGAGGTGCATGGATCACCTGAGGTCAGGAATTCGAGACCAGCCTAGCCAACAGGGTGAAATGCTGTCCCTACTAAAACTATGAAAATTAGCTGGGCATGGTGGTGCATGCCTATAATCCCGGCTACTCAGGAGGCTGAGGCAGGAGAATTGCTTGAACCTGGGAGGCGGAGGTTGCAGTGAGCCGAGATTGTGTCACTGCACTCCAGCCTGGGCAGTAGAGCAGGACTCCGTCTCAAAAACAAACAAACAAACAAACAAAAACCAAACAAACCATCAAATTTCTACTAGCTTTGGAATAGATAGTGTTGGGTTGTGAAAGCAGTTTCATCCTTGGGATTTTTGTTGTTACTTTAAATTTTGATTTAATTTCAAATGTACATAATAGTTGCAATTAATTATTTTAAAAACCCCTTATATCCTTTACCAAATTTATCAGTTGTTTTTGCCCCATTTGCATTATTTTCATTCTCATATATATACACATATCTAAAACATCATATCCTATTCTTTTATCTGTAAATACTTCAGCATGTATTAGATAAGAATGTTTCCTTACCTAATCACAGTACAGTGATAAATATCAGGAAATTGTACAGTAGTACAATAATACATTCTAATCCATAGTTTATATTCAAATTTCATCTCTTGTCTCAAGGATGTCCTTCATAGTGTTTCTTTCCCCCTAGTCCAGTATCAAGTTGTCATGCCTCTCTGGCCTTTTTAATCTGGGTTGGTTTCTTAGTCTTTCATGACCTTGGCTTTGGCCTGGGCCTGGGCGTTAAAAAGTACAGACCAATTATTTTGTACAGTGTCCTTTGATGTGGGATTGTCTGATGTTTTCTTGTGTCCTCTTTGGATCATGTATTTTTGAGAAGATTGCTATAGAAGTAATGATATGTCCGTTTCAATGTGTCTTATCAGAAGGGTGTGATGTCACTTTGTCCTATAACTAGTAATGTTAACTCTGACCACTTCGTTAAGGTGGTTTCTACCAGGCCTGTCCAGTGGAAATTTATTTATTTTTCCTTTTTTAAATGATGAGTAATTTGGGGGAAGATACTTTGAGACTATGTAAATATCCTGAATCTCCTTAAACTTTTACCCACTAGTTCTAGCATCTGTTGGTGAGTCTTGCCTGAATCAGTTATTACTATAAAGAATCCATGCTGGGTTTTCTAACTCCATCATTCTGTCTACATTTATTAGAATCAGTAGGCTGTAATATATCACTATCAGTATTTATTTGCTTATGTTTGTTTAAACTTATTTAATGTACATTCAGTAAAATGCACTGTTTTTTAGTCTGTACTTGTGAATTTTGACGAATCCATTGAGTTGTGTAACCACCACCACAGTCAAGCAACAGAAGCTCCATCACCTCCCAAAATGTTCCCTCATCAACCCTTCACGCCTCCCTTGACCTTTGTTCTCCATCGCTAATGATTTTGCCTTTTCCAGAATGAATATCTATGGAATCCTAGTCTGGGTTGCTTTTCAGTCTGGCTTCTTTCACTTAAGATAATGCATTTCAGATTCATCTACTTTGTTTTATTTACCATTAATTTGTTCTTTTTATTGCTGAGTGCTATTCCATTGTGTGAATGTGCCCCAGTTTGTTTATCCATTTACCCTTTAAAGAATATTTGGGTTGTTTCCAGTTTTCAGAATTTGGGAATAAAGCTGCTACAAATGTTCACATACAGTTTTTCATGTCAACATAGGTATTCATTTCATTTGGATAAATGCCTAGGAGTCAAAGAGTCTCTCTGAAAGTATTCTGGTTTGGGTGGCTGGCTGGCTGATTTCAAAAAAAAAAAAAAAGAAAAACTAGGAATCAGATTTCTGGGTATGTTGAACTTTATTAAGAACCCGTCCGGCCGGGTGCAGTGGCACACACCTGTAATCCCAGCACTTTGGGATGCTGAGGCGGGAGGATTGCTTGAGGCCAGAAATTTAAGACCAACCTGGGCCAGGCACTGTGGTTCACGCCTGAAATCCCAGCACTTTGGGAGGCCAAGGTGGAGGATCACTTGAGGCTGGGAATTTAAGACCAGCCTGGACTAGGCATGATGGCTCATGCCTGTAGTCCCAGCACTTTGGGAGGCCTACATGGGTGGATTACCTGAGGTCAGTAGAGACCAGCTTGGCCAACGTGGTGAAACCCTGTCTCTGCTAAAATTGCAAAAATCAGCTGGGCATGGTGGCACACGCCTGTAATTCCAGCTTCTCAGGAGGCACGAGAATTGCTTGAACCCAGGAGGCGGAGGTTGCAATGAGCTGAGACAGCGCCACTGCACACCAGCCTGGGCCACAGAGTGATACCCTACCTCAAAAAAAAAAAAAAAAAAAAAAAAAGACCACCCTGTCTCTACTAAAAATTAAAAAATTAGGCCGGGCGTGGTAGCTCATGCCTGTAATCCCAGCACTTTCGGAGGCTGAGGCAGGCAGATCACCTGAGGTCAGGAGTTTGAGACCAGCCTGGCCAACATGGTGAAACTCCATCTCTACTAAAAATACCACAATTAGCCGGGCATGGTGGCGGGCACCTGTAATCCCAGCTACTTGGGAGGCTGAGGCAGGAGAATCACTTGAACTTGGGAGGTGGAGGTTACAGTGAGCCGAGTTCACCCCATTGCACTCCAGCCTGGGTGACAAGAGTGAGACTTGTCTCAAAAAAAAAAAAAAAAAAAAAACCTATGTGTAGTGATACACACCTGTAGTAGTCCCAGCTACTTGGAGGCTGAGGTGGAAGGATTGCTTGAGTCCTGGAGTTCGAGGGTGCAGTGAGTCGTGGACATGCCAGTGCACTCCATCCTGGGCCACAGGGCCACATAGTGAGACCCTGTCTCAAAAAAATAAAAAGGTGGCTAGGTGCGGTGGCTCATGCCTGTAATTCCAGCACTTTGGGAGGCCGAAGGGGGGCGGATCACTTGAGGTCAGGAGTTCGAGACCAGCCTGGCCAACGTAGTGAAACCCCGTCTCTACTAAAAATGCAAAAATCAGCTGGGCGTGGTAGTGGGCGCCTGTAATCCCAACTACTCGGGAGGCTGAGGTAGGAGAATTGCTTGAACCCAGGAGATGGAGGTTGCAGTGAGCTGAGATCATGCCACTGCACTCCAGCCTGGGTGACAGAGCAAGACTCTGACTCAAAAAAATAAATAAATAAATAAAAAGGCTGGGCACAGTGGCTCATGCCTGTAATCCCAGCACTTTGGGAGGCCGAGGCTGGCAGATCAGTTGAGGCCAGGAGTTCGAGACCAGCCTGACCAACATAGTGAAACCCCATCTCTACTTAAAAAAAAAAAAAATTAGCCAGGCGTAGTGGCGTGCCGCTGTAGTCCCAGCTACTTGGGAGTCTGAGGCAGGAAAATCTCTTGAACCTGGGAGGCGGAGGTTGCAGTGAGCCAAGATGGCACCACTGCACTCTAGCCTGGGCGACAGAGTGAGACTCTGTCTCAAAAAGAAAAAAAAAAAAAGATTCAAAGAAACTTCCAAACTTTCTCAAAGTGCCTGTACCATTTTGTGTTCCCAGTAGCAATGTATGATAGTTCTCTTCGTTTTGCTTCTTCTCTAGTACTTGTTATTGTCAGTTTTCTTTTTTAATCATTCCAGGTCTAGTTTATTTTAATTTGGATGTCTCTGAAGACTAATAAAGTTGAGCATTTTTTCATTTGCTGTTCGTATATCTTTGACAAAGTATCTGTTCATGTCTCACCCATTTTTTCAGAGTTATTACTGCATTTGAAAATTCTTCACATAATATGGACATGTTTTTTGTCAGCTACATGTTTTGCAAGTATTTTTTCCTGTCTTTGGCTTGTTTTTTTCTTCTCTTAAGACTATCTTTTTCAGAACAAAAGTTTTAAATTTTGTGGAAGTACAATTTATCGTTTTTTTCTTTTATGGATTTGCTTTTGATGCCATATCTAAGAGCTCTGCTCAATCCAGGGTCAGAAAGATGTTCTTCTGTGTTGTCTCGTAGAAGTTTTATAGTTTTACTTTTAGATCTATGATTTATTTTGCGTAAAATTTTGTGTAACATGGCAAATATAAGAAATTTGCATGTGAATGTTCAGTTGTTCCATGCCATTTCTTGAACAGACGATCTATGTATGTTGAGTTGACTTGCACCTTTGCCAAAGATGAGTTGATACTTTTATGGTTCTGTTTCTGGATTCTCTTCTCTTCCCGTCTCTTTATGTGTTTTTCTCTGCCAGTGTCACACTATTGTGATTACTATAGCTTTATGTAAGTTTTGAAGTCAAGTAGTGTGAGTTCTCCAAGTTTGTTCTCCTTTTTCAAAATTATTTTGGTCATTCTGGTTCCTTTCCCTTTTTGTATACATTTTAGAATGAGCTTGTTGATATCTACAAAACATCTTGCTGGGATTTTGATTAGAATTGTGTTGCGTCCATTGACCTGTTTAGGGAGGAGTGATATCTTAACAATATGAGTCTTCCAGTCCATGAATATGGTGTATCTCTCCATTTATTTCAGTATTCTTTGATTTCTTTCATCAACATTTTGTAACTTTCAGCATACCATATATTTTCTTAGGTTTATACCTCAGTATTCCAATTTTGGGGGGTATTATAAGTAGTACTTAAAAAAATTTCCAGCTGTTTATTGTAAGTATATAGGTATACAGTTGATTATTTGAACCTACATTCTGCAACCTTGCTAAACTCATTTATTAGTTTTAGGAGCTTTTTTGTAGATTCCATGGGATTCTCTACATAGAGAATCATGTCTGCAAATAGAGCAGGATTTTTTTTCTTTTTCAATCTGTATGCTTTTTATTTCTTTACTTTTCTTTTTTTTTTTTATCGTATTGGCAAGGGCACCCAGTATGATCTCCTTCCTGATCTAGGGGGAAGGCAGTTAGTCTTCCACCTTTAAGTAAGATGTTAACTGTAGATTTTGCAGATGTTCTTTATCAAGGTAATAAAATTCCCTTTTACTCCTAGTATATCATGAATTGATGTTGAATTTTGTCAAATACATCTATTGACAGTGATATGTGGTTTTTCTTCTTTAGTCTGTAAAAATGGTAAATTATATTAAATTGAGGCATACTTTAAAAACAGAACACACAGATCTTCAGTGTTAACAGTTTGCAGAGTTTTGACAAGTACATACACCCATGTAACCCATACAATGGTCAACATGTCCATTTCTATCACTCCATGAAGTTGCCTGATGCTCCTTGCCAGTCATTTACTGCCCAGCCCCCCTCCTGGTGGTTCTGTTATTATTTATTTTGATGCTCAGGTTATCTGTGATTGGCCAATTGGAGCCTCTTCAAGCTGGCTGTAGTATACTTCCGACATACCTCTCTTACTTCCGGAGGACTTCCTTCTTTTCTGGCACAAACTGTTGAAAGTGCACCTTGTATATATATATATATTCTTTGATCCAGCCCCGGAATCAGCCATTTCGACAAAGAGCCTGGTTCCTTTCGGTGGGGAATAGTAATTTGATTCTGCTATTTAGATACTCATTGTAATGGGTTTTATACAATTGAAGATAACTCTTGGTCGGGCACGGTGGCTCACGCCTGTAATCCCAGCACTTTGGGAGGCAGAGGCGGGCAGATCACCTGAAGTCAGGAGTAAGAGACCATCCTGGCCAACATGGTGAAACAGTGTACTAAAAAACACAAAAAAATGAGCTGGGTGTGGTGATGTGCGTCTGTAGTCCCAACTACTCAGGAAGCTGAGGCACAAGAATTGCTTGAACTCGGGAGGCAGAGGTTGCAGTGAGCCAAGATGGTGCCACTGCACTCCCTTGGGTGACAGAGCAAAACTCTGTCTCCACCGCCTCCGCCCCGCCAAGAAAAAGAAGATAACTCTTAAGTTGGAGATTATCAGAAAATTTGTTAGTGGGACATCTTTACTGCTAATGCCTGGAGGAATAGAATATATTAATGCATTTATAGACCACACTGATAAGTATCTGCATTAGAACAGTAGGACAATAGGCCAGGAGTGCCTATCAACACGAAAAAGAGATGCAGTGTTTACAGTACAAATTAAACTGCTCAGAATTCCTGTTCCATGCACCAGATTGCCAGAAGTTAAACTGGAGAGAATCCGTTGATGTAGAGCTGTAGGATTCTCATCTGCTTTTGATGAGAGTGGAGCTTGGTCTAGTTATTTGGAAACGTTTTGCATCATCTGGAAAAGGTGAGCAGAGAGCATACTCTGACCCAGCACGATGCTCTAGAGAGACTCTTGTGTTTGTGCACCAGGACACATGTGCAGTAATGTTCCTCGCAGCATTGTTTTTGGCAGCCCCAAATTGGAAAGAACCAGATTGTCCATTGGCCACAGAATGGATGGGCTGTGTCCTAGAGGAGTACTAATAGAGCACCCAGTGCAAAGCAGAGAGCCCTGCCATCGTGCACATTGATGCGCAGGTGTAAGCAAAGCTGAGAGGGTTTAGACACACACCCACAGGTGGTGACACTGTGAGGAAACTTTTTTTTCTTTTGGTTTTTGCTTTATTGAGATATAATTGGCAAATAAAATTTTATAAAGTGTACAAAGCGATTTGGTATAAGGATAGTGAGGTGATTACCGCAATCAAATTAATTAACAGTTACCCTTGTTTTGTTTTGTTTGGTGAGAATGGCTAAGATCTACTCTTTCAGCAAGTTCCAAGTATACAGTGCAATATTATTAATTACAGGCTGGGCGCTTTGGCTCACACCTGCAGTCCCAGCACTTGGAGAGGCCGAGGCTGTAGGGTCACTTGAGACCGCGTATTCAAGACCAGCCTGCACAACATAGGACAGCATCTCTACAAAAAAATTAAAAAATTAGCCAGGTGTGGCATGTGTTCTGTAGTCCCAGCTATTCATTCAGAAGGCTGAGGCGGGAAGATCGCTTGAGCCCAGGAGGTTGAGGCTGCAGTGAGCTGTGATTGTGCCACTACACTCCAGGCTGGGCTGTAGAGCAATACCCTGTCTCTTAAAAAAAAAAGATTCCACGTGTAAGTGATACTGTACAGCATTTATCTTTCTCTGGCTTATTTCAGTTAGCATTATGCCCTCTAGGTTCATTCATGTTGTTGTAAATGGCAGGATTTCCTTGCTTTTTGTTACCAAATAGTATTCCATGTGTATATACTATATTATCTGTTCATCTGTTGCTGGGCACTTAGGTTGTTTTCATAGCTTGGCTGTTGTGAACAGTGCTGCAGTGAACACAGGAGTGCAGATACCTCTTCAAGACACGGATTTCCTTTCCTTTGGCTGTGCACCCAGAAGTGGGGTTGCTGGATCATATGTTCATTCTATTTTTAATTTTTTGAGGAACCTTCATACTGATTTCCATAATGGCTGTAATAGTTTACATTCTCACCAACAGTGCACAAGGGTTCTTTAGGGAAATGTTTAACAGACATTTTGGGTAGTAAGTGTAGAAGCGGGTGTATGGAGTTTTTAAGGTATGGGTAAAATTTTTTTTTTTTTTGTCTTCCAGTATAATCTCAAGAGCCAAAATGTTTATTTCTTAAGGCATGTGATGAGTATGTAGGGATCGCTTTATTATTACTGCTTTAAATTGTATGTATGTATTTTTCCACTTTCCTCCTCCACATCGTATTATGAAAATTCCAAACAAGTTGAATGGATTGTTTAGTGAAAGATATCTTACTGTTTAAATTCTATGATTAATTTTACTGTGCTTTGGAAGTCTTACATATATTTTATAATTTCTTTTGTATGTGTGATGTATTTCCTAATTAAAAATTCCTTGTAAGACGGAAAGAGGAAAACCAAGGAGCCTCCATTTTGAGTTACAGACTTGCGGCAGGTGACAGTGGATGTCTAAGAAAATAGAAAAGAGTTAAAATGGAAACATCCATTGCTTTAGGAAAAAATTCAGCGTGAGTTTTATTACTTTCTTTTTCTTTTTCTTTTTCTTTTTTTTTTTTTAAACAGAGTCTCGCTCTGTCGCCCAGGCTGGAGTGCAGTGGCGCGATCTCGGTTCACCGCAAGCTCCGCCTCCTGGGTTCACGCCATTCTCCTGCCTCAGCCTCCGGAGTAGCTGAGACTACAGGCCCCTGCGACCACGCCCGGCGAATTTTTTGTTATTTTTAGTAGAGACGGGGCTTCACCATGTTAGCCAGGATGGTCTCGATCTCCTGACCTCGTGATCCGCCCTCCTCGGCCTCCCAAAGTGCTGGGATTACAGGCGTGAGCCACCGCACCTGGCCGAGTTTTATTACTAATAGCCAATTGTGTAATTTTTATTTTGACCAGTGAAACTCTAGAAATAAATTCAGAATTTGTTATTACATATGTACTAATTTCTGTTTCGAAAAGATTTTTAGGTGATACTGAGTGCAGGGGTGTTGCATATAAAATACAGACAGGCACGCATTTATTTATAAAAAGATAAAAAGAACCGTTCTAAGCAGAAATTTTTCATCATTTTCCTGTTAGAGAAAATGAATAATTCGCCATAATTTTATCACCCTAACACAACCTTTTTTTTTTTTTTTTTTTTTTTTGTGACGGAGTCTCGCTCTGTTGTCCAGGCTGGAGTGCAGTGGCGCGATCTCGACTCACTACAGCCTCTGCCTCCCAGGCTCAAACGATTCTCCTGTCTCAGCTTCCTGAATAGCTAAGATTACAGGCGTGTACCACCACACCCAGCTAATTTTTGTATTTTTAGTAGAGGCGGGATTTTACCATGTCGGCCAGGCTGGTCTCGAACTCCTGACCTCAAGTGATCCACCTGCCTTGGCCTCCCAAAGTGCTGGGATTACAGGCATGAGCCACCATGCCTGACTGATTTTTTAAATGTTATGTTGCATATATACCAGTTGAAACAAATGAATTTATACTTTTTTGTTTTGTTATTTCATTTAACAAATAATTATTTTATTGACTTCTAATAATTCTGTTTTTAACTGCTGTTACTGCTTCATTATTTTCAGGACCTGTAATTCATCTAACCACTTTCTAGTTTTAGGTTATGTCTGTTCTATTTAGAAAAACTCTTAGGAGTGACACTAGTGAATCAGGAGAGCGTAAGTCTCTTCGTGGTGCCCACCGTATACTCACTTTGTGTTTAGCTAAAAGTGCTGCTAGACTGTGGCCCCAGTTTTATTATGGCTTTGCAAGCCCTGTTAACCATTCTAAAAAGAGTTTAAACTTTGGGAGGCTACGGTGGGCAGATCACTTGAGGCCAGGAGTTTGAGACCAGCCTGGCCAACATGGCAAAACCCCATCTCTACCAAAAATACCAAAAATTTGCCGGGTGTGGTGGCGTGTTCCCGTACTCCCAGCTACTTGAGAGGCTGAGGCAGGAGAATCACTTGAACCCAGGAGGCAGAGGCTACAGTGAGCCAAGATTGTGCCGCTGCACTCCAGCCTGGGCAGCGGAGCAAGACTCTGTCTCAAAAAAAATAAGACAGAGTTTCAGGATGAGTTTTATTATTTGCAGCCAATTGTAGGATTTTTATAATAAACTAATCTATGCCAGTTAAACTCCAGAAATAAATCCAGAGTGCTCAGCATTGCGTGTATTTCTCTTTGTTTCCAGAAGGTTTTGTGGTTGTGTTGAGTGCAGCTATAGTATAAAAAATACTACTAATATTATTATGGTTATTTATGTCTTATAAAAACCTCCTGATTGGAGCATTTTTTTCAGTGATTATGATGTTAGAGAAAATGAGTAATTATTTATGGTTTTGTGATCCTAACCCAACTGTTGTTTCTTACGTTACTTTACGTATGTGTTTGTATTTTTTTTTTTTTTTTTTGAGACAGAGTCTTGCTCCGTTGCCAGGCTGAACACGATCTCAGCTCACCACAACCTCTGCCTCCTGGGTTGAAGCGATTCTCCCACCTCAGCCTCCCGAGTAGCTGGGACTACAGGCGTGTGCCACCATGCCCAGCTAATTTTTGTATTTTTAGTAGAGATGGGGTTTCACCACGTTGGCCAGCATGGTCTCGAACTCCTGACCTCAGGTAATCCGCCTACCTCAGCCTCCCAAAGTGCTGGGATTACAGGCGTGAGCCACCGCGCCTGGCCAGTTTTTTAATTTTTTTGTAGAAATGGAGGTCTCACTTTGTTGCCTGGGCTGGTCTTGAACTCTTGGGCTCAAGCAGTCCTCCCGCCTCGGCCTCCCAAAATGCTGGAATTACAGGCATGAGCCACTACACCTGGCTTCATAGTTTATTTCTTTGTTTATTTAAATAGGGCAGAAATTTTCCTTTTGGTAGCTGCCAACTACTATTGGTCTTAATTTCTACCTTCAGAATACCATCAATCTGTCCTTTTAGGTGGCAGATGTTCTGTGAGCTTTCTTCTGCTGTGTTTTCCATGGATAAGCTCTGTTTTGGTATTGTCTCTCCTAAATGGGCACCCAGAATTAAATTCCCTTCAGAGTGTTTTTTCTTTGTGAGAAATTCTCTTTTTTAAAGAATTGTCATAATGGTTTTTGATCAAAATCAAGGTTGCATTTTAAAGACAAGAGTATCTTCTGTAATCCCAGCACTTTGGGAGGCCGAGGCGGGCGGATCACGAGGTCAGGAATTCAAAACCAGCCTGGTCAACATAGTGAAACCCCATCTGTACTTAAAAATACAAAAAATTAGCCGGGCTTGGTGGCAGGCGCCTGTAATTCCAGCTACTCGGGAGGCTGAGTCAGGAGAATTGCTTGAACCCGGGAGGCAGAGGTTGCATTGAGCAGGGCTTGTGCCACTGTACTCCATCCTGGGCGACAGAGAGACTCCATCTCAAAAAAAAAAAAAAAAAAAAAAGACCAGAGTATCTTTACCAATAATACCTTCATGGAGACAGAATAAGGTAAAACTAAAAATAATTCTGAAAACCAAGGCTGAGTGTGCCGTGCCTGGAGGAGTTCCTGTGTCTTCTGCAGAACCCAGGGGCAGCAGGACCCGTGTGTCCTGAGTCCTCTGGGAAGCAGGCTGAGTGTCAGCCACAGCCGGGGAGCAGTCAACAGGGCGCACAGTCCTCCCTGTCAGTGCTTCTTGAGCAGAAGTTTCTCATTTTAATGAAGTCCAGTTTATCCGTGTGTTCATGTAGATATCCAGTTTTCTAGCACCGTTTGTTGAAAAGACTGTCTGTTCCCCATTGGATTGCCTTAGAGGCTTTGGAACACTGTGTGAGCGTGGGTCTGATTCTTGGTGCGCAGCTCAGTTCTTCTTATCTGTGTGTTGGTCCTTACGCCAGCGCTGCACTGCACTGTCCTGGTTCCTGGAGTCTTGGGGCGTGTCTTGAAGTCAGGTCCTTCACTTGGTTCTTCTCTCTCAATAATCTTTTTTCAGGCTCACTGATTTTTAAATTTTTTTTTCTTTTTCTTTTTTTGAGATAGGGTCTCACTCTGTCACCCAGGCTGGAGTGTGGTGGCGTTCTTTCGGCTCACTGCAACCTCAGCCTCCAGGGCTGAAGTGATCCTCCCATCCCAGCTTCCCAAGTAGCTGGGAGTACAGGCCTGTGCCACCATACCTAGCTAATTTTTGTATTTTTGTAGAGATGAATTTTCGCCACGTTGGTCAGGCTGGTCTTGAACTCCTGACCTCAAGTGATCTGTGTACCTTAGGTTCCCAAATGGCTGGAAATACAGCATAAGCCACTGCGCCTGGTCAATTTAAAATTTTTTGTTTGTTTTTTGGAGATGGGGTCTCATTATATTGCCCAGGCTGATTTTGAACTCCTGACCTCAAGCAGTCCTCTTGCCTTGACCTCCCAAAGTGCTGGGATTATAGGCATGAGTCACCATGCCCCGACTGATTTTTTCACATCTCCACACTGATGTTACGCCTATCCAATGAATTTTTTTTTATTTCGGATGTTGTATTTTTCACTTCTAGTATCTCCATTTCGCTCTTTATTTTAATAGTTTCTGTTTTGTCAAGATTTCTTCTTGTCTTTTATTGCAGTATATTTTTCTTTATGACCTTGGGCATACATATTAAGGTCACTTTAATATCCTTGCCTGCTTATTCTAGTACGTGGGTCATCTTGAGGTTGGTGTCTGAGTATGGCTCGTGTTTTTTGTTTGTATTTTGGAGTAATTTTGTTTGTATTTTGGAGTAAGTTTGAATTGGATTTTGTACAATTGTGCATGATATGTAGAAACCCTGGGTTCTGTTATATTCTTCTGAAACGTATTTATTTTCTTTAACACTTAACTTGATTGAATTAAAAATGCACACTCTGGCTGGGTGTGGTGGCTCACGCCTGTAATGCCAGCACTTTGGGAGGCTGAGGCGGGTGGATCACAAGGTCAGGAGTTTGAGACCAGCCTGGCCAATATGGTGAAACCCTGTCTCTACTAAAAATACAAAAATTAGCCGGGCATGGTGGCGCACCTGTAGTCCCAGCTTCTCAGGAGGCTGAGGCAGGAGAATCGCTTGAACCCAGGAGGTGGAGGTTGCAGTGAGGCGAGATCGTACCATTGCACTCCAGCCTGGGCGACAGAGCGAGACTCTGTCTCAAAAAAACAAAAAACAAAAACGCCAAACAGCAACAAAAAACCTGCATACTCTTTCTCCTTTGTGGCAGGAGGCACCTGAAAACTCAGTTCAGTACTTGGGCCTTCTCTTGGATTCTGTTTTTGTGTACATGGTTTAGGTGGAGGTTAGGGAGAGAATGTGGGGCCTCCTCCTTTTCCATCTGTCTCTTGCTCTTTGTCCTCTTGTTCAAGCCAGTGAGATGCTATGTGTCTTTAGGTTTGAGCCGTTCCATAGAGCACAGACTGGGGCTGCCCTCATGCCAAATGCCATGAAACTGGAAACCTTACCGTGTTCTATTCCCTTCTTGCGAATATCACTTCCCTTCCTGTATCACTGGCCTACCTTTTCATATTTTTTTGTATTTCATCTAGAGTTTATGGTTACCTGGATTATGTTTTTTGTTTTTGTTTTTGTTTTTGTTTTTTTGAGACGGAGTCTCGCTCTTTCACCCAGGTTGGAGTGCAGTAGTGCAGTCTCGGCTCACTGCAAGCTCTGCCTCCCGGGTTCACGCCATTTTCCTGCTTCAGCCTCCCGAGTAGCTGGGACTACAGGCACCCGTCACCGCGTCTGACTAATTTTTTTTTTTTTTTGTATTTTTAGTAGAGACGGAGTTTCACCATGGTCTCGATCTCCTGCCCTTGTGATCCACCCACCTCGGCCTCCCAAAGTGCTGGGATTACAGGCGTGAGCCACCATGCCCGGCCTTGTTACCTGGATTATGTTTGACCGGATAGGAAGTACTTGGCCATTACTGGACACGGAGCCCTTTATCAAGTTTTTTTTTTTTTTAATTAAAAAATACTCTTTTCTTTGGTTGTATTGGTCATACATGTTCATTATAGAACATTTGGGAAATTTAGAAACGCACACACACACAAATCATGTCACCTGTAATGCTGCCCCAGAGGTAACCACTGCCAGGCCATTGTTTTCAAAACATTCTTTCCTTTCTTTCCTCCCTCTCTTTGTCCATTCCCTCTGTCCCTTTCATCTTCTTTCCTTTTCCATCTTGGTTAAATGTAAACGGCAGTGCCTTCCTGCTACATATGCTGTATTGTGGCTGATTTTTCCTTTTAGTAACTCTTCCTAAGCCTTTCCCCGTGTGAGTACAGAGTCTGTGGCATGGCTGGTGGTGGCTGTGTGGTGGCCCTTGTGTGGCAGTTGGTTCAAACAGCTCCCTGTCACTGAACAGTTGCTTTGTTTAGGTATCTGTAACTTTTGCGTTTAAAATGTCTCACTAAGTAGAGTGAATATAATTGAGTGATTTAAGGAATAATTTAGCAACTAGTAATTAAGTCCTTAGCATTTACTTTAATGGCAAGGATGGTGACCAGATGGAAAAGGGTTAGGGTTAAGTCTGTGCTAACCAAGAGTTGGCTAGTTTCTGTCTTTGTAAAATAACATGCCAATAGCTTCCCATGTAAACTTTTAAAAAACATGATTTTTTACGAGCAGTTTTAGGTTCACAGCAGAATTGAGAGGAAGGAACAAGAGATTTTTAAACATACCCCATTGCTCCCCCGCCCATGTGCACAGCCTCCTTTGTATCCGTGTCCCCCACCAGACGGTGCATTTGTTGCACTTGGTGAAACCTTCAGTGCCATGTCATTAGCATAGTACTGTAGTTTCACCGCCCTAGAAATGTCCCGTGCTCACCTATTCACCTCCTCCCCTCTGCTTTGCACCTGGCAACCACTCATCTTTTTGTCTCTATAGTTTTGCCTTTTCCAAGACATCACAGAGTTAGGATCATGTAGCATGTCGCCTTTTCAGATTGGCTTCTTTCATTTTTTGTTTTTTTTAAAGATGGGGTCTCTTACTTTGTTGCCCAGGCTGGAATGCAGAGTGCAGTGGCACAGTCCTAGATCACTGCAGCTTCAAACTCTTGGGCTCAAGACTCCTGAGTAGCTAGGACTACAGGCATGTGTCACCATGCCTGGCTAACATTTTAATTTTTATTTTTTTGTAGAGACAGGATCTTGCTGTGTTGCCCAGGCTGGTTTTGAACTGCTGACCTCAAGCGATCCTCCCACCTCAGCCTTCCAAAGTGTTGGGATTAAGGCATAAGCCACCACACCTGGTGATGGCTTTTTTTCACTTTAAACATTTTAAATAACATCTGTCTATTTATATCTCTATATATCTCACATATTTATATCTCATGTAGGGTGCTAACTATAAAAATATCCTTTTAAAGCTCTAAGTTGGCTGGGTGCGGTGGCTCACACCTGTAATCCCAGCACTTTGGGAGGCCGAGGCAGGCGGATCATGAGGTCAGGAGATCAAGACCATCCTGGCTAATGCGGTGAAACCCCGTCTCTACTAAAAATTCAAAAAAACTAGCCAGGCGTGGTGGCAGGCGCCTGTAGTCCCAGCTACTCGGGAGGCTGAGGCAGGAGAATGGCTTGAACCTGGGAGGCAGAGGTTGCACTGAGATCCCGCCACTACACTCCAGCCTGGGTGACAGAGCGAGACTCCGTCTCAAAAAAAAAAAAAAAAGATCTAAATTAATTAGATAGTTATTAATTGGGGTTTTAGTGTCATTTTCCAGTAGAAAGGCAATTTCACCTTTTTATTATTCGGTGTTTTTGGATGTGAAGTTATGCTGGGCAGTGTGACTGATGAGTCGGCTGAGATTTGTCTCAGAACTGAAACTCATGTTTCCCAGCATTAGCCCTTTTGTTGTTTCCCAAGGACTGTAGGTTTGCATTGATTTGAAATTCCATTAAAACCAGAATAATATGTCTTTTACAAGTCTTTTTTCCCCCAGAGGTAAGTTAGAACTTTAAATTGTTTATTATACATAAATATACATTACACATGTATATTTAAAGACACGGGGTAGATAACATTCCTGTTATTAGAAAGGAAGGAGGTCGATGTTTGGGATAATTATGATAATTTGAGTTTATTCTTGTAATGGCCTTCAGTGATCAAAATCTCATTTTTTCATCTTTTTTCCCAGCAGCAAGCCCTCGCAGGGAGCCTGGTAGCAGGGGCCGGAAGCACAGTAGAGACGGACCTGTTTAAGAGGCAGCAGGCGATGCCCTCCACAGGTATGGCAGGTACGTCGGCACGGCTAGCGTGGCCTCGGGAATGCCCCCCTCTCCTTGGGCTGCCGAGGTACAGTTGCCATGAGTTTCTGAAGAGCAGTTGCTAAACTTGGTTTCTTCCTACTTTGAAAATTAACCTGTCTTACAGTGATTATCAGCTGAACAATATTTACGTGAATTTTTCTGTGTCCTGAAGTGAGGAATTTTTCAGTTGAGCAGGTGTATTCCGTGTTGGTTTTCTGTATGCATTTGTAGGCTCTTGAGTCATCACGGTGTGATTAAACACAAAATCATCTGCTTTCCAAAGTTGTCATATTTTTAAGCTGATTTTTTCAAATGATAAACTTAATACATTTTTATATAAAAGACTTCAACAGTTCAGTAGGGTATAACTTAAGTCTATGTCTGGCTTGGTACCTGCCCACTCCCCAGCCACAGCAGTAACCACTGTTAATGTTTCCCATATTCTCTCTCACAGACCTTCCTCTCTTCATACACAAGCATTGTTACATATGTGATACTTTGAAAAAGTTGAGATGCGATCATATATAAGTTGTTATGTCTAAGAATATTAACTGAAGAGGCCATCTCTCCAGGTCATAACCTCTCTCAGTGCTCCATGCTGTTCCGTCTTGGGGATGGTTGGTTCTTTATCAGTCAGATCCTTGTCAGTGTTCATCTGTTAGTGCCACCTTGTGTCTGTTACAGTGAGCTAAGGATTGAACATGTAGTCTCATGGTTTTTTTTTCCTACATGTTTATCAGTCTATCCATCTGCTTATTTTTTGAGGTAGGGTCTGGTTCACCCGGGCTGGAGTGCACTGGCATCATCATGGCTCACTGCAGCCTCTACCTCCCAGGCTTGAGCAAATCTCATGCCTCAGCCTCCTGAGTAGCTGGGACTACAGGCGCGTGCCACCACTCCCAGCTAAATGCAAAAATTGTTGCATTTTAGGTACAGTTGTGGTCCCACTATGTTGCCCAGGCTGGTCTCAAACTCCTGGGCTCAAGTCTTCTTGCCTCAGCCTCCCAAAGTGCTGGGATTATAAGCGTGAGCCACCGCGCCCAACTGTCTGTCAATATATCTAAAGGAAAAACGCCTAGAAATGAAATTGCTAGATCAAAGCGCAGATGTAGTTAAGTAATAATGGTGCTCAATTGCCCACCAAAAGGACAGGGCCAGTTTTCACTGCCATCAACAATTTCTGGTTCTTTCACATTTTGATCGTTTTATTAGGTATAAGTCATTTAATCCTCATTGATCTGATGGGTGAAACATTCCTTGTTCTGATATGGGTTTCTTTAGTTTTGAGCACGCTGTGCAGCCTCATTCCCTGTGTGCTGGGCATTTGTGAGTCTGCTCCACTGCCCGCTCTCCATGCTCTCGTCCGTGTACTTGTGATGCTCCTCATGTGTGCCTGTGCTTTCTGAGTGCTAAGCAAGCCCACCTCTGCCCGTCACACACGTTGCAGTGTTGCCTCTCAGGTTGTTGCTTGTCCTTGGCCTTTTCATGATGCTTTTTCTTATATCGGCAACATTTTAATGAGAAATTGTATTTATCAGCCTTATGTTTTATGGCTTCTGGATTTTAGTTCATGTATAGAAAGGCCTCCCTTTTCCAAGATGATAAAAACACACATGTTTTTTTCTACTACTTCTCTGGTTTTATTTTTACATCAAACTGCACCTTTTTTGAAAATTATTCTAGAGCAGTCTAAGAGGCCTCGCCTTGAAGTGGGTCACCAAGGGGTAGTTTTCCAGCACCCAGGGGCGGACGCAGGCGTTCCTCTCCAGCAACTAATGCCGACCGCACAAGGTAAGGCCCAGCAGCAGAGCCAGCTCCCCGCTCAGGAGCAGGCAGCACACTGCGGTTCCAGAAACCAGCACCAGACTCAGACTTGGGCAGTGGAGGTAGCGTGTTTGCAGTGGGGTGCCTGAAATTGAGATACTTCTCTGAGTCCCAGTCGATATCATATGCAAAGCCCCTGGAGACATATTCTTGCCACACTAATGGGAGCCACACGTCGCATTGTCATAGTGTCTTTCAACAATTTTTACTCCTATGTTTTTCCTAATTGCTGCTGTTGTAGGGGTGCCCTGTGGTGATCTGGTGCTTGTTTTGCTTGATGCTGACTTGCAAAGGTCAAGCGCCTCTCTTTCCTTTTGTGTGTGCTCGGTTGTGGCCAACTTCTCGTGTGAGTGTGGTGGGTCTTGGACAAGCACTGGGGTGTTAGACGTGTCTCCTTGTGACTCATTGGTAGAAGCTGCCACACTTGGGAATCAGTGCTTTTGGCACTTTTCTTATTTTGCAGGAGGAATGCCCCCCACGCCGCAGGCCGCGCAGCTCGCTGGACAGAGGCAGAGTCAGCAGCAGTATGACCCCTCCACGGGGCCTCCCGTGCAGAACGCTGCCAGCTTGCACACCCCACTGCCGCAGCTGCCCGGGAGGCTGCCCCCAGCCGGTGTTCCCACTGCAGCCCTCTCCTCTGCGCTGCAGTTTGCACAGCAGCCGCAAGTGGTAGAGGCCCAGACACAGCTCCAAATCCCGGTGAAGACTCAGCAGCCCAATGTTCCCATCCCTGCACCGCCCAGCAGCCAACTCCCCATCCCTCCCTCGCAGCCTGCACAGCTGGCCCTCCACGTTCCCACACCTGGAAAGGTGCAGGTGCAGGCCTCTCAGCTTTCCTCCCTGCCACAGGTATGAGAAAAGATAGAGGAAAAAAAGAAAATGGTTTGCAGGATTTGCTGGCTACCTGTGTGTTAGACAGAGTGTCACACCACACTGTAATTTGTGTATTTTCTCTTAGCAGCTTGCTCCCCCAATTTAGAACAATTACTCAATTCAGTACTTGCAATACAGTTTTATTTGGCTCTATGATATTATCTTTATTAAAGTAATAGAGAACTGGGCTGGGTTTGGTGACTCACGCCTGTAATCCCAGCCTTTGGGAGGCTGAGGCGGGTGGATTACCTGAGCTCAGGAGTTCGAGACCAACCTGGCCAACATGGCGAAACCCTGTCTCTACTAAAAATACAAAAATTAGCCAGGCGTGGTGGCAAGTGCCTGTAGTCCAAGCTACTTCAAAGGCTTAGGCAGGAGAATCACTTGAACCTGGGAGGTGAAGGTTGCACTGAGCTGAGATCACACCATTGCACTCCAGCCTGGGTGACAGAGTGAGACTCTGTCTCAAAAAAAAAAAAAAAATAATAATAATAATAGACAACTGTTATTATTGTCACTCTTAGTACCAGGGGTCCCTCCTTACTCACCCATATGTTGTGTGAAGGGCATGGTGTCAGTTATCCCTTATGATCTGCCTAGCAACCCTCAGGTAGGTGGCAGCGACCCATTCTACCAGTGTGGAGACACATACTCAGAGGTTCTGGGGCTGGCCCCAGGTTACATGGCGATGAAGTGATGAGCGGGGCTTGACCCTAGCTCCATGTGAGTGCAAAACCATGTTGGACACCACCCACCAGACGTGCTCCCTGGACGCCTGCTTTGCTGCTTTTGGGATGCTATATGCTCTGCAAATGTGTGTAAGGTGTTACTGATCCAGCTTGATACACATGTGTAAGGCGTTACTGATGCAGCTTGATACACATTTCAGGTAGTTAAAATGCCCCTCCTCCTCCACTGATTAATTTTACCCAGTGTGTTTTTGGGATGTCCACAGTAAACTGGTTTCGGTTCCTAAGGAATAGCGAAATGCCACAGCCTCGGTGCCAGCCGTCAACAGGGCACTGACAGGGAGGCCGGGGAGGACTCTCAGCCCCCTTGGTTCTCCACTGTTTGATGCACATCAGGGCGTGGGGAGCCCACTGCAGAGAGTCTTCCCTTCCTTTTGCCTTCTCCCTCACTAACAAAGGAATTTCCTAGGTGGGCTTTAAGTTCAGGGTTTTTGTTTGTTTGTTTTGAAACAGGGTCTGGCTCTGTCACCCAGGCTGGAATGCAGTGACACGATCTCTGCTCACTGCAGCCTCTACTTCCTGGGCTTAGATGATCCTCCTGTCCCTGCCCCCTGAGTAGCTGGGACTACAGGCGCACACCACTACACCTGGCTGATTTTTGTATTGTTGTAGAGATGGGATTTCGCCATGCTGCCCAAGCTACAAGTGCTTTTTCTTTTTTTTTTTTTAGACGGAGTTTCGCTCTTGTTACCCAGGCTGGAGTGCAGTGGCCCGATCTCGGCTCACCACAACCTCTGCCTCCTGGGTTCAAGCGATTCTCCTGCCTCAGCTCCCGAGTAGCTGGGATTATAGGCATGTTGCCACCATGCCGGCTAATTTTGTGTTTTTAGTAAAGACGAGGTTTCTCCATGGGTTAGGCTGGTCTTGAACTCCTGACCTCAGGTGATCCGCTGGCTTTGGCCTTCCAAAGTGCTGGGATTACAGGCGTGAGTCACCGCACCCGGCCTACAGGTTCTTTATGTTTGAGATTTATGGCAAAGTCTTAAGTATATAACGATGAAATAATAGTAACAATAATAGCTATCTCTTATTCACCACTTGTGAGGTGTGGTGTCAAGCACTGTGATGAGCGATTTATTGGCATTGTTTATTTCCTTTACCTGACAACCTTATGAGGTAGAATCTTTACTATCTCCATTTTATAGATTAAAAAAACCAGAGGCCAGAAAAGCCAGCAACTGGGGGGGCTGTAGTTGGGAGCCTTTTGTGCAAGTCTGCAGGGAAGCCTTGTACACCCACTTTGAGAAAGGCGACACATGCCAGGGCAGCTGAGCTCTTCTAGGCCTTACATTGCTTGCTTTAGGTTTTTGTGGAAATGATTCTATTTTGAACACTTCCTCACATCGAGCCACATACTGACTTAAAGCAGCTCCGTGGTTTTTCTTAGATTTAATTTACCTGCCTGTGTTACTGAAAAACTCAGCTGTGGAAAATGGTTTTATTTTATTTTATCTTTTTTTTTTTTGAGTCAGAGTCTCACTCTGTCCCTCAGGGTGGAGCGCAGTGGCACGATCTCCGCTCACTGCAACCTCTGCCTCCTGGGTTCAAACCATTCTCCTGCCTCAGCCTCCCGAGTAGCTGGGACTACAGGCATGCGCCACCACGCCCTACTAGGTTTTTTTTTTTTCCAGCAGAGAAATGATTTATTTCACAATTTAGCTCTCTAAATAACTTTATATTCTCTCCTTAAGAACAACAGTAGAGGAAATCATTTACTGATCATTTTACAATGCACATAATATCTTATGCATGCTTAGGCAACTGTTTTTTTTTTTTTACTTTTTAGTAGAGATGGGCTTTTGCCATGTTGGCCAGGCTGGTCTGAAACTCCTAACCTCAACTAATCCACCCACCTTGGGCTCCCAAAATGCTGGGATTACAGGCGTGAGCCGCCACACCCAGCCTGGAAAATGATTTTAAAGAAGCGCTTTACAAAGTCTGTAGGAACCTGTTACTTCTAGGTTAGCCAGGGTTGGCACACTTTCTCAGTCAAGGGCCAGGGAGTAAATGTTCCAGCTTTGCGAGCTGTTCAGTTTCTGTGGCAGAAGTGAAGACACAGCCGCTCACGGACAGCACGTAAGTGGATGTGGCTGTGCTGTAATAAAGCTTCATTTCCAAACGCCTGTGGCCAGCCGGGAGACGGCGCTGCCGAGGTGAAGAAAGCAGACCCACGTCGTGGGACGGGCGCTCAGAGAGAGTGTGCTCTAGCGGTTCTGTCTCCCTTCAGCTTTTGAACGGGCTAAATCTTGTGTGAGCCTTCACTCAGCCCACCTTCCCTGCTCTCTGTGAATTTAAGTCACAGAGTCGCAGCAGTTCTCTGTGACTTTAAGTCTGTCGTTGAGGTGGTGCGAAGAGGAGGACTTTTCTTTTTTTGAGACGGAGTTTTGCTCTTGTTCCCCATGCTGGAGTAGAATGGCGCAATCTCAGCTCACCACAACCTCCGCCTCTTGGGTTTAAGCAATTCTCCTGCTTCAGCCTCCCGAGTAGCTGGGATTAATAGGCATGTGCCACCATGCCCGGCTAATTTTGTATTTTTAGTAGAGACGAGGTTTCTCCATGTTGGTCAGGCTGGTCTTGAACTCCTGACCTCAGGTGATCCGCCCACCTCGGCCTCTGAAAGTGCTGGTATTATAGGCGTGAGCCACTGCGCCTGGCCTGAGGAGGATTTTTTAACCCTTTTAGCCTGTCTGCCATGAGAGAGGCACACTGAATTTGTATTTTATTTTATTTTATATTTTGTTGAGATAGGGTCTTGCTTCGTTGCCCAGGCTGGAGTACAGTGGCACAAACATGACTCACTGCAGTCTCAACCTCCCAGGCTCAAGCAGTCCTCCCACCTCAGCCTCCCATGTAGCTGCGACCAAAGGTGCACACCACCACACCTGGCTAATTTTTAAATTTTTTTGTAGAGATGGGGTCTTTCTTTGTCAAAGCCCAGGCTCATCTCAAACTCCTGGGCTCAAGCAGTCCTCCCACTTCAGCCTCCCAAAGTGTTGGGATTACTGGCATGAGCCACTGGGCATGGCCTAAAGATAGTTCATAATGAAAACTCCTATTTGGTTTTGTGGAAGTGGGAGGATGTATTATTTGTGGACACGTTAGTGTTGGGCTGTGGATACGATGTGATTTGTCTGCTTGCATCGTGGAGCGGAAGGTGCTGGCAGTGCGCGTCTCTGGTGCTGTGGGCGCTCAGGTATTTGGCACCGTGGGCTGCCCCGACATCTTTTCTTCACCTTGCTCCACTTGTGCCCTGCCCTTACAGATGGTAGCATCGACAAGGCTCCCTGTGGACCCTGCCCCGCCCTGCCCACGGCCTCTGCCCACCTCTTCTACCTCGTCCCTCGCGCCTGTGAGTGGCTCCGGCCCAGGACCCTCCCCTGCTCGATCCTCTCCAGTAAATAGACCTTCCTCAGCCACCAATAAGGCACTATCTCCAGTCACTTCCCGGACCCCAGGGGTGGTGGCATCTGCCCCCACCAAACCACAGAGTCCTGCTCAGAATGCCACCTCGTCCCAAGACAGTTCTCAGGATACGCTGACAGAACAAATAACTCTGGTAAGCATGCTTAAGAAAGTTGTAAAATGTACTCCAGTTGGTGAAGCACATTTAGTTTTAATTGTCAAGAATGTGATGGCGTAAAACCGAATGCCTGGTCAATTCAGCATGGCTTGGGAATCAGTAGACACAAGATGAAAACCAAGGGTTAGCCTTTTCTGTTGGAAGCAGACTCATGGGGGCAGTCTGCGTTTTTGTGATAAAGCCTGCAGTCTTGGGCTGCTTTCATATGGGCAGTAGACGAGGGTGGGAGAGGTCACGTGTAGCAGTTAGGCGGAGAGGGACAAGCTTGAGCGCTGGGGCCCTGCAGGCTGTGAGGTCCCTGCAGCCACCAGTCTGCAGCCCTGTGTTTGAGAGTCACTGCCCAGCCCTTAGCACTTACTTTGGGTTGGATGACTAAGCATTTATTTTGTTCAACTTCATTAGGGGAATTAAAAGAAATGTGTATCAAAATAGAGTGTCATAAACCCCATGTTCCCCATTATTTGATTTTATCACAGTGATCAGTATGCAGCTAGTCTCATTTCATTTATCCCACTCCTTTCCAGATTATCTAGAAGCAAATTCCAGACATCCTATGGTTTCCCATGTAAACACTTTGGTAGAAACATGAGGTTTTAAAGTTTTAGTCTGTTTTATAGAGCTGGGGCAGGACTATTGCTCCAGCTTCTTCTAAGGCTCCTGGAAGGGTCACATGCTCCTAGACCTCTCCTAGAACCACTTTGACCTTTGTGTTCGAATCTTACCTTTGATATTAAACTGGGACCTTGTGCTTTCTCTCTTTCTTAGTGCCTGACTGAGCCTTTTGCATAGTAGGGCTTCAAATTTCTGGGGTCTGAGTTGGTGGAACACACTCATCACATGCCGACCCCACCATCCCCCATGTATCATCTACAGGAGAACCAGGTGCATCAGCGCATTGCGGAGCTGAGGAAAGCAGGTCTGTGGTCCCAGAGGCGTCTGCCAAAGCTGCAGGAGGCCCCACGCCCCAAGTCCCACTGGGACTATCTGCTGGAGGAGATGCAGTGGATGGCCACAGACTTTGCCCAGGAGAGGAGGTGGAAGGTGGCTGCTGCGAAGAAGGTGGGTTGGAATGCGTGGAGCTGCTGTGCTGTGTGCGTTGGTGGGGGCTTGAGTTTGCAGTGGTGTAAGTGGTGGGGAGGTCTCCAGACCCACTTTTTTTTTTTTTTTTTTTTTTTTTCCCCCAGACAGGGTCTTGCTCTGTTGTCCAGGCTGGAATGTCCAGCTAATTTTGTGTTTTTTGCCACATTACCCAGACTGGTCTTGAATCCTGGGCTCAAGTGATTGCTCGCCTCGGCCTCCTGGAGTGCTGGGATTGCAGGCGTGAACCACTGTGCCTGGCAGACTCACTCTAGAGGCCTTAACCTGTGAAGTCTGGGAAGGATACTTCCCTGTTGTTTGGAGAATAACTGTGCTGTGTAATTAAGTCTCTGAGGTGGTGTCTTCAGAGCCCAGCATGCGTTGTTGGGATCAAGCCTGTGCTCAGTGCTCACCCACTAAGCAATGATGTGGATTTAGCTTCATTTTGTTGCCTGGCTTTGCCTGGCAGTTGGAGTTAGGATACCTGCAGTGCCACAGGTTCAGGCTGGTGGCTGGGGCTGTTCAGGGAGCTGAGAGGCTAAGAGTTAGAAGGCACCTGGTATCAGTCAAGGGACAGCAAGGGGCTGTCCTAGGCTTTCCTGCCTGGCCACACGGCCTCCTGCCCTTCCTCCTGGGCTTCTAGTCTAGCTTTCTCTTTAATTTTGGCTGAGAATTTATTTTTCTCCTAACTGTTGCCAAAGCAGGCGCAGAGTCCTTGGAAGACTCTGGAGGCCCTACTGCTAACACTAGAAAAGTGAGAACAAGTGGTAGATTTCTAGAAACCCCAGGCCTCAGTGGGAAGCAGCTGTGCTTTCACTGTGTGAACAGCCGTGGCCCTTCTTTATCCTCCTCATTACTGTGTCGCTGCCTCTGTTTCTTGGGCCCTAGGGTCTTTGTTCATATTTTCTGTACTCTTAACGCTATGGCCTTGTGTTCCATCCCTTGCCCTGTCCACTCCGTACCCAGAATTTTCCCCCTTGCTGTCTTCATGTAGGGTAGGCAGAGAGAAGCTGAGACCACAGGGTGAGAACCGTGGGGTTCTGAGGGTCAAGGGTCTCAAGTCAGATTCATAAGCATTCCAGAAAAACCCAGATTCTTCCTTAAACCAGCCTTTCCACAAAGAAGATAGTCCTGAACATGGTGGACACCAGGCTGGATAGGGCAGGAGGCCAGACGTGTAGATGCCAGGCTGGACATGTGGATGCTGGGCTGGATGGGTGGGGGCTGGCCGATGGGCTAGAGTGGGAGCTGGTGGGGTTGGCTGAAGAGCAGTGCAGCACCTACAGGGCACAGGCCAGGGCCATCTCTCAACAGCTGAGTGATGCATCTGCAGCCAGGCCTGCCCTTCCCCGTGCCTCCTGCCTCTCGCTGGGGTAGACAGGGAGAGGCTGCAGAGCAGCCCACCCCGATCAGGGCCTGTGTTGACGACAGTGAGCCCCGTTGGAGGCCGAGTGGGAACACGGCGTGTGCGCAGAGTCCTGGCGGTAGTTGAGTGCATTTCCATCCCTAGAACGGGCGTGGGGGTGACAGCCATTGTGCTCTCAGGGCTCCAAAGGTTTTCTCATCTTAATTCTCTCCACCCATTTGAGGTTCTGTTGGTGGGTATGTGAAGTGTCTAAACTTTTGGAAAGCAGTTTGACAATTTAAAGCAAAAGCTTTAAAAATGTGAATTATCGCAGCCCAATAATTTCTATAACTGGTGCAGCATTCATGAAATGAGATGCCGACCCATGTTTATTGAATGGAGAGATGTTAATCATCTATTAAATGGGAAAAGAAGATTATAGCACAATGTGGTATTCTAGTTTTGAGGAAAATAATGTGTATTTGGTGAAAAGTATAAAAACACTTTCTAGAAAAGTCAAGCTAAATATTGATGGTGGTTTTTGCTTATAGTCATGTTTCTCCTAATCCACCCTAAGAGCATACGAGGATGTATATGACAGTGAATTGTATGTAATTTTAGTCTGAGAAGATTTAAAAAAAGTTACATATCCTTTTTTTTCCAGCATGACATAGAGTACAACATACAATTCTTGCACTTTTATTCACCAGCTCGTTAGAACTGTGGTGCGCCATCACGAGGAGAAGCAGCTCCGTGAAGAAAGGGGGAAGAAGGAAGAGCAGAGCAGACTGAGGCGGATAGCCGCCTCCACGGCCCGGGAGATAGAGTGCTTTTGGTCGAATATTGAACAGGCGAGTGCTGCCGTTGTCATGGGGTCGTAAGAATCAGTCTGTCGGAGCTGGTGAGGCCACTTCCCGAGACCAGAGCTCGGGCACCTTGCTTAGGAAGCTTTCGAGCACCAGAGTCAGCAACGTGTGCACTCTCCTGGGCTGTTGCTTGTTGGCCTTTGAATGAGCTGCTCGTGCCTCCGTCTGTCTTGCACAGGGGATGCACCTCAGCTGTGGCTGCCCTCTGAGGTGCTTCATGCCGTGGAGGGGCTCTGGGCATTGTTTCAGGGTTAGCGTGAGTCACCACCACGGTTACTTCTAGAGCGGTCGCTCGCTCACTTGCTTTCCTTTTTTGAAATTTTAATTCTTACCTCACCACCTAATAGAACCTGGGCAGGATGTAGTTAGTATGAAATAAATGAAAAAGCACCAAACTGACGAGGCTGGAAAACACTGTTTTCAGACTCTGCTTATGTGCTTTAGTGTTTTGTATGCAGAACGTCTGTAATTCCCATCCTTAGTAATGTGCTTATTCATTTAATCCTTTGCATTTAGGTTGTGGAAATAAAACTACGAGTAGAATTAGAAGAAAAAAGGAAGAAGGCCTTAAATTTACAGAAAGTTTCCAGGAGAGGTAGGACCCTTTAAAAAAAGGCTCACCACGCTTGGGTGGTATTTTGTTCGGATTCTTTTCTCAGCAGGCAGTCTCCTGGCGCTGTGGCTTCCCACAGAGGACATCTGCTCATCAGCCAGCTGCCTGATTGTTACATTTCTCTTTGTGTGGCCATCCTAGTTTTATGCTTCAGTGCTTTTGAGATGTGCTAGTGTGAGTCAGCACCCCCAAGTTGATAAACTCTGGGACACAGAACTGGGGTTCAGTCCCTGGACAGTGAGTGAGGAGCTTCCTGAGGTGTTTGCCATGCAGGAGGATCCTTGGGTGCCTGGCTGGGTGACGCCTTCCTTTGATGTTTCTTCGGCAGCTGCCTCCGCTCGTTATGTGCCACTCCACTTAGGATGTGCACGGCACCAGTGGCAGCAGCATTCACTGTTTCCTTTGCCTCTGAGGACACCCCCAGGAGGGTGGGCATTGTGTTCCCCCATTATTGATGAGGAACCCGAGGCTGAGAGGTGGCTGCTGCTGAAAGTCATAGAGCCACAAGTTAGTAAAAACCACTGCCCTGCGTGATGATGATGAGGAGGCAGAACTCACGCGTCCTTCCTTTCCCTGCACGTGGGTGGAGGCAGCAGGACCCTGCCTGGAAAGCAGAGACGCCCTCGCCAAGCATGGGGGGCCTTGGGAACGAACTGTGCTCCTTGTCTCTCTAGGGAAAGAATTGAGACCTAAAGGATTTGACGCATTACAGGAAAGTTCTCTGGTAAGTTTGGGGTTGTTACTGTGCTGTGTGAGAAGGAGTAGAAGCAGCTCCAGTAGAGTGGGCCTTTTCATTCTTATCCAGAGGAATTTGTAGGCTGTGACTATTACTTCCTTTCTTTTCTTTTTTTTTTTTTTTTGTTTTAGAGACAGAGTCTTGCTCTGTCGCCCAGGCTGGAGTGAAGTGGCACGATCTCAGCTCACTGCAACCTCTGCCTCCCAGGTTCAAGCAATTCTCCTGCCTCAGCCTCCCGAGTAGCTAGGACTATAGGCGCACGCCACCACACCTGGCTAATTTTTTTTTTTTGTATTTTAGTAGAGATGGGGTTTCACCGTGTTGCCCAGGCTGGTCTCAAACTCCTGAGCTCAGGCATTCTGTCCGCCTTGGCCTCCCAAAGTGCTAGGATTACAGGCGTGAGCTACCGTGCCCCGCCTATTACTCCCTTTCATTATAGACTCAGTCTACTTTGAAAATAAACTGGTGCTTTATAGCCTTAGTCTCACGTGGGGTGTTAATTTGGCAGTGACAGCTGAACACAGTGAGCATTGATCATGTCCTCGCTCCCCCGCTGCCCTGCCCCGACCCCAAATGGAGGCTGAGGGCAGCCTAGCAGGCTTGCCCCGGGGCTCCCCCAACCTGTCCCATGGACACTGCTGTCTTGGTTTCCCATTCTGAGTGTTTGGATCTCATGCTTGTGGTTTTTCTTTCTTTTCTTTCAGGATTCAGGAATGTCTGGAAGAAAAAGAAAAGCTAGCATATCTTTGACTGATGACGAAGGTCTGTTCCCCCTCAGCACTATCTTTGTCATCTCCAGGGCTGCTGATGAGATGACACAGAGCTGCAGCGACTTGGGGTTTAGTCTTGTCATCTTCAGCTGGTTGGAAAGCTCAACCTTTGTATTTATCCAGATGTCTCTCAGTGTATAGAGTACTTTTTGTATCTCTAGAGGACTTGGGATGTTTTCTGGAGCAACATGGTCGTATCTGCTTTTTGAGGTTTGGAAACTTGGGTGCATCTTGGAGAGTGTTGGGGCCCCATGCTCCTGTGGCACAGGGCCAAGCCTGTTTCTGTCCTTGAGAGGTGGCCCTGGTATGTCCTCTGGTAGACCCATGGTTGCCAGCCATTGGGATTTCAGGAGAAACTCATGTGAATTTTAGATGTTGGAGAAACCTGGTTCAGATGAGAACAGATACCTGAGCACTCAGTGTGTGAGCTGGGGACAGCCCACGGCCATGACCTATTTCCAAACCCATGTGGATTGAGTACAGAAGTCCTCAGGAGCAGACTGGATTTTTAGAGACAGAGTGGGGAGCAGGAGTAGAGAGGTTGGAGAAACTTTCTTGGGCGTTTGTGTGGCGGTTCCTGTCAGGTGCCAGGTAAGGCCTGCAGTTTCTCCTTCGGCTCTTTGATCAGCATCAGTGTGGTTTTATTGGCTTGGTTTGGTGAAGTGTGTTAACTTTTCCAAATTTTTGAAGATTGATCTTTGCTATGTGTTGATTTTTATTTGGAAGTCAACAGGGAGTTTGGCCAGATTGTTGGCATGAAACTGGCAGTATTCAGTTCTGCTGCGTATGACAGAAACAAAACAACAGTGTGGCAGATGAGTGAGGAGCCTGAGGGCACATGGCCCAGGACTGGCACAGCATTGTGGTGGCATTTTCAGGCCCCTCCCAAGCGATTCTCTTGCCTCAGCCTCCTGAGTAGCTGAGACTACAGGTGCGGACTACTACGCAGCTAATTTTTGTATTTTTAGTAGAGATGGGGTTTCACCATGTTGGCCAGGCTGGTCTCAAACTCCTGACCTCAGGTAATCCACCCGCCTCAGCCTCCCAAAGTGCTAGGATTACAGGTGTGAGCCACCACACCTGGCCTGGTGCTGAATTCTAGATAGTACCATCCTGCACTGGGGATGGATTGAACTCTGGCCTTTCAGACAACAAGAGAAGCACAACAGAGTACAGTAGGTTTGTGTCTTTCTTGTTACCTGGAAAGGATTAGGTCATTTCTTCATGAGGAACACCTTTTCTCTGGCCTGCACTCTGGTAGCTGCGGTCGGCTTTATGTAGATTGACCTCTCCGCTTTCCTTATTTTCTCACATTCTCAGGAGCACATTTGTGTACAGTCATGTGTTTCTTAACAACGGGGATATATTCTGAGAGATGCGTTGCTGGACAATTTTGTTGTTATGTGAACGTACAAAGTACTCACCCAAACCTAGATGGTGCAGCCTGTGCCTCCGGCTACAAACCTGCACACAGGTGACTCTCCTGAATCCTGTGGGTAATTGGAATATAGTGGTATTTGTGCATGTAAACATATCTTGACACAGGAAAGGTAATGTAAAGATACGGTATTACAGTCTTACAGGGTCCCATTGCATATGCGGTCCATTGTTGGCAGAAACGGCATTATGTGGTGCTCAACTGTATTGAAACAGACTTTTATTTGACTTCTGTTTAATGCCTAAAGATGTCTTAGGGTAACTCAGAGAAGGCCAAATTAACCACCCGAGGTCGTCTTTACTTTTCTTTTCCAAAATTCCACCCTGGAAACCAAGTGATCAGAAGGCAGAAGGAATGGCAGAAGGCGTTTCCAAGAGGAGGGGATGGCCAGGCCTGTCGTGAGCCACCAGGGTGTCGAGTACAGTCAGGAAAGGCAGCACCTGGAGGCCCAGCGACTTGTGTGGTTGGGGTCAGGTGCCTAGGCCTTCTTGGTGGGCAGTGGGGGTCTTGTAGTGAAGAAATGAGGAAGAGTTTTGATGGTAGGAAGGGAGAGATGTTATGTTAGATTGTGAGAGAAGAAAAGTTGAGAGCCAGCTGAGAGGAGAGATGGTGCAGGCCCCCTGCAGGCCCCCAGGTGGGGAGAGGGTCCGTGGACAGAGGGAGTTTGGCTGTGGGGATGCTGGTAGCTGCTCTTTTCTCTGCCAGGAGCCAAGATCTCTATGGCGAGTGAGGCGTGAGGTTCAGGGCTGGAGGGCTGAAGAGAGCGGAGTGGGCTTGGGTTGGTGATTGTGGAGGACAGGAGAGTCAAGGAGAGTGTTAGGCTGATGTGGCTGGGCCTCGTGAGATGGGCGATGATGACTTCACGGTGATCCCAGATGGCATGCCTGTGGGCTTTCCACAGTGGGGCTCTGCAGGAAGGTAGGAGGGTTGACAGCATTCCGTATGTTGGCCTGAAGAAGGTCTGCCATGTGTGGAAAAACCAGGGCTGTCATTCACAGCCTGAAGTGGAAGGGGAAATACACTTCCAGTTTCCTGCCCATTTAATTAAATTTAACCTGAGAAGTTTAAAAGCTCAGTTTCAATTTCTGTAATAGCTATGCAAAATAATTTCGAAGCCTTATAGTGTGTAATGAGTAACAGACACTCAAGTGGTGTTGCCTCTCAGTGACACTTGCTGATAACCATTTTAGTGGACGATGAAGAGGAAACAATTGAAGAGGAGGAAGCAAATGAAGGCGTTGTGGACCACCAAACAGAACTTTCTAATTTAGCCAAGGAAGGTAGGCTGTTGCTACCTTATTAAACATTCAGTAAGTAAAAAGAAACATTTAAAACATGTGAGATGTGAATAATAATATATTGAGTAACAACAGCAGCAGTGCCTGTTTTATGGAAAACAGTCCCTGTGTGCCTCCTGCTGCTCTCTCTCCTGACCTGGAGGTCCTGGCCCTCCTGGGTTGTGTGTCGGACACTGCCCTGACTGTCTTTCTTCCCTGCCACCTGCGTGTGTCTCCCTGAATGTACCGTTCATCTTGAGTGTGTGAGAACTTCATATGAATGAATCCACCACAGCTTGACTGAATGTGCCGTTCATCCTGAGTGTGTGAGAACTTCATGTGAATGAATCCCACCACAGCTTGACTGAATGTACCGTTCATCTTGAGTGTGTGAGAACTTCATACCAACGAATCCCACCACAGCTTGACTGAATGTACCGTTCATCCTGAGTGTGTGAGAACTTCATGTGAATGAATCCACCACAGCTTGACTGAATGTACCGTTCATCTTGAGTGTGTGAGAACTTCATGTGAATGAATCCCACCACAGCTTGACTGAATGTACCGTTCATCTTGAGTGTGTGAGAACTTCATGTGAATGAATCCCACCACAGCTTGACTGAATGTACCGTTCATCCTGAGTGTGTGAGAACTTCACGTGAATGAATCCACCACAGCTTGACTGAATGTGCCGTTCATCCTGAGTGTGTGAGAACTTCACGTGAATGAATCCACCACAGCTTGACTGAATGTGCCGTTCATCCTGAGTGTGTGAGAACTTCATGTGAACGAATCCCACCACAGCTTGACTGAATGTACCGTTCATCTTGAGTGTGTGAGAACTTCATGTGAACGAATCCCACCGCAGCTTGACTGAATGTGCCGTTCATCCTGAGTGTGTGAGAACTTCATACGAACGAATCCCACCACAGCTTGACTGAATGTACCGTTCATCCTGAGTGTGTGAGAACTTCATACGAACGAATCCCACCACAGCTTGACTGAATGTACCGTTCATCCTGAGTGTGTGAGAACTTCATACGAACGAATCCACCACAGTTTGATGGGCTTGCTCTCTCTACTCAGCCTGGATGTCCTGAGTTTCAGCCACAGTGTTAGGTGTTGCTATCAGTGTCTTTGCCAGGCAGTATTCTTTTTGTAAATATGTGACCGACTCTTTTTTGTGCTGTTGGTGGCCATTCACCTGGTTCCCTGTGTTTGCTGTGAGCATTCTCCTATTCCCCAGGCACGTGTGCATGAGTGGCTTGCCTGTGCTCAGGGGCAGGAGAGTAACTGTTGTTTAGAGTGGGGGTGCCAAGCTCCACATCTCAGGAAGGAACTCTTTTTTTTTTTTTTTTGAGATGGAGTCTCGCTGTCACCCAGGCTGGAGTGCAGTGGCGTGATCTCGGCTCACTGCAAGCTCTGCCTCCTGGGTTTACGCCATTCTCCTGCCTCAGCCTCCTGAGTAGCTGGGACTACAGCCGCCCGCCACCACGCCCGGCTAATTTTTTGTATTTTTAGTAGAGATGGGGTTTCACCATGTTAGCCAGGATGTTCTGCATCTCCTGACCTCATGATCCACCCGCCTCAGCCTCCCGAAGTGCTGGGATTACAGGCTTGAGCCACCGCGCCCAGCCTAAGAAGGAACTCTTTTTAAAAACAATTACATATATATATCTTTAGTTTTATTGCCATTCTTTAATTGCTGTAACACATCTCAAGAACTCTTGATATTGTCTGCCACTCTGGGGGTAAAAAGTAGTATCTCCTTGTGGCTTTAATTTGCACTTTTGTGATAACTGATGAAGTGAAGCATCTTTTCGTGTTTCTTCCTTTGTTCATTTTGGCTTATTTTGGTGTTTTCTTTCCTTATTGACTTGTTGGTGATGGTCTTTATATATTCTGGACATGAATTCTTGGTCAGTTCTGTGTTGCAGTGACATTTTCCCAGTTGGTGGTGTGTCTTTTCACTCTTTGCAGTACCTTTCGATGAAAGGCGTTCTTAATTTCAGCATACAGCAAGTCCTCATTTAATGTTGTCAATAAGTTCCTGGAAACTGCAACTTTAAGTGAAATGACGTTACATTAATGTTGTTTTATTATAGCCATGAGGAAAAAAAAATTGGTTTTGTTATACAGTTGACCCTTGAACAATGTGGGGATTAGGAGTGCCAACCCGCCCCCACCACCTGCACTGTTGAAAATTTGCATATAGCTTTTGACTCCTTCAAAACTTACTAATAGCCTACTGTTGACTGGAAGCCTTATCAATAACATGAAACAGTCGATGAACACATATTTTATGTGGTTTTTTTCTTTTTCTTTTTTTTTTTTTGAGACAGAGTCTCACTCTGACACCTAGGCTGGAGTGAGTGGCGGATCACAGCTCATTGCAGCCTTGACTTCTTGGGCTCAGACGATCCTTCCACCTCAGGCTCCCAAGTAGCTGGGACTATAGTGCGCGCTACCACGCCCAGCTGATTTTTGTGTTTTTTGTAGATACGGGATTTCAGGCTAGTCTCAAACTCCTGGGCTCAAGCGAGCCTCCCATCTTGGCTTCACAAAGTGCTGGGTTTACAGGTGTGAGCCATCGTGCCTGGCCTATTTTGTATGTTATGTGTATTTAATATTACGTACTGTATTCTTACAACAAAGTAAGCTGGAGAAAAGAAAATGTTGTTAAAAAATAAGGAAGAGAAAATACATTTACTATTTATTAAGTGGAAGCGAATAATTATAAAGGTCTTCATCCTCGTCATCTTCACGTTGAGTAGGATGAGGAGGGAGTGGGGGAGGGGGAGGGGAAGGGGTTGGTCCTGCTGTGGATAAAATCTGCATGGAAGAGGACCCTCACAGTTCCAACCCAAGTTGTCCACCGATCAGCTATACGTCATTTTGCTCAAAGTTACAATTTCTAAGAACCAACCTATTGATGATGTTTAGTGAGGACTTACTGTAGTTGAATTTGTCAATCTTGTTCACAAAGATATATCATCTAAAATTTTTCTGCTTTTACTCTTAGGTTGTGAAATGAGTGCAGTTTCCTTTTTTTCCCCAAAATGCATATTTGGAAAGCCATATTGAAAAGCCTATCTTTTCCCCACTGATCTTAAGTGCCAGCTCAGACGTAAAACAGGTTTCCTTCTATGCATGGCTCTTTCTGGGATCTTTATTCTTTTATTGGCAAATTTGTACCAGTCTGTACTGATACCACACTGTCTTTCTTACTATAGCTTTATAATAGTTCTTGATGTCTGGTTAGGTAAGTTCTTCTGCCTTGCTCTGTGTTAGGAGGATCTTGTCTATTTGGGGACTATTTCAGAAACATGCTAGAATCAGCTCATCAAGTTTCACAGAAAAACCTATTGGGAGTTTTGATTAGAATTTAATTGCATTAATGGATGTTTTGTGAGAATTGCTGTCTTTATGAAGTTCAGCCTTTCCAGTCTATGATCAAAATATAGTTCTCCCCTTCACTTAGGTCTTCCTAAATAGCTTTCCATAAAATTTCATGATTGTGTCTCTTTTGTTAGATTTAATTCTAGGTACTATATATTTTTAAAAGTTGTGCTAAATGGTATATTTTCTAAAATTATATTTTAAATATATTGCTGGTATGTGTCAGTACAGTTGATTTTATTTCTCTTATACTCAGCAACTTTTCTGAACTCTGTTTGTTAATTCTTTGTATACAGTCTTGTATACAAAGACTTTGTATACAGTCTTGTATACAAAGACTTTGTATACAGTCTTGTATACAAAGACTTTGTATACAGTCTTGTATACAAAGACTTTGTATACAGTCTTGTATACAAAGACTTTGTATACAGTCTTGTATACAAAGACTTTGTATACAGTCTTGTATACAAAGACTTTGTATACAGTCTTGTATACAAAGACTTTGTATACAGTCTTGTATACAAAGACTTTGTATACAGTCTTGTATACAAAGTCTTTGTATACAGTCTTGTATACAAAGTCTTTGTATACTTCTCTGAAGAGTTTTTCCTTTATAATCCTTGTTCCTTTTATACTACTTTTTCTTGCCGTTTTGTGCTAGGTAGGACTTTCAGTAAAGTGTTGAGTTCGTGCTAGTGGTGGACAACATTGGCTTGTTCTTGCTTTGAAAGAGAGCACTTTCAGTAGAAAGGCAGATTATTAGAGTTTTGAGTCATAACTGCATGGTTCAAACCTAATGTTTGTTGCCTACTGACCCCACGGCCTCGGTCAGGTTGTCTGAGCTCTCCGTGGTGTTTTTCTCAGTTGTAAATGGGATAACCAGTGTTCTTCTGAGGATTTGCAGTGCGTGGAAGCCTTGGCCTGACGTGTCCTACGGTGTGCTCTTCACTGCTGCTCTCAGGATGACTATGATGATACCTTTAATGTTTCATAAATGGACATAGTGTATAGGGTTCTTGTAGATATTTTTATAAGATTAGTGAAGTTTGTATCTATTCTTCAGTGTTTATGTTGTAGGTGGGTATTGCATGCTTTGTTTGTTTGTTTTGACAGTCTTGCTCTGTCGCCCAGGCTGGAGTGCAGTGGCACGATCTCAGCTCACTGCAACCTCCGCCTCCTGGGTTCAAGCGATTCTCCTGCCTCAGCCTCCTGAGTAGCTGGGATTATAGGCACCAGCCACCATGCCTGGCTATTTTTTATATTTTTAGTAGAGATAGGGTTTTACCGTGTTGCCCAGGCTGGTCTCCAACTCCTGACCTCAGGTGATCTGCCCACCTGAGCCTCCCAAAGTGCTGGGGTTACAGGCTGAGCCACCGTGCCTGGCCCTCATACATTAAATTGAGGAATATGACTTTTTCTTTTCTTCATAGTCAATTATGATAGTCAAATTTTCTAGGAATTTCTTTATTTCATCTACATTTTAAAATTTATTGGCATACATTGTCAATAATTTCTCCTTACAGTGTTTCCGATCTTGGCTGTGTTTGTATGTATGTCCCTTCTTTCTCCTAATACTGTGTATTTATGCCTGTTTTCTTGATAGTCTTGTCAAAAGTTTGTCAGATTCTTTTTTTTTTTTTTTAATCTGGCGCCTGTATATTGTTTTCTGTTTTGTTTCTGCTCGTAGTATTTCTTTTTTAAAAACATCTTTTTCTGAGTTTTTAACTTGGATGACTAGCTTCCTAATTTTCATCAGCTCATTAATATAAACATTTAAGGGTCTGAATTTTTCCGTAATACTGCTTTAGCTGAATATCATATTTATTATTCAGTTTTAAATATTTTCTGATTTCCCCTGTATATATATTTTATTGACCCATGAGTTATTTAGAAGGATGTTTCTTAATTTCCAAACAATACAGGGTTTTCAATATATATTTTTATTATTATTCTACATTAATTGCATTTTGATCAGACAGAAGATGTATGGGATTCTCACTGACCTGGATTTTGTTGAGGTAGGTTTTGAATGGACCAGTTTATAAACATTCCATACATGCTTTAAAACAACATGCATTCATCAGGTTATGGTACAATTCTCTCTCTCAGTCCACCAGGTAGAACTTGTTGATTGCATTATCCAGTTCTTATCCTTACTGATTTTTGTCTTCTTGCTCTATCAATTACTGAGAGAAGTATGTTAAAATGTTCCATTATGATAATGAGTACCTATTTCTCCTTAAGTTTCTGTCAGTTTTCATTTTATGTATTTTGAGACTATGTTAGTATGTGCATATATAGGTTTAGAATTGTTATCCTATTACGTCATCAGTTTTACTTGATTCTAGATAATTTTATCACATCTGTGTTCTATTTTATGAATTCTCTTTTAAGCTCTTCCTAGTCTTTTGTTAACCCATTGATTAAGTGTTAAATTCCAGTTACCAGTTTGTTTTAAGACATTCCCAATGGTTTTTTAGAAAACCTACATGAAATTTTAAAATTATCTCTTGCTCTGTATTCAGACTTTCAGTCATCTCTTTTATTTCTTCAAATATGAAATTTTATAATCTCTGCCTAATAATTGCATGGGTGATGTTTTTGCAGGTCTGATTCTGCTGTCGTTTATGAATCCTGGTTTCTGCTGATGGTACATTGTTTCCTAGCGTACTTTGTGATTTTTGACAATTTATTGGTGTAGGGACCAGCCCCACAGGGTCGGTGGGTTTCTTCCCACCGTGTGTGGAGACGAGAGATTGTGGAAATAAAGACACGAGACAAAGAGATAAAAGAAAAGACAGCTGGGCCCAGGGGACCACTCCCACCAAGACGCGGAGACTGGTAGTGGCCCCGAATGTCTGGCTGCGCTATTATTTATTGGATACAAAGCAAAAGGGGCAGGGTAAATAGTGTGAGTCATCTCCAATGATAGGTAGGGTCACGTGGGTTACGTGTCCACTGGACAGGGGGCCCTCCCCTGCCTGGCAGCCGAGGCAGAGAGAGAGAGACAGCTTACGCCATTATTTCTGCATATCAGAGACTTTTAGTACTTTCACTAATTTTGCTACTGTTATCTAAAAGGCAGAGCCACGTGTACAGGATGGAACATGAAAGCAGACTAGGAGTGTGACCACTGAAGCACAGCATCACAGGGAGACGGTTAGGCCTCCGGATAACTGTGCGTGGGCCTGACTGATGTCAGGGCCTCCACAAGAGGTGGAGGAGTAGAGTCTTCTCTAAACTCCCCACAAGGAAAGGGAGACTCCCTTTCCCGGTCCGCTAAGTAGCAGGTGTTTTTCCTTGACACTGAGGCTACAACAGGCGTCTTCCCAGATCCTGGCGTTACCGCTAGACCCAGGAGCCCTCTGGTGGCCCTGTCCGGGCATAACAGAAGGCTCGCACTCTTGTCTTCTGGTCACTCCTCACTATGTCTCCTCAGCTCCTATCTCTGTATGGGCTGGCTTTTCCTAGGTTATGATTATAGAGCGAGGATTATTATAATATTGGAATAAAGAGTAATTGCTACAAACTAGTGATTAATGATATTCGTATATAATCATGTCTATGATCTAGATCTAGTATAACTCTTGTTGTTTTATATATTTTATTACACTGGAACAGCTCGTGCCCTCGGTCTCTTGCCTCGGCACCTGGATGGCTTGCCGCCCACATATTGGAACTTCATTGTGGAAGTTACTTTAGGCCTGACAGTGAAGGAGTTTCCTCTAGAGAGAGTTTCTGTTAACTTCTGATCTGTGTTCTTTTGTAAAGCATGTCTCTTGTAAACAGCATATAGTTGGTCTTCTCTGCCCTACAGTTTATTCTAATGTCCCTATGTCTCTAAATTGGAGTGTTTAGTACATTTGTATTAAATTTAAGCCTGTTCTATTAATAATTGGGCCTAGATCTATCCTAATTTTAAAATTTATCTTGTATTTTCTCACCTGTTCTTTAGTCAATCTCTTTATGGTTAAAGCATCAGGCAAGTATTTACAAATTATTTCATTTCCTCTTCTCTGTTAGCTTTCTGTATTCTTGTTGTAGGGGCTATCTGATTATGGTGCGCATTCTTGACTTACTAGATATCCTATTAAATTAGCGCTGTATACTCTGTGGGGCAGAGTTTGGGAGCAGCCTTGCTGGGTGGTTGTGGCACAGGTCTCCTGTGAAGATGGTTTTCAGAAGGCTTGATGTAGCAGGCTGGAGGATGCCATTCCAGGCTGGTTCATTCTGCCAGCTGATGGGCTCTGGTTGCATGCTGAGGGCAGGCTGAGTGTCCTCCTGACCTGGGGCTGGTGTCCGAGAGCAAATATCCATGAGGGAGCAGGATAGACACTGTAGTATCTTTTGTAGCTGAGTCTTGGAAGTCACCTACGGTCATTCTCACATATGGTGGTCACACCGGTCAGGCCAGGTCAGTGTGGGAGAGACCAGGAGTGAACACCAGGAGGTGGGTTCCTGGGGATCCCATTGTCTTTATGGTGTCGAGCTGAATCCATGAGCAGAGCCTCTCATTGGGTCAAGGCTTCTTCATGGTCTTCAGGAACCTCTTAGAGCTTTCTTCACAGAGATGTGGAATTTTTGAAAGTTTAATTCTAAGTATATTTAGCTCTTCATGTCCATGGGTTTCAAATCCATGAATTTGATCAACTACAGATAGAAAATATTTACCAAAAACAAAACAAAGCAAAACAGTAAAAAATAAGAACACAGCTGGGTGTGGTGGCTCACACCTGTAATCCTGGCTGCTTGGGAGACTGAGGCAGGATGGTCACTTGAGCCCAGGAGTTCAAGTTCAGCCTGGGCAACATAGCAAGACCCCATCTCTAAAAGAAATATTAAAAAAAAAAAAAACAGCCAACCAAAAAAACCCCCCAAACCAAATAAGCCAAAATAACAGTACAACAATTACAAAAAAGATACCAAAAAAATGTGTAACAACTATTTACATAGCATTCACATTGTATTAGGTATTATAAGTAACCTAGAGATTATTTAAAATATATGAGAGGATGTGTATAGGTTACGTGCAAATATACATTACTTTATATAAGGGACTTGAGCATCCTTGGATTTTGGTATCGAAAGGGGCCTTGGAACCACCTTCTCAGGGATACTGAGGGACGACTGTATTTAATTTTCTGTCTAAACAGGTTTTTTTTTCTTCGATTTCATTTTCTAACTCATTTCCATATGTGGAGGCTGATTTCTGTGTATTGTTTGTTCTGAGACACCTTACAGAATTATCTTCTTACTGGAAGTTTCCAGTGGTTTGGCTTGTTTTTCCTACTTACATATAGCATCATATGCTGTAGTGGTGCATCCCAGCATTTCGCTCTGGAAGCATCAGACAGACAGGAAAGGTGAAGAACCTTGTTAGGAACATCATGGACACACCACCTGAATTCCACAGCCAACACTTACTTTCACTGGGCTCCATTAGGTCTATGTCCATCAAGCCAGTGTGGCAAATATTTAACATCCTGAGCAAATGAATTCAAAAAGTGTTTTGCTAGTCCCAAGTGGACAGTGCCTTTAACATGGTCCTTGTAGGGTGCTTGTCCATGGCATTTGTTGTTTTGGCTCAACAGTCTTTGACATAAAATACAGATGCAAACAAGCTCACATATCACAAGTACACAGCCCAACTAAAGGGTTTTCCCCTGTTAGATCTACCACTGTGTGAACATTCTTTGAACAGAAATCTGGGTTCACATTTCTGTCATTCCTCTGGATAGACTCACTAAAAGGGGAAATGATGAGGTTGAGGGCATTGGATTCCAAAGCCCTTCAGCTTTCCGTGTTGATTTCCAGAAAAATCCAGCCAGTTTATGCCATTATCAGCAGCATGTGGGAGTATCTAATTCATAATAATTTCCCAGTGTTATGATTTTAAGGTGGTTGATAATTTGGTACTTAACAAATTGTGCACTGATTTCCAGGGATGATTAATGAAAAAACATTTTATTGCCCTTTACACTTTTATGTATGTAACAGCTTCATATCCTTTGCCCACTGTTATTGGGGATTTAATTAATGTGTGGTATTTTTTTTTAAGCAATTAGGGTGAGTGTTTTATAAAAAAAGCTTAATTATGTTTTATTATACTTTTTAACATTTTTGCTTTTTGTTTCTTCATTTGATATTTTGTATTTTTATATATCATCTTCATCAGTTATTTCCTATCAATGGTGTTCACTTTTTACATTTTTATTTATTAGTCTATACTGTTACTGTTCATTTAGATTATTTCAGATATTTTAAATCTTTTGTGAATACAATTGAGTTTCTTTCAAAGATTCTCATCTTTATAGAGAAAATATTTTATACTTTTAAAAATTTGCATAAATTTCAGGGGTGCAAGTACAGTGCTGTTTCCTGGCTGTACTGTGTAGTGGTGAAGTCTGGGTCTCTGGTATGTCATGACCCAAATGTGTGTTGCACCTACTAAGTAATTTCTCATCATTCCCCTTGCATCCCCCAACAAAATATTTTACACCTTTTATCAGTAATGGGCAACCATTTTAGTTTTTAGAAAAAACAAGTGTGCTTTTAGACAATATAATCTTTTTCCAAGGAGTGATCTAAAGCTGGAAAAAGGAATACATGTGAGAGGGAGCCCCTTGCCCTTCTTACCGTGGTTCTCCTGGCTGCTGCTCCTTCCCAATTTAAATTACAGTTGTTGTTATAAAGTAACAGCCCTTCTGCCCGCAACCCTCTGCAGCTGAGCTGCCCCTCCTGGACCTGATGAAGCTGTACGAAGGCGCCTTCCTGCCGAGTTCTCAGTGGCCCCGGCCGAAGCCTGATGGGGAGGACACAAGCGGAGAGGAAGGTGCGCTCCCAGCCTTTGGAAGAATTCAGGGTTAAAAGCAGAAGCCGGAGTACTTACAAAGACTTAAAATAAGATTTAGAAAATTTCTTTTAGTTTGATAAAATAAAAAATTAGAAATATTTAATAAGTATCTTTATATTGAATAGAATTTTATTAAATTCCGTGCTTTTAATTTATTAACCTGGCACAGTTATCGGGGCACTTGATCATGTTGTGAAGGATGTAAAAATATTTTTCTCTAGATTTATAAACATCATTGTTTTATGGACCTAGATATATTTATTCAGGCTGTGCTGTGTTTGTTCAACACACCAGTTTTGAGTAGTTTATTTTACTTGGTATTAGACTTTCTAAACAGATGCACAGAGCATACCAGAAAAGGTCTGCCTTTCCTGCTCTCATTCCAGTTGTTGGGACAGTTAGACACCTGCATGCGAGTTGGGGAGTGGCCCACAGGAGCCTTGGGGAGGTCAGGCCTTACCAGACCCCACGCTGCCAGCAGGACCAGAGGAAGGAGTGGCGGGTTTGGTCTCCTCCCGGTTTCCCACATTTGGGAAAGGGTTCTGCTTTTTTCTTTCTTGGTGATAGACGGGAGATCCCTAAACCCTGAGACACCTACATGTATCTCTCTGTGATACCAGCTCCTAATTGCTATGGAGACATTTTCCAAAATGCCAGACTATTTGGGGCAAATTATACTCTTGGAGGGCTTTCCAGAATGGTCCTTGGTTTGATAGTTTCATGAGAGTTCTCTCCCATTTATCCAGGTAGCATTGTTAGATATTTTGGATTACAAATAAAAAATTATTGCCTAATTCAGTATTTAAAGTAGTTGGATTCTATAAACTTTTTCCTGTTTTAAAAAAAGGTTTAGATTTATAAAGCCTTCTCAGTGGCCCTCACTTCTCTGTTTTATTGTCGTTACAGATGCAGATGACTGTCCAGGCGACAGGGAGAGTCGCAAGGACTTGGTTCTCATCGACTCGCTTTTCATCATGGATCAGTTCAAAGCTGCCGAGAGGATGAATATCGGGAAGCCAAACGCCAAGGACATTGCGGACGTCACTGCGGTGGCTGAAGCCATCCTGCCGAAGGGCAGTGCTCGGGTCACAACCTCGGTGAGGCGCTAAGCTTTCAAGTGTGGGATGGGCCTTTGAGAGACAGAGCACATAGCTTAGCCATGAGAAAAGCTTTTCCTCTTCCCAGTGAAATGGTCTATCCCAACTGCAGAGTTGTCAGAAAAAGCAATTCTTCATGTGCCTGTAGTCCCAGCTACTCAGGAGGGTGAGGCAAGAGGATTGCTTAAGGCCAGATGTTCAGGCGTTCAAGACCAGCTTGGGTGACCTAGCGAGACTCGATCTCCAAAAGAAGCAATTCTTCCTCTTCCTGTTTTCTGTAGATCATTTTTGTGGCTTTCTAATTGGTTTATCATGTGACTGTTGATTTCAGTTTTGAGAAAAAGTTTGGGTGATTATTTTGACGAGCTGTCATTCTTTTATTTGTTCATCACTGCAGGTCAAGTTTAATGCTCCATCTTTGTTGTATGGGGCTCTCAGAGATTATCAGAAGATTGGCCTGGACTGGCTGGCCAAACTTTACAGGAAGAATCTCAATGGCATATTGGCAGATGAAGCTGGGCTGGGTAAAACAGTGCAGATCATTGCTTTTTTTGCCCACCTAGCTTGTAACGAAGGTAAGAGTTTGCTAGTTTTTTTAACAATACCTATTTGCTAGGACTTACCTATAGGCCAGTGTGTTTGATGGGAGTGTGGGGACTTGGCTATCTTATCTACTTCTTTGCTCCTATCTGTTGACCTGAGCAAATTGAGGCTCAGAAGTATTCATTTTATGAATGAATAAAAAACTGGTTCACAGTTAACATCCAGTAACAATTAGTGAAAATCTAATAAAATACAGAGACTCGTCAGGCTATGACTGAACCTTGTGACTCCAGGGTCAGGTCACTGTGCAGTGTGTGGGCAGCAGAGCAGGTGGTCCACTTCCCATGCTGCTTCTAGACTGGCATGAACCCGCCGTTGGGCTCTCAGCCGTGTGGGGTGGTTTGTGGCATGCATCTTGGCTCACTGTATCCTTTTCATGTTATCATGTCCATGCCTCCTCTCGTCCCTCTTGCTGGATTTCACCTGTCAATGGGGCAGCGTTTCTGATCCACTGCTCAGGTTCCTTAGGGAATGGGCCTGGGTACACTGTGTGGGCTCAGTCTCTGCATGGCAGCCCCAACTGGCTCTTCACCCTCCTGACACTTCTAGCTGGTACACAGCTTGTGTAGGCCCTCTGGCCTCCTTTCCAGTCTTTAGAGTCAGCTCCTTGTTCACTCCCCTTCCTCTCTTGGCTTTTGGGTCAAGTGCCCACCCTAGTCTCCTGCTCTGTGCCTAGCTGCAGAGGAAGGTGTGACTTGTGTCTCTAACACAGGACAAGGTTTCACTGTTCTTGCTCTTGTAAGAGAAGTGTTCAGTAAACATCTTGGAATGTGGTTCCCACTATATGTTCCAGACTTAAAGTAGGCTTTGCTATTGCTGCAGAGAAGAGGGGATTTGGCCTTGTCTTTACATTTGAGCTTTGAACGTAAAGCTGGACACGTTTAAATTAGGAGGGTCAGCTTAGGGAAGCGATGACCCCATGGGTGCTCTGACTGAAGGCTGTGTGGAAAGAAATGGAACACAGTGGGCTTGTGGTGGGGGTCTCAGTCCAAGTAGCTTAAGGAGAGAGAGGCAGGGCTGAGGGTCCCTTCACCTCCAGCGAGGGTTCTTTTTTTTTTTGAGATGGAGTTTCACTCTTGTTGCCCAGGCTGGAGGTGTAATGGCACGATCTTGGCTCACTGCAACCTCCGCCTCCTGGGTTCAAGCGATTCTCCAGCCTCAGCCTCCCAAGTAGCTGGGATTATAGGCATGCGCCACCACACCCAGCTAATTTTGTATTTTTAGTAGAGATGGGGTTTCTCCATGTTGGTCAGGCTGGTCTCGAACTCCCAACCTCAGGTGATCCGCCTGCCTTGACCTTCCAAAATGCTGGGATTACAGGCGTGAGCCACCGCACCCGGCCTGAGGGTTCTTCTTAACAGTTCCCTTCTAAGCTGTTTGCATAGTTTGCCACAGCACTGTTGTTGAATACGTCTTCCTTGCCTTCTGTTTTGAAAAACTCGGTGCATCTCATGATAAGTTTTTAAGCATAAGCAGATCAACTTCTGAGCTTCATATTTTCTTCCATTATTTGTTTCTGTCTTTGGCCCGTGTCACACAGTTTAGATGTAGTGCTATAGCATACATTCATATGCATAGTTAATTCAAGATGGAAAAGCTACCTTGCCTTGCTACTTTATTATTTGGGTTAAAAGAGTGTTCACTGTTACAATAGTAAAATATTGGAAGTAGCCTATACATTTTTTTTTTTTTTGAGACAGAGTCTTGCTCTTTCACCCAGGCCAGAGTGCACTGGTGCACCCTTGGCTCACTGCACGTTCCGTCTCCTGGGCTCAAGAGGATCGCTTGAGGCCTCCTGGGCAGGAGGATCAAGGCGATCCTCCTGCCTCAGCCTCCCAAGTAGCTGGGACTACAGACGCTTGTCACTATGCCTGGCTAATTTTTTTGTATTTTTGGTAGAGACAGGGTTTCATTATGTTGCCCAGGCTGGTCTGGAACTCCTGAGCTCAAGTGATCCACCCACCTCAGCCTCCCAAAGTGCTGGGATTACAGGCGTGAGACACCGTGCCCAGCCTTTTTTTTTTTTTTTTTTTTTTTAGGAGCTGTTGCCCAGGTTGGAGTGCAGTGGCATGATCAGGGCTCACTACAGCCCTGACTTCCCAGGTGCAAGTGATCCTCCCACCTCAGCCTCCTAAGGAGCTACTTAGGAGGCTGAGGTGGGAGGATCACTGTAACTGAACAAAAAACTGGCTAAGTTTTATATTTTTGGCAGAGATAGGGTTTTGCCATGTTGCCAGGTTGGTCTTGAACTCCTGGGCTCAAGAGATCTGCCTGCCTTGGCTGCCCAAAGTGGTGGGATTACAGGCATGAGCCATCGTGCCCAGCCTGGAAGTAGCCTATGCTTCTAAAACTAGGGGATTGTGTTTTGTCAGTTGAACAGATGAGTGAATCAGTCAGCGTTCATTCATCTGCTCCTTACCTGATGACTGTCACAGACCCCAGGCACTTTTCTAGGTCCTGAGGTTGCAGCCCTGCTTTCAGGAACCCCACACTGGTACAGATGAACCTTGAAATGGGCTAATGACCCAGCATAGTGACAGGAGCCTGGCCAGCTGGAGCAAGGTCTCAGGGAGATGGGGCAGTGGGGGTGGGGGCTGCAAGTGCAGCTGGTGTCCAGGAACAGCACCGAGGCCAGTGTGAGGGTGAGAGGGTAAGAGGGTGTGAGGGGACGGTGGGGGATGACAACAGAAAGATTGCGGTCAGCCACGATAGAGGCCTATCAGGCCCTGGGAGCTGATGTGGCTTTGCCTTAGTGTGTGGTCTGCATCAGTGCAGGTGTTGGTACAGGTGTCTGCTCAGGCTAGAGAGCAGTGGTGTGATCATGGCTCACTGCAGCCTCAGCCTCCTGGGCTCCAGTGATCAACCCTCCTGCCTCAGCTTCCCAAATAGCTGGGAATACAGGTGTATGCCACCACGCCTGGCTAATTTTTTTTTTTTTTTTTTTTTTTTTGGAGAGATGAGGTCTTACTATGTTACCCTGGCTGATCTCGAACTCCTGGCCTCAAAAGATCCTCCTGCCTTGGCTTCCCAAAGTGCTGGGATTAGAGAGATTACAGCTGTGAGCCACCGTGCCTAGCCAGCTTTTCTTTTTTATTTATTTATTTTTTAAATCTTGTTTTTCACTGGGTGTTAAAATATCATCTGGATTTGATTTGTGTTTACCTACTCTGAGGTTGTGTCTTTTTTTTTTTTTTTTGAGACGGAGTTTTGCTCTGTTGCCCAGGCTGGATGGATTGCAGTGGCGTGATCTCAGCTCACTGCAACCTCTGCCTCCGGGTTCAAGTGATTCTCCTTCCTCAGCCTCCTGAGTAGCTGGGATTACAGGCACACGCCACCACGCCCAGCTAATTTTTGTATTTTTAGTAGAGACAGGGTTTCACCATATTGGTCAGGCCGGTCTTGAACTCCTGACCTCCTGATCTGCCTCCCTCAGCCTCTGAAAGTGTTGTGATTACAGGTGTGAGCCACTGCATGCAGCCGGTTGTGTCTTTTAAAGAGTTTATTGTCCTGTTATATTTTTTTCTTTGTGACATTTCTGTTCATATCCTTTGTTTATTTTCTATTGGGTGGTTCTTTTCCAGGATCAGCAGGAATGCTTTGCATATTAGCAGTAATGGCCATAGATGGATGTGTTGTAAATATTTGTTTAAAGTCTGCTAAGTCTGTCTTGTAACTTGGTTTATGTTACATTTATAGCACAGAAGTTGAAATTTGTATGTATTCCTCTAATAATCTTTAAAAACCTTAGTTTTCTCGCCAGGCTTGGTGGCTCATGCCTCTAATCCCAGCACGTTGGGAGGCCGAGGTAGGCGGGTCACCTGAGGTCAGGAGTTTGAGACCAGCCTGGCCAACATGGTGACACCCCGTCTCTACTAAAAATACAAAAATTAGCTGGGCATGATGGCGTGTGCCTGTAATCCCAGCTACACAGGAGGCTGAGGCAGGAGAATCGCTTGAACCTGGGAGGCAGAGGTTGCAGTGAGCCGAGATTGTGCCGTTGGACTCCAGCCTGGGTGACAAGAGCAACACTCCATCTTAAAAAAAACAAAATCTTAGTTTTCTGAAGAATGAAATTTGAAACAACATATTTTAGGATGGTTTGGATGTGCCCTGACTAAAGCTTGGGAAGCAGCGATGGACACAAGCCCTTGGCTAACAAAACACAGTTTAGACGCCTGCTGTGTGGGTGCCTGGCTTGTGGGAAGGACTTGAGCAGGGTCTGGGGCTCTCTTAGTCTGTGAGTCCACTTTCTGAGTGTTACTCGTTTCCCCTGGGATCTTGGAGGGGTTTTCTGTGGTTTGAATGAACACTAGTGTCTTCTTGGGACTGCTCGTTCAATGTGTGTCTACTAAGGCCTCCTCTGGTGCAGGCTTGGTGCTTGTGCAGCAGCGCCCTGGGGGCCAAGGAGCAGCTTCTGGGCAGTGTGCTGGCTCCAGATGAATGCACTTGTTCCCCCCCAAGTCTGCCTCAGTCGTGCGATGGCTCATGTGACACATACTCATACTGATGAAGCGTCTCTGGTCAGACACAGTGCTAGGTGCCTGGACATGACAGATACTTTGACGTGGAAAATTCTGTTTTTTGCTTTGTAGGTAATTGGGGCCCCCATCTTGTTGTTGTGAGAAGTTGTAACATACTCAAGTGGGAGCTTGAATTGAAACGTTGGTGTCCCGGACTCAAAATCCTCTCATATATTGGCAGCCACAGAGAACTCAAAGCAAAGAGACAGGTATTTTTTTTTTAAACATAAAATAAAGCTAAACAGAAAGCCATGTTAATTTTTATAAAAGACACATTAAAAAATGTGAAGACATGCTTATTCATGGAATTATTAAAGATCACTCATTCATGAGTTAACAGACCTTTATGTTGTTCCCCTCGAAAGCATAGACAATACCGCATCGGCCTGGCCATTCCTTGTGAGGAGGGCCACGCACTCGCAGGCCCAGGTGTGCACAGATCTCAGTGTCACTGCCCAGAAAGTGGGGCAGTTTGCTCCGAAAATGGTATTCTCTGGGACAGTGCAACACTTTCCCCCTGGAGGCCCTGCTGGCTTCCACAGGCACAGAGGAGAAGCTAGGTGCTCCCAGCTCTGAATTTAAAACCCATAGAACCATTTCCACAACATGCCTAATAGATAACGTTTCTGGAACAAATTTTAACTTATTAAAGATTTTTGTCTGCCCTATAGTTTCTAGTACTAGGTCACTGAAGGTAGATTCATCACAGTTTTCCATTGAGTAGAACGTTTTGGACCATTAGACATCATTGTGTTGAGTAGTGTTTACTGAAAAAGTGAGCTTTCAGTAGTATTTTCTTTTTTACTATTGTAGTCTGTTTTTGGTGCTATTGCAAAATACCACAGACTGGGTAATTTGTAAGTATAGAAATTTATTTCTCACAGTTCTGGAGGCTGTGAAGTCCAAGATCCAGATGCCAGCAGATTTAGTGTCTGGTGAGGGCCTGGTTTCCGCTTCCCAGATGGGGCCTTGCTGCTGCACATTTTGGAGGGGACATGGCGGAAGGGATGGAAGGGCAAAAGGGTCCAAGCTGGTTCCCTCCAGCCCTTTCATACTGCACAAGTTCATCCTTGAGAGCAGGGAAGTCTCCACTTCTTAATACTACCACCATGGGCATTAGATTTCAACATGAGTTTTGGAGGGAACACATTCAAGCCATAGTACTATGTCTGGCTTTTAGTTTGTTTTTAAAAAGTGTATAATGCAGTCAGTTGCAATACAGATGTTGACATCTCTTATTTTTCTGAGCACACTTCCCCTTGTTTTGATTAGATACTAGAAGAGCTCGCCCTGCTTCAGGATCCTCTGCCATAATCTCAGTATTTTCCAAATGGTAATTGTCAGCGCCTGCAAAATAGCTTCTTAATTTGTCAACGAAACTGCTTTAGACCCCTAGAGGTAGAGATAAAAACATAAACACAGCCGTTTTCTGTGCGGTAATAGCAAGTTATTTAAAAAAGCAAGTAAAATTATAGGTGGGAACGGAGTCACTGGGTGGCAAGCTTTGGGAAGTGTGTGTCCTCAAGGTGATTTTGAAAGACAGTGGAGTGTGAAGGCACTGAGCTGTCCTCTCTGTGCTGCAGGAGTGGGCCGAACCCAACAGCTTCCACGTCTGCATCACGTCCTACACTCAGTTCTTCCGGGGCCTCACCGCCTTCACACGAGTGCGCTGGAAGTGCCTGGTCATTGATGAGATGCAGCGCGTGAAGGGCATGACCGAGAGGCACTGGGAAGCGGTTTTCACCCTGCAGAGGTCTGTGTGTTACGCGCTTGTCATTGAGTGTTCTTTGCTGTTGATGTAGAAGATTCTCTTGAAGAAATCTGCATAATTGCAGACACAAACAATGGCCTTTGAGCTAGAGAATTGCTTTTCATCTTCATCCCAGCACATGGGCCAGAGAGCCCCAGAGCTGGGTCAGTGCAGCCCCCCTTTTCAGGCATGTGCACGTTGACATTTGCGGTGTCAAATTACTGTCCCTTTTCTCACACATTGTCAGAGAAGATGCTGCTGCAGCCAGCCCCGTGGCTGTAGAACTCCAGTGTTGTCTCTTGTCCTGTTTGCAGCCAACAACGTCTGCTTCTGATCGACTCGCCGCTGCACAATACCTTCCTGGAGCTCTGGACCATGGTGCACTTCCTGGTCCCAGGGATCTCCAGGCCCTACCTGAGCTCCCCTCTGAGGGCCCCCAGTGAAGAGAGCCAGGATTACTACCATAAAGTGGTCATAAGGTTACACAGGGTAGGTTGGGTTCTGCCATTTCAGTTAATTAATTAAACATGCGTATGCCTTGTTATAAACGTGTTACAGCAGCATTTTTGGAAAGAAAACAGTAAACAGTTTTTATTTTCAGGTGACACAGCCATTTATTTTGAGGAGAACTAAGAGAGATGTGGAAAAGCAACTAACAAAGAAATATGAGCATGTTTTGAAGTGTCGCCTTTCTAACCGACAAAAAGCCTTATACGAGGACGTTATCCTGCAACCTGGGTGAGTGTGGGCTCTGGGCATGTGCCCCCTTTGCTGTCCCTGCCTGTGAGGGAAAACGGCCCTTTCTGTGGCCTCAGCAGAAAGCTCCTTTCCGCAAGGATTGGGTGTCTGGAGCTGGAGACCGAGGCACCCTCCTGGGGGCAGCAGGCTCTGCAGCCTCAGGTGTTTCCAGCTGTTTCAGGCTCATGCTGGTCCTGCTGCACTTCCCGTCTCAGAAGCCCCACTCCTGTGTAGCTGCCCACGTGTAGGGTGGTGTCCTGGTGCTGCTCCCTGTGTTGCCCAGAGAATTCTGTGAATTTTAGTTTCCATTCATCCGGGAGGGATGGTGATTGAGCAGCTCGCCTTCCCACAGCCAGCTGGAGGCCCCAGGACTTGGGTCGGCTGTGGCCCACCGGAGGTGGCACGCTGGTGTCTGTGGCGCAATGAGTCGTGCGTTGCATGGGGTGGAATGCGCCACGCAATGCACACCATGTGATGGCCAGCCGCTGTGCCTCTGTCTGGCAGGGACGTGCTGGTGCCAGAAGCTGTGCCCTTTGAGTTGACACAGAGTGTGGGGCCCCCTTTGACCCTCTCCGAGGTCTTCAGATGTGCATGGTTTTGGTCTGTCAGGCTTTCCATTTTCCTGAGTTTAGATGAAAAAAACACAAAAAACCCTGGAAATCAAGTTTTGGAGGATTTGAAATTTATCTGTGCTTAGTCATCACACCTCACTCTCTGCTGGGGGTGTGGCCATGAGGCTTTGCTGCAGGGTTACCCCCTACCCCGTGCCACCTCAGCCTCAGCGTCCCTCACAGGCACAGTCAGACACACTGGATCAGGTGACCCCACTCTTCCCCCAGCCACGTGCTGATGTGCTCCCCTCCTTGTGGGGAGATGACATGGGGACCCTGATGAGGTGCTGTGGCGGGAGCAGACGCCAGGTGATCGTATGAGTGCACTCTGGCCGTGGCACAGCAGACTGTGGTTTGTGGAGACTAGGGGTGAGGCCATGCTAGCCACACCCCACCCCCCGTCCTGGGTCTCCCTCTCTGTGCCTCATCCTCTGCTCTGGGTCTCCTTCTCTGTGCCTCATCCTCTGCTCTGGGTCTCCCTCTCTGTGCCTCATCCTCTGCTCTGCAGCCAGAGGGCGTGCACTCATGGGCTCGCCAGGGTTCTGTGCATGCGCATGTGGAGCCTGGGCACCCTCGAGAGGCAGGTGCCTGTGAATGCAGCATGCTTAATCCTGGTGAGTGGAGATTTCAGGAGGGAAGGTAAGTGTGCATGATGACTGTGGAATTTCTCAGTCCTCCACAAATGACACAGTACAACCGTCCTTTCTCCAAGAGGCGGAGCAGTGGAGCAGCACTTCATTCCACACCATTAGTGGCGAGACTCTCCAAGCATTGTAGAAACTTTGTATGTGTGGACAGAAACCGCTTTGCCATGTTGCTGAAGCTCTGGTGTCAGATTTTTCAGTAGAATACTGAAATCAGCCTATGTCAGCTTTGGTAACATACTAGTTGTCATTTGAGTGGAGAGGACTCATAACTTTATGCAGGTTTTGAGCGCCAGCCTATCAGGGAAGTCACGTTGACCACGCCCTGCGTACAGAGACCGTCTTAGGGAGTCCGACCCATTGCCCTTCTGTGGTTGTGCCCACACAATATGGTGGTTTGCCTTCAGGGTTGCAGTGTCGTCTGAGGTGTGAGAGGCTGGTGGCCCTGGGACCTGTTGGGGGAAAGCACGTCTTATTCTGCTGGTCTTAGGCCAGCTTTGTGGCATCTGCTCCCTGGGTTAATGGCAGGAGAGCGCTTGGACTCCTCAAGCACATTTTCCTCTTTCTTTCCGGGCCTGTGAAATCAAGCTTTAGTGCATTAGGTGTGCGCACGCCTCGCCCCCCTGGAGCACCTGGTAATCAAGTGTTTGGGCGCTGTCTGGTGCTTGACGGGATCCTTGGGTGGCCCAGGAGCGTCCTGTCCTGGTCAGCTCCCCCCTCCTCTTGCAGGGACCATGCCACACCCGCTGCCGTGAGGGTGGCACCCATGTTTCTGTACCACGAGCTCCAGAGCTGCCAGACCAGACTCCCTACCTGCCCAGACCCCCCTGTGCTTGTGCCGGCCTCTCCTGGTTCCTGTTAGCCAGGGCAAGTTGCCTTTCTGTTACCAGCCAGTTCATATGGGCTTTAAGCTCCATCCCTTCTCCGGAACCATCCGTCGTCTCAGCCATTCTTTTTGAAGCATGTGATTTGCCCTGGCCCTTGTGCATGTAAGTCCTTCCCTGGCCTCTTTTCCTTCCCACCGCTGCTCTCTAGAGCCAGGCTCACAGGAGCTCTCCTGATGCTTGTCTCCATTTTTCGGTCTCCACTCATTTCTCAGCCCCCATGCAATGTGCTCCTCACGCATCAAGGCCTAGCTGTGTGGGGACTCAGGACTCCAGGCGCCGTCTCTCCTGTGGAGCCCTCCTGCTTTTTTTTTCTTTTTTTTCCTTTTTCTTGAGATGGAGTCTCGCTCTTGTCACCTAGGCTGGAGTGCAGTGGCACGATCTGGGCTCACTGCAACCTCTGCCTCCCAGGTTCAAGTGATTCTCCTGCCTCAGCCTCTCGAGTTGCTGGGATTACAGGCATGTGCCACCACACCTGGCTAATTTTTTTTGCATTTTTAGTAGAGACGGGGTTTTACCATGTTGGCCAGGCTGGTCTCAAACCCCTGACCTCTAGTGATCCGCCCACCTTGGCCTCCCAAAGTGCTGGGATTGCAGGCATGAGCCACCGCACCCGGCCTTGGTTGGGTTCTGTGGTGCGTACTGCTGTCATGGTAGCTTCTGTCACCTGCACTTGAGCTGACCCTTGAGCTCCTCACGTCCGGCGTGGCAGAACTGAGCTCGTGTTTTCCCAAGCCTGGCTCCCTCCCTGGTGTTCCTGTTTTAGGGTGTGCGCCACCATCGACCAAGTTGTTTGAGTTGGAAATTTGCCATTGCTCTCTCCTCCCTCCTCTTCCCACAAGTCTGCCATCTCCTTCCTGAGTCTCTCTCCCGACCAGTTACCTGTCGTCACTATCACCCCGGTTTCCTCCCTCAGGCCGCCTGGTGCACTGTGCTCACACCAGAGAGCTACTCCCCACCATGGTCCCATTTCCTGCCCAGCCCTGGTCCCAGTGTGCGTTGTAGGTCCTTCTGTCTGCCCCCTTCACTGGGTGGTAAGCCGCACAGGGCATGGACCTGGGTCCTCGTCTACCCCCGCTCACTGCCTGCAGGGCCAGTGTAGGACCAGGCGTCAGAGCTGCCGAGCGGGTGTGTGAGGGGCTTTACTCTGCTGCGCTCACCCTGCCCCTCACTTTGCTCATCCCCCTTGGATGCCCCCACTTCTCTTTCAGAGCACTCGGTATGATTGTGAATGAAGTGGAGTGGCTGTCTTTCCGTCAGCTCTGGTGGGGCGGATGTCATTCTCAATGGGGATGGCGAACAAGTGCAGAGGGGCCTGCCTGGGATGTGGACTTGAATGGCCACTCTGTCTAACTCATTAAGCGGACCTAGAAAATCTGCTCCTGCCTGCCTTTCTGGAGTTGGGACAGTCGATGGTGAGGGTGGGACTATGTCCATGTGCCGTTTGGATTGAATGCTTCGTGTTTCTTTCTCCACGGGCAGCACTCAGGAGGCCTTGAAGAGCGGGCACTTTGTCAACGTCCTGAGCATCCTTGTGCGGCTGCAGCGCATCTGCAACCACCCTGGGCTCGTCGAGCCCCGGCACCCAGGCTCTTCCTACGTGGCGGGGCCACTGGAGTATCCGTCCGCATCTCTAATCCTGAAGGCACTGGAGAGAGATTTCTGGAAGGTAAGTGGAGGATCCAGAAAGCGGAATTACTGTTGGATATCTTTTCTAGGCACATTATAGATAAAACCATTCTTGGAAATGGGTTCTCAACCAGCTCTTCTGCAATTGCAATTGCAGCTCCGCGATACATGGCACCGTCTAGCAGCACTGATGGCCTGCCACCCCTTGCCGGAGTGTTCCACCTCCGGAAATTTACCCGAGGGAGACAGGCTCACAGAGTGGAAAGATGCAGAGGGCAGGCTTTCTTGGCGTTGTGTGGATTGTGGGCTGTGAGAAGTAGCTGAGCATGCACGCTCATCAGCAGAGCTTCACCAAGGGTGTGGCAGCACCTGTGTATTGGCACGGAGGAGGGTCTGCTTGCCGAGTGGCCGTTAGAGGGGGCGCGTCTGGATGCCCACGTTAGGGCCCTGCCATAGAAATCAGTTTTGATTCTTAGGTGCTTTTTTTGCCTCTTCATGCAGCAAGACTTTTTTTCTTTTTCTCTCTAGGAAGCAGATCTTTCTATGTTTGATCTCATCGGCTTAGAAAATAAAATCACTCGTCACGAGGCAGAGTTGCTGTCTAAGAAAAAGATACCGCGGAAACTCATGGAGGAAATCTCCACTTCAGCAGCCCCAGCAGCCCGACCAGCAGCAGCAAAGCTGAAGGCCAGCAGGTGCGTGCGACCCAGAGGCAGCGGGGAGGGTTGGCTCCCAGGGCCCCCACAGCTGACCCAGGTCTATGCGTGGTGAAAAGAAAGGCTGCTAATGTAGTTAGGTTATCTGCTGCTCTTGGGACCTTGCTGGTGTCCTTGGCTGTGGTATGCCTGGCTCTGCAGATGCCTTTTAGGCTGTGTGGTGCAGTGCAACTGCTTGCCTCCCTGAGCAGCAACCTCCTTGATCGTCTTTGCAGCAGTTTTAGGGTAGGGTGGGTGTCAGGGCTGCATTTGACCTGGTGCCTCGTGTGGTGGAGGCTGGTGTGGCCGAACCACACATGTGTCGTGAGTGTGGCAGGCAGAGGACTCCACCCCCACGGTGATGTCATTGTCTTAACAAGTGACATGTGAGTGATTCTGAAGTGATGCTTTTGCGGGTGTCATGAGGCTGGGAGGGACAGACACGTTAGATGATTAAAACGAGATATAAATGACTCATAGTCTAAATCTAGCAATTGGAAATATCCAAAATCCTATGCTTGGGTTAAAAAGAAAGGAAAGGAAAGGAAATAGGTATTTGGAGATGAAGGGGCCAGCTCTGCAGACAGTCTTGTGATCCTTGCCATTCCAGGAGTTCTGCAGTCTTTCTTGTTGGCACTTCTGTATTTGGCTTCACTGGGGACTTTGAGTGGATCACCGTCCCCTCATCAGTACCAGAGGTTTCTGCTTAGCTTGAGGACTCACGACCCAGCAGGCTGCTCCTCAGAGAGCCTGCAGCCATCAGTTAAATGAACAGCACCCATTCCAGTGGGTGCTAGTCTGTCTTTTTAAAATGGCTTTTTACAAAAAAGTTTATAAAAGTTTTTAATAGAGACAGAGGTCTCCCTGTGTTGCCAGGCTGGTCTTGAACTCTTGGGCTCAAGGGACCCTCCTGCCTTGGTCCCCCAAAGTGGTAGAATTACAGGTGTGAGACCACACGCCCGGCCTAAAAATGGCTTTTGATGGCCGTCTCTGCCTGTTACATTGTATAGGGGTTTTGAAAATGGCCAATATAGTTCCCAGCTTAAAGTGGGCACAGTGGCTCATGCCTGTAATCCCAGTGCTTTGGGAAGCCAAGCTGGCGGGATTGCTTGAGCCCAGGAGTTGGAGACCAGCCTGGGCAACATTGGGAGACCCTGTCTCTCCAAAAAAAAAAATCAAATCCAGGCGTGGTGGTGCACACCTGTATTCCTAGCTACTTAGAGGCTGAGGCAAGAGGATTGCTTGAAGCCGGGAGTTTGAGGCAACAGTGAACCATCACTTGAACGGCTGCTTGATCAGACTTTTGTCAAGTTGATGTTTCTCCTCACTCCCCTCAGCCCTTGTGCTGTAATAGATGCGTTGTTTTCTATCTACATTGATATGATTGTGAAAGTTAAAACAGCATTCACCCTTGTATTCCCAGGAATCTGGGTGGATGTACCATACCACTTTGGTGTACTTAGTCTTGTTAGCCACTGCGCCCGGGCCCGGGGTGAGCTTACCTAGAGCAGTACTTAGGCATCTTTCCCCTTCCCTCTGTAAACTGCACTCTGGGTGCTGGTCCCTGAGCTGGCTTCCTATGGGCAGCGGTGAACCCCGGCTCCATGAGGTGGCCTGTCCTCTCTGTGGTCTGATGCTCTGTATCTTCTTGCCTGGACCAATGGGCATCTAGGTTGTTTCAGCCTGTGCAGTATGGCCAGAAGCCCGAGGGTCGCACCGTGGCTTTCCCCAGCACTCACCCGCCCCGGACGGCAGCCCCCACCACGGCCTCTGCTGCTCCACAGGGCCCGCTTCGAGGACGGCCGCCCATCGCCACGTTCTCTGCCAATCCGGAGGCAAAAGGTAGACTTCACGTAGTTGTCTGCTCTCCGCCTTATGGAGGTTTTTGTGGGACAAGTTCATGGCACTTTCTTCTCGCGCCTCTGGATGCGGTAATTGTCCCTGAGTGGGAACAGGCACCACCCGCTGGCTTTCTGAAGGTGCCTTGTTTAGTTCTTGATGAGTTTTAGACTTTTTGATGGCTTGTAATGGATGTTTTCCCTATTGAAGAAGCTTCACTCCTAGGTGATAAGTGTTGATCTGATGCTCACAGCCACTGGGCAGGCTGTTTCTGTTGACAGAGGTGCGTGCGTGCAGTCGTCTAGGAGACTCCTGAGAACGTCTGCTCATATTGTATTTTGTGCTGTCACTTGAACTTAATTATTCTTTTGAGGAAGGGTAGAGTAGAAAAGGCCATCAAAAGAGTTAAAAGTAGTATTTCACCACCTGGCCAAAGGGGCCCTCCACGCCATGTCCATCCAGGTTTTCTGAGCTAAAAATAAATGCTCAGACCTGCATTGTTGCCAGCATTCTCTATAGAAATATGAGTGGAAGCTCTGTTGATGTTTTCTTTGTGTGTTTAGGAAATAGTTTCTAATTGATACTAATGTTTGGTTGGGCTGACTTCTAACAGTTTCTGTTTACTCTGAGAAATGTACCGCGTAGCGTACTGTAGCTCGAAGTGAAGATAATTATCAACAAGTAAAATTATATTTCTCTCACCCTGTAAACTATATGGCCCCTCTTTTTTTCCTTAAGAGGGGACTTCTCATTTGAGAGACGGTGTGAAATGTTTATTTTATTTCTTTAAAATTCAGTTTAAAATATTGTATTTTATTAAGAACCTCTAACAGCTTTGCACAAACAAACCTTATCGATTGCAGCAGCAGCAGCCCCGTTTCAGACCTCTCAGGCTTCCGCCAGTGCTCCACGACACCAGCCCGCCTCGGCCTCCAGCACAGCCGCTAGCCCGGCCCATCCTGCGAAACTGCGGGCCCAGACCACAGCACAGGCCTCCACCCCAGGCCAGCCCCCGCCCCAGCCCCAGGCCCCCTCGCACGCGGCCGGGCAGAGCGCGCTGCCTCAGAGGCTGGTGCTCCCCTCGCAGGCCCAGGCCCGCTTGCCCAGTAAGTGGCCTCACCTTTCCAGGTTTCTGCCATCTCTCTACCCCAGAGGAGTTGTGTTAAGAACACGGGGATGTAGGAGGAGCCTTGCTGTCCACTCCTTTGTCTTTCCCCAGCCCCATGCCCGGTGCTGCCTCTCACCAGTGCAGCTGCCTCCGGCATGAGTCTAGCAGGGAGCGCCTCTGTGGAGGCCACATCCGGCCTTCTCCTGTCTGTGCTCTCTCTCCTGACCCCGCCATCCAGCTCTGCTTTTCTGCTGCACTCACTCACTGCTTTGGTGCTGTGGACGGCACTTCCCAGTGTTAGCCCCGGCCTTGTTCCACCAGCCACACAGGTGCACTCTGGGGGAGCAGATGCTCCTAGAGTGACAGCGACTGCATTTGGGAAGGTCGCTTCCTTGCCAGTCATGTGAACTAGCTTTAGGTTCCTAAAAAACATTAGCTCTTTTTAGTCTCTCGCCTGTTACCAAATTTAAACTTGGGATTGCTCAACCAAGATAACTTGTAATAATTTATGACTTAAAAAACACAGTTATTAATTTTTTTAATACAGAACATTTTGCTGTGTCCAGTGGGATTAGTATGTTTTCAAACCTTACATGTACCCTATTCATTCTGTGGTGGAAATTATCCTGACTTAAAGTATTATGTTATTTCTCAAGTGCCACCTCAACTCCTTTTGTTGTTGGTATAGCCAAATTATGTGGAGGCCTTTCTGGAAAGATGCAGATGGGAGAGGGAGTGATGCACAGAGACACTTGAGTTCAAACTAATTCTCTTTCCTTACAAGTCTCTCTCTCCCATTGCCCAAAAATAAAGAGGAATTGTCCTAGTTAAGTGCCCTAAGGGAGAAAGCAGTTGCATATTTTACATCTTCATCAAACTAGACACTGTCTTGCGTGGGATGAGAGTCATGTTGGTGGTTGCCAGAGGAGCTGTTCTTTGGGAGATCTGTGAAGTGAGCAAAACTGCTTTTCCTGTGGGTCGGTCCTCACCTGTGTATGGAACAAGGAGGATTGTTGAGAGATTGACACTTCTATGCACAAATCTCTGTCTTCTGTTTTCATTTTCCCCTCCTTGTTCACGGTTATTCTGTGGGCAAGATATCTCTAGACATTTTTCTAGCCTCTTACTAACTATTCTTTTTATCATATCACTAATAATTCTGGCATGGATTTCTCGGGAAGAACATTTAGATTCAAGTATCAACCATTGGGAAATAAGTCTTTAAACCTGTTGTTCAGTTGTAGCCGGAAGGTAGTACCTTTTTGAGTTGGGGGCAAATGACCACATCTGAGTTATGTTTTTTCAAAAAAAGTGTTTTAAGCAACGCTAAGTTTTACTTTTTTTTTTTTTAAACAGTAAATGTTATAGATTGACGCTTACCATCTAATTCAAATTAGTATGAAGCTTTATATCTTAAAGCTTTATTTATGTATGTGATTTCTTTATGTATCTAGAGGCATTGCTAGATCTTGTAGACACCGTGGCTCACACCTGTAGGCCCAGCTGCTTGGGAGGCTGAGGTGGGAGGATCGCTTGAACCCAGGAGTTTGAGGCTGCAGTGAGCTATAATCCTGCTACTGCCCTCCAGCTTGGGTGACAGCCAGACCCTGTCTCTCACAAAATAAATAAAAATACATTCTTAGATTTTGAAGAGTTATGGGTGTAATTGAAGCTAGTTATTTTTTTATATTTGTAAAGATATAATCTCTCTTTGTGAGCTAAATTGGACAGGTACTTTTCACATTTTTAAAGTTCTCTAAAGTTTAGGTTCATATGTGAGTTTCCAAGTGTATTACAAATACATTTCTGCTTTTTTTTTTTTTTTGGAGATGGAGTTTCACTCTTGTTGCCCAGACTGGGGTGCAATGGCCTGATCTTAGTTCACTGCAACCTCTGCCTCCCGGGTTCAAGCAATTCTTCTGCCTCAGCCTCGTGTGTAGCTCGGATTACAGGCGCCCACCACCATGCCCAGCTAATTTTTTTTTTTTTTTTTTTTTTTTTTTTGCATTTCTAGTAGAGATGGGTTTTCACCCTGTTGTCCAGGCTGGTCTCAAACTCCTGACCTCATGTGATCCACCCACCTCAGCCTCCCAAAGTGCTGGGATTACAGGCATGTGCCACTGCACCCAGCTGATTTCTGCTATTTTTGTTGTTTCGGTAGAAAAGTAAAATGTTCCTTAATAGCTTCGTTAATAATATCAATATCTGATATCTAAAATCCCAACCAATTATGGTTAAGTAAAGTTAACCATTAAAATCTGACATTTTGTTTTCTCTTTTTAATTAAAATAATTATTTTTAAGAAGTGGTAGAAAACACTACCTGATAAACATTTCTGTGGTGCTTCAGTTTATGATAGATGGTCATTATATACAAGAAACGACTGTCAATATGACACTCCCAAATTTTTTCCAAAATGATCTGAATTCACCTTTTCCTCTACGTTTCAACAGGTGGAGAGGTAGTGAAAATAGCTCAGCTGGCATCCATCACAGGACCACAGAGCCGCGTGGCTCAGCCAGAGACGCCGGTGACACTGCAGTTCCAGGGCAGCAAGTTCACCCTGTCACACAGCCAGCTCCGGCAGCTCACAGCGGGCCAGCCGCTGCAGCTGCAAGGTAAGGATAAGGATGAGAGAGCACTGATGCCAAAAATGACAAAAGCGCCTCACCATGAGCCCTGCTGCCCACGGGCCTGCCTTGTGCATTTAAGTGTCAGGCTTTTCCCTGTGTCCGATGATGCATCTCACCTCATGGGTTCATGGAAGACCAGCGAGATGACGTTCATCAGCCACCGGGTTGCCTGCACTTGATGCGTGTCAGATAAACAACAGGCACTTTCGTTACCAGCATCTGCGCTTTGAAGAGAGTTTCGTATTTTGTAGATCAAAGTAGAAATATTTGGCCAGGCGTGGTGGTGCTCTCCTGTGGTCCAAGCTACTCAGGAGGCTGAGGTGGGAAGATCACCTGAGCCCCAGAGGTTGAAACTGCAGTGAGCCGAGATCGTGTCACTGCACTCCAGCCTGGGTCACAGACTGAGACCCCATCTCTAAGTAATAGATAAGTAACAGAAATATTTGCTGCTTTCTAATATAGGTGTGAGACAAATTGTCCCTAAAACACCACAGGATTAGTAATTTTATGTATGAGAAATCATTTTCTTCTATCAGCAGACTTAATTTTAACTCCCAGACCCAAAGCCCAGACCTTTGGTGAAGAGCAGTGTGTTTATATAGTAACTGCTCTTTAAAAAAAGTGAGGGAGAGGAATTGAGTGGCGCCTTGTCCCCGTGGTGGGATCATTTGCTCCCTGTGTTTTTGTTTAGGGCTCAAGGAACACCCACAGCAGCCCCCGCAGCCTCCTTCCCCCACCTTCCTCGACAGCAGCCTCAGCGGCTACCTTCCCCCACCTTCCTCGACAGCAGCCTCAGCGGCTACCTTCCCTCACCTTCCTCGACAGCAGCCTCAGCGGCTGCCTCCCCGCCACCCCCCCACAGCAGCCCCGGTGGCACCTTCCCCCACCTTCCCTCACCTTCCTTCACCTTCCGTGACTGCAGCCTCAGCGACTGCCTTCCCCCAGTGCTTTCCTCATGATTGCTGCCTGTGGCACTTGTCAGGGTGGAGGGTTTCATCATCAGTAGGGTGAGCCCACTGACCTCCTTAGAGAGACACACACGTCTCAGCAGAACAAGGCCTGCCACAGAGAAACGATTCAGTCTGGTTTACTTCCTTTTTTTTTTTCTTAAAACAAAACAAAACAAAACAAAACATTTTTTGGCCCACAGAGGCTGGGTCGCTTGGTAACATCTCTGATGGCCGCCGGTTTATTCATAGAGATGACCTGGGAAACTATCTTCTCCAGAGTAAAAGAAGTCAGAAAGATGTAGTCACACAAGATCCAAAGTGGCAGCCTCGTTAAACAGCAGCAGAAAAGCCACAGGCATCTGGGCTAAAAACAGGGTTTTGTTCTATTTCTTCATTCTCCTTGACTGCTGTGATCTGGGAGTGGGGATGTCCGCCTCAGTACCTCGAACAGCATGGCAGGTCCTCAGCAGCTGTGTGTCACCCACCTTCCATGAGGGACAGAGGGTAGATGGCCTTTTCTTGACATGGAGCAAGATACCTTGTCTCTTAGTGTGTCGTCATCCACTGTCGGTGATGGGTTGCCACTTTCCTCACAGTAACTGAACTTTGCATTGATTTTTTTGTGTAGATTTGATTTTCAGTTTGTCAACTTATTTTTGTACTGTTTGGAAGTGCCTGGAGTGTGTGGCTGTGATGTACACATGCCTGTCATTGACACCTAGTGGACCTATGATTGCAGGCAGCGTCCTCCAGATCGTGTCCGCCCCCGGGCAGCCCTACCTTCGAGCCCCTGGCCCTGTGGTGATGCAGACCGTGTCTCAGGCGGGCGCTGTGCACGGCGCCCTGGGAAGCAAGCCCCCGGCCGGCGGTCCCAGCCCTGCACCCTTGACCCCACAAGGTAGGGTGCTCTGAGCAGGAGGGAGACTTGGCTTGGATGCTTCTTTCTCTTCCATCTAAGGCGAGTGGAAAGCATTCATGTGTCTTTGACTGTATCTCAGAACAGCACAGTCTAGTGTGTGGCCATCTCTGATTTCTATAGATGTGTCCTAGTGTCAGCCTGATTTATTTTCTTTTTCTTGTGCTTTCAAAGGTATTGGTTGGATATAACCAGCCTCCACTGTCCTTAGGTTTTTGTTTTGTTTGTGTTCTCACAAGAAATTTGGAATCATGAGAAATCTTGCTTGTTTGTATATCGCCAGTGTGCTCCGTTTCCCCTGGGAGTGGGAGTGTGTGGCCGCCCACGCAGGGTCTGGTTCTTTGTCCGGCCCGAGCTGCCACTCCTCATCCTGTCTCGCCACCTGCTTCACCTCTGAGTCCCCGCTCTGTGCCTGCCTTGGCCCCAGGTCTCTCTGGACATGCTCTGTCATGATGTGGTGTGTCCTCTGGAACCCAGAGACCCGTGGAGGCAGGTGGGAGCCTAGAGGGGTGAGGCTCTCTCCTTGGGATGGAGCCCTTGTCCTGGTGGCCGAGTGGTGTCCATTCAGTTCCAGCCCCACCTTTGCATAGTGGGCAGTGATGTTGGGTGGGTCACTGCCAACCTGTTAGGCTCTGTTAGTTATCAGAGGAGGCTGCAAGGCTGGAGTGGGGAGGGGCCATGGCTTGTTCTCCAGTCCTGTTAGCATCACCTAGCAGCAGTCCTGCATGCCAGCATGGTCAGCAGTTCCACTCACCAGGTTTTGCCGCTACCCCCAGAACCAGGCATCTTGGGGATTCCAGAACCAGCTGCTGCACCCTTCTTTGCGGGCTGATGAGTCACTGTCCCGTGGAAGCCCTCCTCAGCTTCAGAGGCCCCAGTACCAACTGGAGTCCTGGACCCTGAGGGTCTGAGCTCAGACACCCCCACCCCCAAGTGCTGAGTTCTGACAACCTCAGCCTCTCCTCTTGTTTTTCCCTAAGGTGACTCTTACCCCTGGGCCCCTTTTCAGCACTCAGACACCTCTTTGACCACATCTTTGTAGGAAAGTCTGCCGCACTAAGTGGCATGGCTTCTGCCTTCCTGATTGGCCCTGGCTGGTAGCAGGTGTCATGTCAGGAGCAGCTCCAGGGAACGGATATGAAACGGGCACTGGCTTGCTCTGTTGCAGTTGTGAGGACTGGGTGGACTTCCTGCCGGGGCTGGGCTGCTCATGGCAGGCAAGGGCCTCACAGTCATCAGGCGGTCACCTGGGCTAGGAGGTGGCCATGTGCTGATGGCGATGGGGTACCCAGGGCCTCGGAGGTGTGCTGGGATGCTTCTGGGTGGCTCTGGAGTGCCTCCCAAAAGAAAGGGATAAGCTGCTGGCTCCATTCAGCTCCAGTCATGGCCTGCGAGCCAGCATGCTTCCGTGGCAGGTCTAAAGCATTTAAGTTTGAGCCCATGCACATTCCAGGCATGTGCTGGTGGAGGATGAGGACTTGGGGACATGCCGTTGCAGAATGACTTTCTGTGGAGTGTGCTGGTGGAGGGTGAGGTTCCATGGAGCATGCTGGTGTCAGATGAAATCCTGTGAACTTGGCGTTCCTTTTCACCTCTTCCTTTATGCATTTGTAGTTGGCGTTCCGGGCCGCGTGGCGGTGAATGCCTTGGCTGTAGGAGAACCCGGAACGGCCTCCAAACCAGCTTCTCCCATTGGAGGGCCGACCCAGGTAAGCACCTGAGCTTGAGACCCCGGTGCACGTGGACAGGTAGCTTTCCAAGAGCTGCTCGTTGTGTTTGGTTGTGATATTTAAAGGCTCCTGTGAATTCTCAAGTGATGTTACTGAATTCTTATTTTAAAACACACATTTTCTAATAAAATAAATGAAACTGGACTTACGACTGCCACAATCTTTTTTTGTATTTTTTATGTCCTTCTGCAAGTCTTCCTGGGCATTAGAATTGCTCACTTGTGTCTTGAGAAATACTTCCCATCTTGGCAAAGAAGAGAACGCTTGTGCTCTCGGCTTCATTTCCATCTCTATTTCCTGTAGCTCTCGGCTTCATTTCTATCTCTATTTCCTGTAACACAAGACCGGGGATATTGAAGTGGATCTCATATGTGGGAAATCACGGGCTGGGTGGGGGGTTGGTGAAGACAGGAACTTGTCATTCTGTTTCTCAAGTAACTGTTTTTCATCACTTTTTGATAAAGGAGGAAAAGACCAGACTCTTGAAAGAGCGCCTGGATCAGATTTATTTAGTCAACGAGCGGCGCTGTTCTCAAGCTCCAGTCTATGGCAGAGACTTGCTAAGGATTTGTGCCCTGCCTAGCCATGGAAGGGTACAGTGGCGTGGGTCCCTGGATGGCCGTCGTGGGAAGGAGGCCGGGCCAGCGCACAGTTACACTTCATCCTCAGAAAGTCCAAGTGAGCTGATGTTGACGCTTTGTCGGTGTGGAGAGTCTCTGCAGGATGTTATTGACAGGTACTGCAGACCTCGTGACCTTTTCGGTGCTCTCTGGCTGCATTGCACCCCGGCAAGACCCCTTCTTGTCTCGTGGATGTACATCTTACTCCCATCGGCTTCTCCCCACGCTGTCCCTTAGCGGTCTGTTTTGAAGTTAGTCTTTGAGGTCTTCAGCTTTGGGATCAGATGGTTTTGTTATCTGGGTCTCAGTGCCAGGTGCGGCTTCTGAAGGAAGTTGGCAGCCCTGGGGGCAGAGCCGCAGCACTGAGCTCACACTGTGCTTGGGGACAGATCACTGTGTTGCTAAGGACTTTCTCCATTTGACTCTTTCAAAAAATGATTGCATTAAAAGAGCCCCATGAGTGAGTGAACATTACATGATGACAAATGTGGGCAGGAGTTGATCTCAGAACGTGCTTTAATGGAGAGCAAATCTGAGCACCGGTGGGCACGGTGGGCACCCGGCCGCTCTCAACTGAGCTTGCTTTCAGTAGAGTGCGTTACCCTGTTTGCATTTCCACTCCCTGCTTGGACCCCATCTCCAGGCTCCACTTCAGACATGTTTTCTTCCCTTCTTTGCAGCTGTTGTAGTTCTCAGTTGTCTCCTGTCTGCAGAGGGCAACCTGGCTTCTTCCTGTGCCTTGGCTCAGCTCAGCTTTCAGGATCTACCTATTTCAGTTCTTTCAGATCAGGAAGCAGAATTAATGGAAAAAAAGAAAACTGGGAGTGCTTCTCCAAGGCCGAACAAGCCACTTCTGGCTTCTCCTGGTCTGGGAGTGACTATGTCAGTGACCTTGTGCTCCTGGAGTTTTTCTTTCGAGTACTGATTTGTCTTTGTGTACTCCTCCCTCATTGAACATCATGGGTGACCATTCGTTCAGTTTGAATACAGCTGGGAGTGAGTCATAGTTGATGTCCATAGCAAGGGCCTTCTGGTGCAGGTGACCTCCACAGGTTGCAAGGTGGGCCTTAGGTTGGCTGTGCGATCTTCGCTCTATTGTCATTGTCCTGAAGGCTCCTTCACCCTGAGTCTGGCCCCCGTCCTGGTGGCACAGTGGCTATAGCAGTTCTAGGGTCCACGAGACAGTGCACCTTTGTCCCAAAGTTTCCAGCTGAAGACACACTAGAAAGAGAATGGCTTATCTCTGACCTGGTGCCTGCGGCCTAGGGAATCCACCCCCATTGATCCATCAGCCCTGGACTGTCTGAATTAGTCCCCGAGGTGGTGGTTATTGGCCAGGACTGGTTAGGATCTGCCTCGTTGGGCCCCTGCCCGTGTGCCAACACCCACATCCCCATGTGACTGGGTTGAGCCCTGCTGTTTCCTGGGACTTGGACTGTCAGAAGTCTGCCCCATCTTTCAGGAGCCCCCATGCTGGGTGAAGGTGTGTGGCTCCTGGTGGTGACAAAACATGCTTTCTGCTCCTCAGGGTGGCCTTTGTGATTCCTCCGGTGGTGGCAGCACCCCCGTCCCTACGGGTGCCGCGGCCGCCACCCCTGTACAGCCACAGAATGAGGATCTTGAGGCAGGGCCTGAGAGAGCACGCTGCGCCGTACTTCCAGCAGCTGCGGCAGACCACGGCTCCACGCCTGCTGCAGTTCCCTGAGCTGAGGCTGGTGCAGTTCGACTCAGGTATGCGGCAGTTGGGGGCGTGGCCCGTGCGGGAGCTGCACCGGCCCTGGATGATGAGGCGCTCTTGATGTGATTCGTTTCCCAGGGAAGTTGGAAGCTTTAGCTATCTTGCTTCAGAAATTGAAATCTGAAGGACGTCGGGTGCTGATTTTATCACAGATGATTCTTATGTTGGACATTTTAGAGATGTTCTTGAACTTCCATTACCTCACCTATGTAAGAATCGATGAAAATGCCAGCAGTGAGCAACGGCAGGTGAGAAGCACATTGTTTACATTGTCTCTGATGGGTCAGTCACTGGTGTTGAATGCCTAAGTGCTGTGTAAATTCAGTGGTCTCATGGCCCTTCTAAGTGAAAGGGGAGGGACTTAATGAGCTTCTGAACTTTTTAAAGTCTCAATCCATCCTTCGATATTTTTTATTAAAAGCCACGTTGTTAGGTAAATGCAGTCTTGATGTCTCAGAATAAATGCCGGTGACCTGCAATCATCATTAAGACGATACTGGCGTACTTCAAGAGGTGGCTACAGGGTAAAAATATGAAAACAATTCCAACCAATTTAGAATGAAGGGAAATACAAGTTAGGGTAATATGCCCATTGTTTACTTACAAGATTTGCCAAGGCTGTTTTGTTTCATCAGGCACAGTGAGTCAGACACTCTCATATCCTCCCGTGAAAGCATAAACTAGTATAGTTCTAGAAGGCAGCCTGGCAGTATGGATTTGAACCTTAATAGTGATGTATGCTTGACCTAGTAATTCTGTATTTAGGACCCTTTACTTACATGACAACAAACACACCACTTAAGATCTGTCTACATAGTTGTTGTTGAAATGTTTATGGTAATTCACAGTTGAGAACAAAGTCAGTGTTCAGCAGAAGAGTGAGTGCATAAGGGGTTGTCCATGGGCCCCGTGCCCTGGCAGCTTCATGAGCAGAAACTGCCCAGCATTTCACGTGGTGTGCTAGGCCCTTGTCAGCAGCATTTCAGAGCCAGTTTTAGTAGCATGGCCCAGTGTCCCCCAGCGCAAAACCAAGTTGCTGCCCTGTAAGTCGCGCAGCCTGCTTTATCTCACACACACGCTCATGTACACGCTGGAGAGGCCTAGAAAGAAATAGAGCAAAAGGTGATTTAACAAGTTTTCTTGGTAATATTATAGCAAATTATCTGTAGAATGCCTGGAAGGAAGAGAGTTGGTCAGTGATTAGGTTTCGTTTCTGGCACAGAAATCGTTATGGAAGAAAAGTATTCAAGTCATCTCCCTTCATGGTCAACAGTGAGGTTAGAGGACTATCCTTCACGGTTTTGTTTTTCCTGCTTCCTCAGCCTTACTCCAGGGACTTTTTGTTGCCTGTAAAGTGCTCTGGCATTGCCTGAGGATAGATGAGAAAGCACATATCCCTCCCCAGTAAGACGCTGTTTTCTTTTGGGGCCTACAAGTTGAGCTGACAGTAAATGCAAGGTGGACTCTAACTTTTTCCTTCTTGTCACTCATGGCTGATGTTATTTAAACTGTGCATGAGGGTGTTGGCGATGGGTGAGCGTAAGATGATAGTGGCTGCACAGAAGAGCTGGAATACAGTGCGGGGACCTTGGTGTTGCTTTAACATGAGCCTCGTGTTGAATGGAATACAAACCAAGCAGTTTTGCTATGGGATAATTTCTTTTTTGAGACAGAGTCCTGCTCTGTCGCCGAGGCTGGAGTACAGTGGCGCAATCTTGGCTCACTGCAGGCTCCTCCCGGGTTCACGCCATTCTCCTGCCACAGCCTCCCAAGTAGCTGGGACTGCAGGCGCCTGCCACCACGCCCAGCTAATTTTTTGTATTTTTAGTAGAGACGGGGTTTCGCCATGTTAGCCAGGATGATCTCGATCTGCTGACCTTGTGATCCACCCACCTCGGCCTCCCAAAGTGCTGGGATTACAGGTGTGAGCCGCCACGCCCGGCCTGCTGTGGGATTATTTCTAATTAATAAATGTTGAAACGTGTCAAAGGTTTCCCAACATTTTCCAAGAATACTAACTCCTGTGTTTTGTTTCATCTTAGGAACTGATGAGGAGTTTCAACAGAGACAGGCGGATTTTTTGTGCCATTCTCTCCACTCACAGCCGTACCACAGGTATAAACCTTGTAGAGGCGGACACCGTCGTGTTTTATGACAATGACCTGAATCCAGTGATGGATGCCAAAGCTCAGGAGTGGTGCGATAGGATCGGGAGATGCAAAGACATCCACATATACAGGTGAGGGCCTGCGGGGGATAGGATCAGGAGATGCAAAGACATCCACATATACAGGTGAGGGCCTGCGGGGATGGCCGCGTGGAAATGGAGTCAATGAGAAGCTTTGCAGGAGATATTGGTGCAAGAAGCACTAATGCAGAAACAAAAGGTAGCACTAAAGACAATGCATGATATCTAATTTTAAACTAGGGTTTGTTTTCCTTCAGACAAACTTACATTTCTGCTATTTTATCTATCTATTCCTTTTATTTATACTCAACATTTGCTTGAAATTGTAAGTTAGTGATGCTGCTCACACAAGTCATCTTGCCATCTTCAGTTTTTACGTGTGGTACCTCTTGCAGAGTATCTCAGTCTTAAAAGTACGATTTAGATTTTGGGTTGTTTTAATTATGAACTATAAATTATCTGTTAGTAAAATGGCTATTGAAAGAATGGTCAACACCTGTGAAAAGAAGAGAAAAGAGAATTAGTTTTTTTTTTTTTTTTTCTTTTTTTTGAGATGGAGTCTTACTCTGTCGCTCAGGCGGTAGTGCAGTGGCACGATCTTGGCTCACCGCGACCTCTGTCTCCCGGGTTCAAGCAATTCTTCTGCCTCAGCCTCCCGAATAGCTGGGACTACAGGCGTGCACCACCACGACCGGCTAGTTTTTGTATTTTTAGTAGAGACGGAGTTTTACCACATTGGCCAGGCCGGTCTCGAACTCCTGACCTCGTGATCCGCCCGCCGTGGCCTCCCAAAGTGCTGGGATTACAGGCATGAGCCACTGTGCCCAGCCAAAATCTATTATTATGTTTTTGTTTGTTTGTTTTTTGAGACGGAGTTTCGCTCTTGTTAGCCAGGCTGGAGTGCAATGGCGTGATCCTGGTTCACCGCAACCTCCACCTCCTGGGTTCAAGCGATTCTTCCGCCTCAGCCCCCCGAGGAGCTGAGGTTACAGGTGCGCGCCACCATGCCCTGCTAGTTTTTGTATTTTTAGTAGAAACGGGGTTTCACCATGTTGGCCAGGCTGATCTTGGAACTCCCGACCTCAGGTGATCGCCCGCCTTGGCCTCCCAAAGTGCTGGGATTATAGGTGTGAGCCACCGCGCCTGGCCTATTATTATCTGTAAAGATAAAAACTATAACTGTCAAAACACAATTGGGGGAAATGGGGAAAGGTTACTGTATATTTTTAAATTTCTAAGTGCTTACTGTTACAGTGTAATAGTAGATTTACTTCTTCTGCTTATTTTATGCCTGGTTGTGTGCCGAGCACATCCTGGGCTCACCTCTCATGGTGACCCGTCAGTTCCCAGTAGGGAGCCTGAGACTAGACAAATATGGTCCCTGCATGAGGTCTCCTAGGTGGTAGCTGACCCTGGAACTAAAACCCAAGTGTGCTTTAACCTCTTTTTTTTTTTTTTTGAGACGGTCTGTTGCCCAGGCTGGAGTGCAGTGGCATGATCTTGGCTCACTGACGCTTCTATCTCCTAGGCTCAGGTAATCCTCCCGGCTCAGCCTCCCAAGTGGCTGGGACTACAGGTGTGCAGTACCATGCCTGGCTAATGTTTGTATTTTTTGCACAGACAGGGTTTTGCTGTGTTGCCCAGGCTGGTCCCAAACTCCTGGGCTCAAACAGTCAGCCCGCCTCAGCCTCCCAAAATGCTGGGATTACAGGCATGAGTCACTGCACCCGGCCAACCATTTGTTTTTTAACAAGATGGTTGGTGTCATAGTAATTCAAATGCTGTATTTAAATTGTTTTATTATTATTTTTCTTGCTATAAATGCATTACATGTTCCTCGAGGGAAAAAAGGAGAGCCTGTAAAGAAAAACAAGGATCCTGCAGAGGCAGCAATTATTAACATTCAGTTGCACATCTTCCCAGACACGCTTCTGCTTCTTGAAGAAGGCTCACACTGTGTCTTCTTTTGTAAACTTTTTTTTTCTTTTAACAGTACATTATACATACATTTCCATGGTGATGAATATAAGTTTGGTGCATGGTTTATGTTGAATGGATAAGGGCTTAGTGTGGAATCCATTCTGCATTGTTGGCCCTTAGCAATTACTAGCCAGAAATTGGAAAAGTGTTGTATTCTCAGTATCAATAAAGTCTCAGGCATGGCCTTAGCGGTGCAGGAACAGGGCATCTGAAGTGAGGCATGAGGTGGCCTTGAAGGATGCAGGATGGGCTGTGCCAAGTGTGAAGACACACTTTGTTCTCGAGTGGGTAGACTTCATTCATGAACATGTGAAGTTTCTCCAAAGTAATACTAAAATTTAATATATTTTTGTGAAAACGCTCCTCATGGGTGTGAAGGTTCTATGCGTGCACACACACGGTTGGGTAAGGTGGTGCCAATGTGCTTGCAGTGTGGACGTCCTGATGAAGGCCGCCATCATGATGCTCAGTGTTGCGGGTGGGAGTGTGCCCCACTATGAGCCATGGGAACCCCCAAACTGCATAAGGGTGCTGTTGGTGTCGGGGCAGATAGCCCGGCACCCATGGGGATTTCGCATGTTACAAAGGTTGGCTGTCGCAGTAACTGGAGGGCCTTTCTGTCATGAATGTGCCGCACACCTTGTGCTCCACGAGTGAGAGGAGGGGCTTGGAGTGCTGCTCCCACGCCTGACCATGGCGGAGTCCAGAGGGATGAAGGACTTGAATGTTTTCGGTGGAGCAGCAGTGTTAGAACACTCTTGAAGAGACAGTACCTGTGGCCGAGAGCTGGAAGGGACCGCCTGACCCACACAGACCCCAAAGTCAGGGGAGACAGGCACACAGCTGCAGTGAGACAGGAAGCCAAGCGTTGTACAGATACGGTGAGCCCAGTGGACAGGCGGGTGATAGAACAGGGAGATTTGCCATTCTCAGTGCAAGTAAAGAGTTAAATACCTCTTAAAAATCGAGAAGATACATAAAGACCCCCCCTTACTCTTAAATAGGAAGGGCCTGTGAATATGAACAGTCCATCCCAATTGGCCAGAAAGTGTGAGAGGCCGCTCCAGCTCACTGGTCTGGAGAAGGAAGGACCAGTTTAATGCACGATGAGATCTCTCTTCTCATGCCCCGGACAGGTGAGACCTTAAGGGAACGAGCCTGTTCAGCCTGGCACTAGAAAAGGGGACGTCCTCATGTTGATGGGGATGTGGGATTGCTATCTAAGGATGTGTGTCGCAGCTTTGTCACATGGCACAAAGCAGTCACTGGGGCACAGCCATCCCACGGTGTTGAGCAGCCAGGTGGAAAATGAGCTCATGTCGAGGGATTTCTGTAATACACTGCTTAGGGAGGACAGCAAAATGCAGAGAAGTGGGAAGTAAGGCGGACATTTTCCCCACACGGTTGTGCACGAAGTGACGGTACATGGAGCATCGTGGAAGGGCACACCCAGGTTCACACACACAGCATCGTGGAACAACACACCCAGGTTCACACGGAACGTCATGGAAGGGCACACCCAGGTTCACACGGAACGTCGTGGAAGGGCACACCCAGGTTCACACACACAGCATCGTGGAACGACACACCCAGGTTCACACAGAACGTCATGGAAGGGCACACCCAGGTTCACATGGAACGCTGTGGAAGCGCACACCCAGGTTCACATGGAACGTCTTGGAAGCACACAGCCAGGTTCACACGGAACGTCGTGGAAGGACATACCCAGGTTCACGCGGAACATCGTGGAAGGACACACCCAGGTTCACACGGGGCATTGTGGAATGACACACCCAGGTTCACACGGAACGTCGTGGAAGGGCACACCCAGGTTCACACGGAACGTCGTGGAAGGGCACACCCAGGTTCACACACACAGCATCGTGGAACGACACACCCAGGTTCACACGGAACGTCATGGAAGGGCACACCCAGGTTCACATGGAACGCTGTGGAAGCACACACCCAGGTTCACACGGAACGTCTTAGAAGCACACAGCCAGGTTCACACGGAATGTCGTGGAAGGACACACCCGGGTTCACACGGAGCATTGTGGAACACACCCAGGTTCACATGGAGCATCATGGAACAACACACCCAGGTTCACACGGAACGTCATGGAAGCACACAGCCAGGTTCACGCGGAACGTCATGGAAGGACACACCCAGGTTCACACGGAACGTCGTGGGAAGGACACACCCAGGTTCGCACGGAATGTCGTGGAAGCACACACCCAGGTTCATACGGAACATCGTGGAAGGGCACACACAGGTTCACATGGAACATCGTGGAAGGACACACCCGGGTTCACACGGAGCATCGTGGAACAACACACCCAGGTTCACATGGAGCATCATGGAACAACACACCCAGGTTCACACGGAACGTCGTGGAAGCACGCACCCAGGTTCACACTGACGTGGCTGCTGGGGCGGGGGGCAGGAGAGGCAGGCCACCCTCCCTGAAGCAGCCATGAAATATGCCAGTTAGGAAAAGTGTGCCCGCGGAAGCGCACACTGTCACACGTGCAGCAGCACCTTCTTGTGAACCAAGGTGGGTGGAAATGCCATCCCCACTTTTTTTAGTGGTTCTCAGGGTGATTGGAATCCAGGCGATTTTTGTTTTGTTTTGTTTCTTATGCTTTTATGTAATCAAATAATTTATGATGAGCATGTAGTAATATAATCAAGAAAGAGTAGATTTTCATTTAAAGGCCAGGAAAGTCTTCCCAGGTGGTGGTTTGCTGTTGATGAAGTTGTCCATCCACTATTTCCCTTTATCACGTATTTAGTTCCTTTGTTTGTGTCTGGGTTCACGTCTTCACTTTCCGTGCTGTTCCCTATGATGGTTTCTCTTTAATATTTAGGATCCTTTTAATTTGGAATTTTCTGAAAAAAATTTTGTTTTCATCTCTGAAAATCATGCTGTTAAAGTTGTTTAATGTGAGCTTTTTTGAGGTTTAGCATTTAGCATTTTACAGGCAGATGAGCCTCATGGGAAGGCAATAGACTGCATGGTCTGTTCTGTGTCCCCAGTGATGGAATCTTGAGGAAGCCTTGTGTCCCTGCACTGGGGGTCCGTCTGTCCAGTGGGGTGACATCTGCAGCTCACGGTCGTAATTGAACACCTCTTGTGGGTCTGGTAGTGTACCGGGGTTAGAAAGAGAAAAACGCCCATAATTACATGAGAATGAGGTGTCTCATGAGTGTTAACAAGCCAGTCTGTGAAGTGATCAGTTCTGCCTGTTGGGCTCAGTGAAAGCTTCAGAGAAGATAGATGCTGGAGGTACATCTGGAAGGACCAGGTGGGACATTTCCAGGTTGAGACTGGTGGGAGAAAAACGGGATGGCGGGTGGAAGGATGAGGTGGCACAGCGAAGAGTCTTCCGGAGGGGCCTCCTGTCAGCTCTCTGGGAGGCGGGAGAGCTAAGATTGGAGGGGCTGGCTGAGAGCGGCCTTTGGTGCCCCACGAAGGCATGTTCTGAGCAGGGGTAGCTGGAGGAGGGACGTGGATTCGTTGATCACCATCTGCATGCTGTGCCCACCTGTTGTCACTGTGTTTCCTGGTGACTGACTTAGCATCTTACATCTTTTGTTTGCAGGCTTGTGAGTGGCAATTCCATTGAAGAGAAATTGTTGAAAAATGGAACTAAAGATCTGATCCGAGAAGTGGCTGCTCAGGGAAATGACTACTCCATGGCTTTCTTAACTCAGGTACTCCTTATTCAATGAGAGGCCTGAGGTGAGACCCGCCATGCGGCGCGTGGAATCGCATGGTGTTAGTGCACACTAGCAAGGGGCTTAGGTCTCCAGCTGAGGTCAGATGCACACTTGGACCTTGTACTGGGGAGTAACACACATCTCTGTGTTCAGCGAACCATCCAGGAGCTGTTTGAAGTTTATTCTCCCATGGATGATGCTGGCTTCCCGGTCAAAGCTGAGGAGTTTGTGGTGCTTTCTCAGGAACCTTCTGTCACGGAAACCATTGCACCCAAAATTGCAAGACCTTTCATAGAGGTAAGAATACATTGAATCTGGCTGAAGAGTTGCACGGTGGGAGCCGGCGGAACACCTGCACCCTCCCCCAGGGTTCTGGGTGCTCAGTCCCCACTCTTCCCTGGCCTGAAGCCCTCTTCCCGTCCCTGCTTTTGGAACCTCCCCACTCCCTTCTTTCTGTCATGGGGATTTTGAACTGTAAATACAAGTGAGGGGAATGGTGGCGAAGGTCGCGGACCACAGGCCTGTCACCGAAGCAGTCGCTGCCGTCTTCATCTGCACTTTGCCACAGTCTCAGCTCCTTCCCCTCCCCATGGAAATCTATCCCTGCCTCCTCTGGAGGCTCTGCGGGCACTACCCCTACTCCCCTCTAGCTGGCTGTGTTGGCTTCTCCCTGAGCAGTGCAGCCATGAGTCTGCACTCAGGTGCTGAGTGTAAGGTGCTGGTTGATTGCAAAGACTGAGTATAAGAAAGAACACAGACTATCACGTTGATACTTTTGAGTGTTGACTACATGTTGAAGTGATAATATTTTGGCTATCGGGTTATGTCAATATTTTACTGTTTCGGTGTGGGTAGTAGAAGATAGAGGGCATGTTTGGGTCCTTTGATTTTTCCCTTTTGGGGGTGCTGCTGTGTAGACATGTCACAGACCCGTCACGGGGCCGCTGTTCCCTCCCTGTCCCCGTGGCTTGCCCGCCAAAGCCCTGCAGCCCCACGTCCTGGAGATGGAGGCCTTCAGCTGCCTTTGTTCTCTGAGTCCCCTCCTCCTTCATGTGGCCCTGCCACTCCTCCAGAACTTGTTGTGGGGTCCCCGTTTCTGTGCCTCTTACCTTGGAAGGATTTGGTATCCCTGTACATCTTTCTTCCTGCCCTGTTTGACTGCAGCGCATGACTGCATGGGCTTCTCTGTATGTTTTTTCTTTTCTGTGAAAGTGTTAAAGACCAGACCAGGCACACTACACAGCCCCTCAGCACCTGTCCGCCGACACCCGAGATTGAGCCTCCCAGCCTCATGGTGTCAGCCCCCTCCTTGCCTGTGCTCAGCTTGTTCTTACCAACTCTGGTGCTGTCTCCTCTTCCATTTCTAAACATTACTCAGTTACTGAATAAGTAAGAAATACTTGGGGTATGACTCTCTTAGTCTGTCTGTGTTGCTGTAAAGGAATACCTGAGACTGGGTGATTTATTTTAAAAAGGGGTTTATTTCGCTGGTGATTCTGATGGCAGCAGAGTTCAGGATTGAGCATCTGTCTGGTGAGGGCCTCAGACGGCTTCCATGGTGGTGGAAGGGGAGGGGGGAGCTGCATGTGCAGGCCACGGAGTGAGAGAGGGAGCAAGGGGCAGGCAGCAGGCTCCCTTTAATAGACTGGCCCTCACAGGACGAACAGGGTGAGACCCACTCCCCCAGCCCCAGAGCGTTTCTATTCCTGAGGGATCCACCCGTGACCCAAACCTTTGAGAATTTATAATGAAAAGCCAGTCTCCTGCCCTGCCCCCAACCCCGCCACCACCCCGTTTCTCACATTTCTTCTAGAGATTGCATGTGTATCATTTCCTTTGCACAGAAATACCTTACAGATTATTACATATGAGGAGGTATGGATCAACCTCATTGTGTTTTAAGGAGGTAATACATGCATGAGGTTGAAAAAGAAAAACAACACAAAAGCGTAGCTGGGGCCAGGTGTGGTGGCTCAGGCCTGTAATCCCAGTACTTTGGGAAGCCGAGGCTGGAGGATGGCTTGAGGCCAGGAGTTCAAGACTGGCATGGGCATCATAGTGGGACCCCATCTCTACAAGAAGAATTTTGAAAACTAGGAGTGTGGTGGTGAGCACCTGTAGTCCCAGCTACTGGGGTGGCTGAGGCGGGAGGATCACTTAAGCCCAGGAGATTGAGGCTGCTGTGAGCTGTGATCGTGCCACTGCACTCCAACCTGGGTGACAGAGTGACACCCTGTCTCAAAGATAAAATATGCAAAGGACCTGACTCTGCATGTCTCAAAGGAAAACATGTAAGTGGCCGATGTGTAGACGAAATAATGTCCAGCATCACTAATCATCAGGAAAATCAAATAAAAACCACAGGAGGTACCAACTGGCACCTATTGGGATGACTGTCATCAAAACGCAAAAGATAGCGAGTGTTGGCGAGGACATGGAGGAAAGGGGCCCGTTGCACTCTGTCCCTGGGAACGTCGTTGGCACAGCCACCATGGGAGACGGCAGGGAGGTTCCTCAAAAATGTGGAAATAGAGCTCCCACCTGATCCAGCAATCCCACTGCTGGGTGTATATCCAAAGAGTTGAAATTAGCGTGTAGGAGAGGCGTCTGTACCCTCGTGTTCATCGCAGCACTGTCCCAGCAGCCAGGACATGGAATCAACCCAAGTGTCCATCAGAAGTCTGTGGATTTTCCATATTGGCTGTGTTGTTTCCCAGCAGCATAGTATTTCAACACACAGATTCTTTTGAAACATACTTGTTGATTGTCTTACTGTGTGTCAGGCACTGTTATAAGCAGTGGGGATACAGGGTCGAAAAAAGACAAAAATTTCATGAAGCTTTTATTCTAGTAAGGAGAGAGGCAGAAACCAAACCTAGTGAGTAAAGCATGTAATTTATTCACATGAGAAGTTGTGAAGTGCTGAATCCAGGGGAGAATGTGGTCACCACAGCAGACAGGTTAGTGTGGCTGAGGGGGTGGGGAGGGTGTGACCAGGTGAGGCCTGACTGTAGGGAGCCCTTGGAAGGGTTTGAGTCAAGCTGTGGCACGGGGTCTGGCATCACCTAAGAGAGTCGCTCTGACTCCTTTGTTGAGACTCAGTTGTAGCAAGGCAAGGGGGATCCTGGGGACCAGTTAAGAGTCCCAGAGCAGTAACACTGGTGAGCAAGGCTGGTGAGGACAACTGGGGGACATGTGGGGGCAGCAGGCGGGTCTTTGGAGGACAGAGCCAGCAGGACTTGCTGCAGTGGGTGTGTGAGGAGGATGGCTGCTCCTCACTGGCTTGACCGGCCCCTGGGGACAGAGAGGTAGGTTAGCCTTGGCCTTTTGCCAGCGGAGACAGATCCACGTTAGCGTGCTGTACTCGTACCTGCCGCATGGGACTGTGGCTATAGGATTCTTCTGTCATTGGCAACGCTCATCAGAGGATTTGTGCCTGCAAAATGGTTTTAAGAAAAGTCCTTGTTGACATGCAAAAACAAAACATACAGCAAGTGTACACATTACAAAGATTCCAGCTGGAGAAATGTTCAGTCAGTAGAAGCACCTGGTAGCCAGCATCTGGTGGAGGAGGAGGATGCGGCGGGCTCCTCAGAAGGCCTGTCCCCCAGCGGTGCTGCCTCTTGCGAATTCTGACAGCACCGCCTGCTTCTGCACTTTCCATACGTGGAGCCTCTTCCTTCGGGTCTGCCTTCTTGTGCGTAGCAGTCTGTAACTCGTTCTCATTGCTGTCTAGAGTTCTGTCTGAATATACCGCCGTTTATCAGATCTGCAGCTTGTGGACGTGATGGAGTGGTTCATTTGAATTGTGCTCCTGTGGATATTTGTATCCTTGTCTTTTGGTAAGCACGTATGTGCAATTCAGGCTGCTTATGTTTGATTTCAGGAGATGCTGTGGCTGTGCCGGGGATGCTCCTGCCATGGGGTTGTTCTGGGTGGTGGTGTGGAGGCAAAATTGCTGGTCCTTTCACTGTAGCTGCAGGGCAGAATGTGGGATAGTCTCATTGTGGTTTAATTTGTGGTTTTGCTGTTGACTGATGAGTTTGAGTGCCTCTTCATATATTTACTGGCAGTTTGAGTACTTTTTAAAGAAATGCCAAGGCTTTTCCCAATTTTTTTTAAATTGGATTTTCTCTATTTCTTTTTTTTTCTTTTTCTTTTTTTTTTTTTTAAGACGGAGTCCCACTCATCGTCCAGGCTGCAGTGCAGTGGTGTGATCTCAGCTCACTGCAACCTCCACCTCCCAGGTCAAAGTGATCCTCCAGCTCAGCTTCCCAAGTAGCTGGAATTACAGGTGCATGCCACCACGCCTGGCTAATTTTTATATTTTTAATAGAGACGTGGTTTCTCCATGTTGGCCAGGCTGGTCTTGAACCTCTGACCTCAGGTGATCTGCCCGCCTTGGCCTTCCAAAGTGCTGTGATTATAGGCATGAGCCACCGTGCCCGGCCAGTTGTCTCTGTTTCTTAATGACTTGTTGGAGTTCTTTATGTATCCCGATAAAAGGCCTTTGTTTGATACACTTGACATATCTTTCCCATTCTGTGGTTTGCCTTTTTAAACGCTGTGTATTGATGAGCAGAAGTTCTGAGTTCTAACACCATCCAGGGCCCACATCTGCCGTCTTTATAGTGGGTGCTTTTTGTGCTCTGCTGAGGAGATTACTCTGCCCACCTGAAGGTCACCGGGCATCCTCCTCTATTTTCTTCTACATGTTGCATTGTTTTATGTTTGCTATTTAGGTGCACCACCTATCTGGCAATAAGTTCTGTGTATCGTGTCAAAGTAGTGTTATATCACTTTGAGGGTTTTGCCAGATTGCCCTGGAAACAGATTGTACCAGTTTTTAATTTGTATCTTCTAACTAAAAACCATACCTCCATGTCAGATGTCTTTTGCCCACATCTGCTAGTAACTATAGATGTGTGTTCCTAGCTGTTTCAGCAGATGAACAGTGGCATCTCGTCATTCTAACTTGTGTATCTTGCACTGTGGTAAAGCTGTCTTGTATGTTCATAGTCATCCATGCTACATTTCGCGGTGGACTTGCTCCGGCTGCTGTAACGTTGGGCTGTCCGTCTGCTGTCTGTTTCCTGGACAGCAGCCTCTGTCCTGCTGTGTCTGTCAGGAGCTGTGGGCAGTGGTGTGCATCGGGTCTGAGATGGAGCCTCCTTGGGCCTTTCTTGTTCTCCAAGCTTCCTTGGCCCTGGGTGCCCTGGCACGCTTTGCCTGCATCAGTGCTCAGCTCTTCCATGGGGCCTGCCTGTCCAACTCGATAGTAAGGTTAGCAAGGCCCAGGAGGTTTCCCACTCATTTTCTGTATTCCCTAAGTGCCTTATCATTTTCACCTGTAAGAGGACCTCAGGGAAGGAGTGGATTACCTTTATGGAGAGTGGGTGATTATAGTGGAGGCATCTCCATTAACTTTACATGGGATAGCTCTTTTTCAAACTACCCTCATTTAAAAAGTCTATCAAGGCAATCTAAACATAGACTTTCCTCAGGCCCTCAAGAGTATTGAGTATCTGGAGGAGGATGCCCAGAAGTCCGCACAGGAGGGGGTGCTGGGACCACACACTGATGCTCTGTCATCAGACTCTGAGAACATGCCGTGTGATGAAGAACCATCCCAATTAGAGGAGCTAGCTGACTTCATGGAGCAGGTTTGGGCATGTTTTCCTTTACAACTACATATTTTAAAAATTTGACGCTTCTATAAAATATTTATTGTTTACTGCAAGAAAAATCACTTTTTGATTCAAATGTTGGTTAGTGGATTGTATAAGGAACTTGACTTTTATTAACTTGCTATTAACCCTATTCAAAAAATATACTTTTGGAACAGCTTACACCAATTGAAAAATATGCTTTAAATTACCTGGAATTATTCCATACTTCTATTGAGCAAGAAAAGGAGAGAAACAGTGAGGTAAGAGAATCAACTTTTGGTCAGTGAAAAAAATTTGCAATATTTTCAGAGTTAAGTTTGATTTGAAGTAAATGTGACTTCATTAAATTAAAGTCACAAAAGCCAAAACCCACAAGTATGGAAATGAACTTAAAATGAAGAGAGTCTCGAGAAGCCCGTAGGGACCGTGGAGCTTGTTCACCCCCACGTAGGGACCATGGGGCTTGTTCTCCCCTCGTAGGGACCGTGGAGCTTGTTCTACCCCTGTAGGGACCATGGGGCTTGTTCTGCCCTCGATGTCTTTGACTGGATTTGCAGCAGGCTGCTGCTTGTGGGGGTGATGCATTGTGGAGCAGTGTGTGTAGAGAACATGTGGCTCTGAGACAACAGGGAAACCTGGAGCAGGGACTCGGGGGCTGCTCTGAGCTGCACTCCTGATCCTGAAAGTTCTTGCTGCTCTCCCCGTCAGGACGCAGTGATGACTGCAGTGAGGGCATGGGAGTTCTGGAACCTGAAGACCCTGCAGGAGAGGGAGGCCCGGCTGCGGCTGGAGCAGGAGGAGGCGGAGCTCCTGACCTACACGCGAGAGGATGCCTACAGCATGGTACCCGGCCCGGGGCCCTCCTGCCCTCTTGCCCCCCTGCTGAGGGGCACTTGTGCAGCCATGTTTGGCTTGTTCAAAGTCTGTGTACATTGACATGAGAAAATGCCTAGGAATTTTTACTTCTCATATCAACACAACCTCACTTATGTTCTAAAAACACAATTTTCTTAAAAATTGACACTTGGAGATTGTCAGTTAGATATTGACCAGCTCTGATTAAAACATTTATAAGTCTTATAAATAGTCATGTTGATCAGAACTTATTTGAAAGACTTAATGAGTATGAAGGTACATGATTTGTGGCTTATAACATGACACTGAGACTTGGTGGAAGTCAGAGCTTGCCGTGTTCCCTACAGGAGTATGTCTACGAAGATGTCGATGGGCAGACAGAAGTCATGCCGGTGAGTGCTGCCCTCTCCCTTTGTGTCTGTGTGGGCAGCTTCCTGTGAGTTCCACATCTCATGGGCCTTCCCTTCTCCATGCAGCTCTGGACCCCACCCACCCCGCCGCAGGACGACAGCGACATCTACCTCGACTCGGTCATGTGTCTCATGTATGAAGCCACTCCCATCCCAGAGGCTAAGCTGCCCCCTGTGTACGTGAGGAAGGAGCGGAAGCGACACAAAACAGACCCCTCAGGTGCGCATCCCGAGGGCGTCACATGACCTGGGGGGGCCCTGGCCTGCAGAATCCCTGCATGTCAGCCACTTTCTGCTGTCTGCCTGTCTGCTGTCTGCCTGTCTGCTGCAGGGCTAGCGATCACACGCCCATCCGCTGCCTCTCAGGCCATGTGCACAGGTTATGTTGTTTCCAGTGAGGAAACCTTCGTGTTTCATTCTAATTGACCATGAAGGCCCGAAAGCAGGTCTGTCTTTGGCAGGTGCTTTCTGTGGCCTCTTTGCCCAGGCACCTCCAGACTTGCCTGACCTGTTTCCTTTGTCTTTTGCCTGCCCGTGTGGAATCTCCTGGTTTACTCTCTTGCTGAAGACTGCCTCTCTGTTCAGCTGCAGGCAGGAAGAAGAAGCAGCGTCACGGGGAGGCGGTCGTCCCTCCTCGGTCCCTGTTTGACCGCGCAACACCAGGACTTCTGAAAATTCGCAGAGAGGGCAAGGAGCAGAAGAAGAATATTCTGCTGAAGCAGCAGGTGCCATTCGCCAAGCCCCTGCCAACTTTTGCCAAACCCACAGCTGAGCCTGGTCAAGACAACCCCGAGTGGCTCATCAGTGAGGACTGGGCGCTGCTGCAGGTAGGTGGGCGTGGTCTTTGTGCCAGCGGTCATGTGCGGTCATTTTTCTAACGCACGTCCGTGCATCCAGCTCACTGTGATCACTTTGCAGGGAGTCTTTGGCAAGAGGGAAGACCTTCTGACTTAGAGTGTATTCACCTGTTTTACCTGAAATCTCCTTCTCTAGGCTGTAAAGCAGTTACTGGAGCTGCCTTTGAACCTCACAATCGTGTCACCTGCTCACACACCTAATTGGGATCTTGTCAGTGACGTTGTTAACTCCTGTAGCCGAATCTACCGCTCTTCCAAACAGTGCCGGAATCGCTACGAGAATGTCATCATTCCACGAGAGGAGGGGAAGGTAAGCACGGTCTCGTTTGTCCTTCGAGGAGAGCACAGGCAGGTGTGGTGGCCGTGGCCTGCAGTTTCAGCTCCAGTCCTGCTCTTCACTGACTGGGCTCCTTCATCCCTGTGGGTCTGCGGTGAAGTCCATCTCCTTGGGCTCCTGGTGGACCCAGCGAGGTCAGGTGTCTGCACTGTGCCTCGCCTATGGCATGAGCAGTGATGGAGGAGTTCACGTTGTGCTTGTTGGGATCATGCTTGGTGTTGGCAGCAGGCCTCGTACCTGATGTTTTATCTGATACCAACATTTGCACTGCCGTTGTCATTTCTAAGATAATGAGGGTGTCATCTGAATACTTGGCCATATATATATACATTTTCAAGAACGTTTTGGATGAATGAAAAGACCTCTCGCTTGGTTTTGATCATGGCGTACTTAAATGAGGGTGTCATCCAAACACTTGGTCATATATAGATAGACATTTTCAAGAAGGTTTTGGGTGAATGAAAAGATAAGTTGATAAGCTGTCTCGCTTTGTTTTGATCGTGGCGTACTTAAAGAAAAGTCTGTTACTGGTACCTCTGCTATTCTGGTACCGAAAGACTGGCTGGCTGCAATGGTTTGACAAGCATAATATTCTCTGTTTCAGGGTTAACTATAAGTATTGCAAATGTTTATTTACGTGTAGTGTAGTCAAATCATTGGTCTTTCATGTAAGAAGTCAGCTGTGTGGTTTGTAGCTTGACCCCCGAAGAGTCCAGGCGGCTGGTCAGTAACATACAGGCATGCGTGTGGCATGCCTTCCCTCGAGCTGAGTCATCCCTCTCTGTTCTGCATCTGGCTTTCTTCAGGCAGCTCCTTCTTGCTGCTTGCCTGCCTTTCTCGCCTCAGGACAGCATCCAGAGCCCCCACACCAGCAGCGTCTGCATGCTCTACTGTGCCCACGTTGCCAGTGTCCACACCCATTGGGAGGTGTGCTGCCTGACTTCCAGGGCACGTGCCATGCTGGCGTGTGGGGACCACCGCCTTTCAGTTCACCTCATGGAGCCCATCCAAACAGGAGCTGTGGGCACATCTTCTTGCATGGAACAGGGTGGGACACATATAGTAGAGGCAGGCATCCAGTACTTTTATTGTATTTACTTTTGTTCCTAATTTGTGAGAATTAACATTTTCTCCATAGTAGCCAGATCCATCCTCAGGATGCGAACATCACACTTAATTTATTTCTGTACCCACTCTTTCAGTCATCTGTCTTTTCATTTTTCTAAAAACACTTGTCTCAAAGCATTTGTTTGTTTTTTTTGTTAAATGTAGAAAAGCAAGTTTTCTTCGTAATACCACTTTGTGGTCCCTTCACCAATAAGACTTCCTGGAATCTTGCATTAATTAGGTTTTCTGTGTTTTGGAAGCATTTATAATAATAGCCATTACCTTATTATGGAAAAAAAATTAAAGCTAAAATATTGTATTGGGGGAACCTGCCCCCGATAGTCACGTAGGTTCTTTTCTATTTTCCCTAAGTGTTGGCCGGTCTGAGAAGTAAAGGGAAAGAGTACAAAAAAGAGAAATTTTAAAGCTGGGTGTCTGGGGGAGACATCACATGTCGGCAGGTTCCGTGATGCCCCCTGAGCAGTAAAACCAGCAAGCTTTTATGAGTGATTTCAAAAGGGGAGGGAGTGTATGAATAGGGTGTGGGTCACAGAGATCACATGCTTCACAAGGTAATAGAATATCACAAGGTAAATGGAGGCAGGGCGAGATCACAGGACCACAGGACCAGGGCGAAATTAAAATTGTTAATGAAGTTTCGGGCAGGCACTGTCATTGATAACATCTTATCAGGAAACAGGGTTTGAGAGCAGACAACCAGTCTGACCAAAATTTATTAGGCAGGAATTTCCTCATCCTGATAAGCCTGGGAGGGCTACAGGAGACTGGGGCTTATTTCATCCCTACAGCTGTGACCGTAAAAGACAGCTGCCCCCAAAGCGGCCATTTCAGAGGCCTACCCTCAGAGACGCATTCTCTTTCTCAGGATGTTCCTTGCTGAGAAAAAGAATTCAACGAATTCAGCAATATTTCTCGCATTTGCTTTTGAAAGAAGAGAAATACGGCTCTGTTCCGCCTGGCTCACCGGCAGTCAGAGTTTAAGGTTATCTCTCTTGTTCCCTGAACATTGCTGTTATTCTGTTCTTTTTTTGAGGTGCCCAGATTTCATATTGTTCAAACACACATGCTCTACAAACAATTTGTGCAGTTAACAAAATCATCACAGGGTCCTGAGGCGACATACATCCCCCTCAGCTTACAAAGATGATGGGATTAAGAGATTAAAGACAGGCCTAGGAAATCACAAGGGTATTGACTGGGGAAGTGATAAGTGTCCATGAAATCTTCACAATTTATGTTTAGAGATTGCAGTAAAGACAGGCGTAAGAAATTATAAAAGTATTAATTTGGGGAACTAGTAAATGTCCATGAAATATTCACAATCCACGTTCTTCTGCCATGGCTTCGGCCAGTCCCTCTGTTCGGGGTCCCTGACTTCCTGCAACAATATTGTCTTCTTTTATAGCTGATTTATGAAGCTAATCCAAAGAAAAAGGCAAAAATATTTGTAAAGTTTGAGAGTGATTTTTTTTTTTTTTTTTTTTAGACGGGAATTTCACTGTTGTCACCTAGGCTGGAGTGCAGTGGCACGATCTCGGCTCACTGCAACCTCTGCCTCTCAGGTTCAAGTGATTCTCCTGCCTCAGCCTCCCGAGTAGCTGGGATTACAGGTGCATGCCACCATACCCAGCTAATTTTTGTATTTTTAGTAGAGGCATGTCCTCTACTGCTAGAGGAATGCCCTAAATTTCACCAGGTTGGCCAGGCTAGTCTCGATCTCCTGACCTCAGATAATCTACCCACCTCGGCCTCCCAAAGTGTTGGGATTACAGGCATGAACCACCAGCCCTGGCTGTGGGTGATGTTCTGAATAAGTTGGAGCACTTTGTTAAGAGCCTGTGCACAGAAACATAGAGTAAGATTCAGTCTTAACCTGTATTTTAGGAATCAACAGAAACCTGAGACCTAGAATTTTCTCCAGGGCCTCTCATTCTGTACATAGAGGACATGCCTCTTTGCATTAGAGGACCCCATGGTGACTTGCCGAGCCCCCTAAAGGACATCCTGAGCCTCCATGACCCTCACTCCCTGTGGAAGCCCATGATAGTGACAGTGGTCGGATGTGTGCGTGAGTGGGACAGCCCCACCTCTCAAAGCCTGCGGGGGCTCCAGCAAGCCATGCGGGGCGGGGCATTCATGCCTGGTTAGAGCCTGCACAGGAGTTCCATTACCAGACACACGGTCTTTCCATCTCTGACTTGGCTCAGTTGAGCCATCCAGTGTCATGTGTGATAGGCCTGGTATTAGTCTTATGCACCCCTTCTCCCTGCTTCCCTTTGCTTACTCTTAGGATAATAGGTAGGAGGAGAATGCTTCCCTGTATGGTACAGTGTTCCGGAAGCAGACTGCTGTGGCCTTGCATGTTGGTTTCTAGTTCTGGTTGTCCTTGGTGTTGCCTTCAGAATTTAAGGCATTCCTCTAGCAGTGGAGGACACATGTGCACACAGACATGTATACATGTACCTGCACAGACACACCCATACCTGGGCCTGTGCTGCTGTGTCATGTGAGAGTCTTGGTTTTCGCCTTGGCACACTCTCTTTGACCAGGGTTTAGAGGAGCATGGGGGAAGAGCCCTGGGTGAGGAAGGAGGTGCTTGAGCCCTGGTCTTGACTTGTCGCTACCTCTGTGACCTTGCACAGACAGCATTCCTGGGACAGCTGTTCACTTCACAGGATAAGGAGTTGCTTTAAAATTCTGCAGGATTCTAAGATGTCTTGGGAGCACATAGCCCACAATTGAGTGGCCCATTGTTTAGCTGTGCCATTTATGAAGGAAAGACTGCCAGCCATAAGCACTGCTAGAGACCCCAAGAATGTACTTTGAGACACCACTGGGCATGCGCCAGCCTCACTGTCCACCGTGGGCAGATGACAGTGTTGTCCGTGGCAGTCCGCGCTGCCCCTTGGTGTTAGCGGGTGAAGGCTCACAGCCCGCTCCACACAGTCACCTGCCATGTGACCTTGGGCACTTTGCACACCTGTTTTGTTCCCTCTCCCTCTTGGGGTGATTATGGGGCTTACGTGAGAGAACACCTGGAAAGGATTAGCATGGACTGGAGAGTGTCACAGCAGTCGGCCGCGACAGCCACTTAATGCCGCTGCTGTTGGGTTATGCCTGAACTTGGAAAGAAGGCCCAGGAAAAGGAAGTTTGTGTTCAGCCATGGGGAGTTTAGCCTCAGATTCCCACCCAGTGAGCCCTGTGTCCCACGCAGCCGTCTGTCCATGCTGCCTAATTCAGATGCACTCTCGTCAATTTCATTGCAGAGTAAAAACAACCGTCCTCTCCGTACGAGCCAGATCTATGCCCAGGATGAGAATGCCACACACACCCAGCTGTACACGAGCCACTTTGACTTAATGAAAATGACTGCTGGCAAGAGGAGTCCCCCAATCAAACCTCTGTATGTTTCCTGAGTGCTCATTTTATGTTCATTATGACTGAGTAGATTGCGTGAAGCTTGGTTTTGATGTGTTTTTAACATACCCTTCTTCAGATATTTCCTTTATTTAATAATTGCTGTCTCACTGTCTATACTTCAGGCTTGGCATGAATCCCTTTCAGAAGAACCCCAAGCACGCGTCTGTGTTGGCAGAAAGGTATTTCTCTATTCGTGACACATTTGTTACTGTTTGGAAGGATTTCATTCCAGTGTCATCTAAGTTCAGTGAGTTCAGCAAATCGTTGTGCACTTAGCGTGTTCAGGCATCAGCTGGACGTGGCAGTGCGCAGAACCTGCAGGAGAGAGGTGCTTTTCCTGCCGTGGGCTAGGGTATGCATAGGACGGCCCCTGCCCTGTCTCTGTGTTACAGGGATTGTCCTTGCTGGCCCTCAGTGGGGAAAGACGCTGACAGATGTGATGAGTGTGCCAGGGCCATGTGGCCAACCACAAGGGGCTTTCTTCCTCACACCCCACCTCTCAGGCACTGATTTTGTTCGCCATATCTTAAGAACACACCACATTTAGGGGTGTGTGTACCTGCCCTGAAGTTATACAGGGGAAAAGAGGAATGAATGAATGGATGGGTACAGAAGTGGGTAGATGCAAGAAAGTAAATGGGGTAATGGATGGTGGAACCCCAGTGTGGAACCTTACTGCCAGGCACATGGGTGTCTGTAGCGTTTCTGACTGTCGGACTCTTTCCATAAAATGTTGGAAAGGAGGTCTGCTGGGATGAAATGATGTGCATCTGGTTTAGGCACTGTTGTCTGTAGGCTCCAACCCTACAGGGTCGGTGGGTTTCTCCCCGTGTGCGGAGACGAGAGAGCGTAGAAATAAAGACACAAGACAGAGATAAAAGACAGCTGGGACTGGGGGACCACTACTACCAAGACATGGAGACCAGTAGTGGCCCCAAATGCCAGGCTGCACTGATATTTATTGGATACAAGACTCAGGCAGGACAAGGAGTGTGAGCCATCTCCAGTGATAGGTAAGGCCACGTGGATCACATGGCCACTGGACAGGGGGCCCTTCCCTGCCTGGCAGCCGAGGTAGAGAGAGAAGGAGAGAAACATCTTACATTATTATTTCTGCTTATCGGAGACTTTTAGTACTTTCACTAATTTGCTGCTGCTAACTAAACGGCAGAGCCAGGTGTACAAGATGGAACATGAAGGCAGACTAGGAGTGTGACCACTGAAGCACAGCATCACAGGGAGACGGTTAGGCCTCCGGATAACTGCGGGCGGGCCTGACTAATGTCAGGCCCTCCACAAGAGGTGGAGGAGTAGAGTTTTCTCTAAACTCCCCTGGGGAAAGGGAGACTCCCTTTCCCGGTCCACTAAGTAGTGGGTGTTTTTCCTTGACACTAATGCTACTGCTAGACCACGGTCCGCTTGGCAGTGGGTGTCTTCCCAGACGCTGGCGTTACCGCTAGACCCAGGAGCCCTCTGGTGGCCCTGTCCGGGCATAACAGAAGGCTTGCACGCTTGTCTTCTGGTCACTTCTCACTGTGTCCTCTCAGCTCCTATCTCTGTATGGCCTGGCTTTTCCTAGGTTATGATTATAGAGCGAGGATTATTATAATATTGGAATAAAGAGTAATTGCTACCAACTAATGATTAATGATATTCATAGATAATCATATCTAAGATCTATATCTGGTATAACTATTCTTGTTTTATATTTTATTATACTGGAACAGCTCGTGTCCTTGGTCTCTTGCCTCGGCACCTGAGTGGCTTGCCGCCCACAGTTGTCACACAGTGGCGGATTTGGGAGGCTTCCTCGTTCTGTGGCCCCCTTTCCGCACAGTAGTGGAGTGATCCTTGTCAGAAGGAGTTGGCTCAGGGCCCATCTCCGCAAACCCCCAGGACTCCCTACTGCCCACGCTCTGAGTCGCCTGGCCCTGGCTTTCAGCCCCTTGGTGCTCCCTGAGTGTGCTGGCAGCCGCGCCCCAGCCCTTCACTTAACTGCCCTCGTGAGATGTTTTCAGAGCGCACTGTTGAGAATTGCAGCCCCGCCCTGCTGTTTTCCTCCATAGCAGCCAGTACGTCTTCAGACCCACTGCACATTTTACCTGTTTGTCGTCTGATGTGAGTGCTGTGATCGCTGGGACTCTAGCGTCTGGGAGCACAGACCCATCATTTGATTGATGTTGTCGATTAAATGAAGAGTTAATTCACCCTACTAATATTTATGGACCGCGGGCCTGCGCGGCGTGGAGCCTGGGCATTCTCGGGGGAGCGAGAGAGGCACAGTCCCGCCCTCCCTTTACCTCCCTGGAGAGGAACTCGAGGGCATCCTCACAGAAGGAACAGACAGAGATTTTCCCAAGTACAGTGCAGACACATGAGGTGGGCTGTGCGTTTGGGGGCTGCCACAAGTACGCTGGGGACGTGTTCGGAGATACTTTTCCTGGAGAGTGGGAGAGCTCGGCCTCAAGGAAGAGGACTCAGCGCCAGGCTGAGGATGAGGTCTAGGTGGCTCGATCTCCTGCAGGGCACATTGGGCACCTTGCTTTACGCCCTCATCTCTTGGGCTGGAGCTGCCCCAGCACCTGGCAGCATGGTGTTTCTAGGGTACGTGGTACTTGTCTGTCTTAAAACTTGCCTGTATGTTTTTAACCTTTGCGTCTGTCTTTCAGTGGAATCAACTATGACAAGCCGCTGCCTCCCATCCAGGTGGCATCTCTCCGTGCAGAGCGAATCGCAAAAGAGAAAAAGGTCAGCGCCCTGGGCCCTTCTGCTTGAGTGGGAAAATGTGGTGACTGTGACTTCATCCAGGGGGTATGCAGGCCGAGTCTGCCCCTCCAGTGGCTCCTCTTCCTTCCTGGCCCCTCAGGCTCTGGCTGATCAGCAGAAGGCACAGCAGCCGGCCGTGGCCCAGCCACCCCCGCCCCAGCCGCAGCCCCCACCACCCCCGCAGCAGCCACCGCCACCGCTGCCACAACCACAGGCAGCGGGCAGCCAGCCGCCAGCAGGGCCACCAGCTGTCCAGCCCCAACCCCAGCCACAGCCCCAGACCCAGCCACAGCCTGTGCAGGCCCCAGCGAAGGCGCAGCCCGCAATCACGACGGGGGGCAGTGCAGCCGTACTGGTGAGCAGGGGCCTCCTCCCGGGCTTCCCCTCTACGGGAAGTCACCCACACCTGCACTTGATTCAAGTGCTTTCTGTTGAAACGAAGACTTGTTGCCAGTTCTAGCACATTTCCAGCTTGTAGACCTTCCTCTGAAGAAATGGGAAAAGGCTTAGTCTCATCCCAGAGGAATTGTGTGTTTTCACCTGGATTCTGCCATTTCTCTCCTCCAGGGCTTTTGTGGGCTTAGTGGCTTTATTGGATTTGGCAGGTAGAGGCAGCTCCTTTTAGTGGAGGTGGTTGGGAAGTTTGTAATTGCCTGGGTTTTGTAAAACATACCTGTGACGCATTCACTTCCTGACTTCCTACACACTTAGAGAGCAGGTACTGCCTGTGTCGGTGTCTCAAAGCATGCCCATGTGTGCTCCCCCACACAGGTCAGTCTTTAATGCCTGTTGTAGAAAAGCTGTAAAGCACACAAGAAGCATTGTGAAAAGAAAGGCAGGGTGCGGAGCTGCGGACTGTGGCCATGCACACCACGCTCTGGTGTATCTCTGTACTGTGTGCGTCCGTGTGCCACACAGACGCTGAAATCATATGCGCAGAATCACACCTGCAGAGAATAGGAGCTGTGCCAAATTGGGGAAACCCACACTTTGGACTACCAGGCAGGCATAAAAATATTTTTGTTACATAGAACCATTTCCTGCAGTAGTTTTTAGAAAATTGTTTGCTGTAGTGGAATTTTTATATGTACTCAGGCAACTTCATTCCTCATTTATTCAAAAGGGATCTTTGTGAATACTTACTTGGTGCAAGGTGGGCAAGATGGGCAGTGCCCACATTCTGGAGCCACGTCCTACAGGGGAGGGAGGCAGCCAAAGGGATCATTTTAAATGCTGGCGGGAGGAGTCAGGGTGGCACAATGCAGGACTGGCTTGTTAGGAAACACCTTTCTGAGGACTTGGCATTTGAGCTAAGGCCTGAATGACAAGGAGTTGGTCATAAGAAGAACAAAACAGCAAGTACAGAGGCCCTGAGCTTGGCTGATATGGGGGCCAGAAAGCTCAGTGTGGCTGGACTCAGGTGGTGAGGGACAGAGGGTGGATGAATGGAGTGGAGGGACGGAGGAGTGGAGGGACAGTGGGGTGAGGGTGGAGGGACAGTGGGATGGAGGGTCCCTGGGGTGGAGGGACAATGGGATAGGGGTGGAGGGACAGCAGGTAGACAGAGGGTGGGGGCACCGCCAGGTGGAATGAGCTGGGGAGGATGGGACAGGTGGCTGTGTGAATGTCGTGGAGTTTGGATTTGATTCTGAATGAAGTGGAAGCCTTTGGAGGATTTATGCAGGGGAGAGCCTGACGTGAAATTCAAATGGATTTTTTTTTTTTAAATAGGCAGGAACCATTAAAACATCAGTTACTGGGACGAGCATGCCCACTGGTAAGACAAATACAGAGATGCTGAAATGTGGACCCCATTTCTCCTGGCGCTGTTGCCTTATGCCCGCCTGTCTCCGCAGGTGCCGTGAGTGGAAATGTGATCGTGAACACCATCGCAGGGGTCCCAGCTGCCACCTTCCAGTCCATCAACAAGCGCCTGGCGTCGCCAGTGGCTCCTGGGGCCTTGACTGTGAGTTGCGCTTCACCTGGGTTGTGCACCTTGACTGCATTCTGCCGAAATTATTTGCTTGTCTGTTAATTCTTCTTCTTCTTTTTAAGTATTCCATTGGTGAAAAACTGTCTAGTTTGAATTTCATAAAATAAGTAGCTGATCAGTATGTTGATTTCAGAAACATTCAGCTGTTTAGGGGATGGTTTCCATTCTGTATGAGGGATGAAAATGAGGTGGGGTATGTGTGTGTGTGTGTGGTGTAGGGGTGTGTGTGTGTGTGTGTGAGGTGTAGGGGTGTGTGTGAGGTGTAGGTGTGTGTGTGTGAGGTGTAGGGGTGTGTGTGAGGTGTAGGGGTTGTGTGTGTGAGGTGTAGGGGTGTGTGTGAGGTGTAGGGGTATGTGTGGTATAGGGGTGTGTGTGAGGTGTAGGGGTTGTGTGTGTGAGGTGTAGGGGTGTGTGTGAGGTGTAGGGGTATGTGTGTGAGGTGTAGGGGGGCGTGTGTGAAGTGTAGGGGTGTGTGTGTGTGTGAAGTGTAGGGGTGTGTGTGTGAAGTGTAGGAGGGTATGTGTGTGTGTGTGTGTGAACTGTCCCCTCCCTGTAGGATGATTTTAGATAGGAGGTAGGCGGGATGTGAGGGTCCGCTGCTGATTCTATTGCCGCAGGTGCCCCCCATGTGCTTGTCACTGTGCCCATGTGGGGAAGCTAAGAGATGACAGCCCTCTTGGGGGCGTGGTTTTGGGGGAGGGGACACGGCATCACACGAGGGCATGGCTGGGTGTGTGCAAGGAGCAGGTGGGCATGGGAGGAGCGGGCAGTTTCTACGGAACGTGGAGACCCCAGGTGTGGGAAGCGGTAGGTGCAGCCCACCCAGGTGGAGAGGAGGCACCTAGGCAAAGGTGCAGAGCCATGTGGTGCCCTGGGACCACCTGCTTCTCTTGGGTGTTTCATCATCAGAACCAAACACAAGTGAGAATAAGGAGCTCAGATTTGTATCTCGATTTTCCAAATAGTTCACAGACCCAGGGGCAACATACCCTGAATGAGAAGAAACGATGCTTCAAAGTCAGTGCTTTGGCAAGTAGAATGTAGTCTCTCTTGGGTTTTGAAAAGCATCTTTCCTGTGAAGATGTCGTTGCTGTAGTAGCCTAGATGATGGAGCATTGGCAGGATAGATGTGTAGATGATGGAATTGGATAGAGAGTCCAGAAATAGACCCCTCCCCAACACAACACACGCACACACACACACACACACACATTTTCAGTTGACCTCAGTAAAAGTGCCAAGGGAATTCAGTGGTGAACAGACTGTCTTGTCAGCAAACGGTGCTGTAACAGTTGGGCAGCCATGTGCAAAACAATGAGCCTTGGCCCGTAACTCACACGGAGTATGAAAGGCACTCCAGGTGGATCACAGGCCTGCATGTAAAAGCAAAAACTACACTGTAAGCCAAAACAGTAGCATTTCTAGGAGAAAATCTGTGCTACTTTGGTTTAGGCAGAGATTTCTTAGGATACCAGAAGCCTGTGAATCCTGAAGAAAAGTTAATACGTTAGGCGTCATCAAAATTAAGGACTTCTGCTCCTTGAGAAATAGTAAGAAAACGAAAAGCATAGACTGGGAGAAAATATAAAGATTCTTCAACTCAGTAGTAAGAAAACAAGCAACTGTATAAAATGGGCAGAAGATGCAGCAGTCACTTCACCAAGAAGCTAGAAGAATAACAGATAAATACCTGAAAAGGTGTGCAACGCCATGAGTCATCAGGGGAATGCAGATTTTTACAACCACAGTGATACACCACCATGTGCCTGGGAGAGTGGCTTCAGAAACAGAAGGCTGGCAGTCATGGAAGCAGCGAGGACCCTCTCACAAGGTTGTGGGAATGCAGAGTCCACAGTCGCTTCCTAAAACAGTTTCTTATAAAACCAAGCCTACTCTTACCATGCAGCTTCGCAGTTCTGCTGCTAGGTACTTCCCCAAGAGAAGTGAAAACGCCAGAACAAGAACCCTCAACACCAATGTTTATAGTGGCTTTATTCAGGATTGCTCAAAAAGAAAACAGCCTAAATGCCCTTCAGCTGGTGAATGGGCTGATAAACCATGGTACATTCATACAGCCCAGTCCTACCAAGCAATACAAAAGAATGAATGCCCGAGACATACATCTCCATGGAGGACTCTCAGATGCATTTTGCAGCTAAGTGAACAGTTTCAGAAAGCTTCATATGCTGTATGACTCCGTTTCAATAACAGAAAACAGATGAATGATTGCCAGATGCGGGAGGGGCTCCACTACGGAGAGGAATTCGAGAACGTTGGGAGTGGTGGGGTCATGGCAGTAGCTACGTGATGATAATGTGTCCGTCAGAATTCGTAGAACCATATATTGTACTCTGTAAATTACCCTTCAATAAATCCCTCTAAAACACTCTTAAGCAGTAGAATATATATACACACAGTTTTTCTAGTATGTGACTTTAAGATTATTTCACTTTTCTTTCTGCTTTGCAGTAAACAACTTCAGGCTCTGTCACTGCAGTAGATAGCAGAAGCTGTTAGGCCTGAGGCGTTTGGAACATCCCGTATGACCAATACCACTGTTTCTATGAGGGTACCAAGCCAGAATCACTGCATTTAGCGTTTTATTTTGAAAAAGACCTGTTCTTTGTGGTATTTTAAAATGTAAAGCATTTCATTCACGACATATTTTTGAGTGGCTCTTAATGGACAAGACATTCTTCCTGGCACTGTGGGCCCAAGACACAGTGTGCTTTCATGGGGGCCTTGTAGTGCTGTGGCTGGAACATGAGAGAGGTGCAGATAGCAGTGGTGGACATGTGTGATTGTACTCGGGGGACTCAGAGAAGGCTTTCAGGAGAAAGTGATGTTGGGCTTCAGGAGGACAGGAAGTACGTCATCCACAGAACTGGCCCTTCTGAATGCAGGGCCAGTCTTGTGAGCGGAGGGTCTGAGGGGAAGGGAATGGCGTGCATGGAGAATGGCATGTTGTTCTGTTTGAATGGAACACAAAAGATATTAACAGAGAAACAGTGGTTCCCTGCCTTTAAAAAGTTTTTATTGAGTGGCTTCTGTGTGCTTGGCACTTTGTAATATTGAGGCTAGATTGTACTGGGCTTTGGATATTGGGCTAAAGATTGGATTTTTTTTTTTTTTTTTTTGAGACAGAGTCTCTCCCTGTCACCCAGGCTAAAGTGCAGTGGTGCGATCTCGGCTCACTGCAACCTCCGCCTCCTGGGTTCAGGTTATTCTGCCTCAGCCTCCTGAGTAGCTGGGATTACAGGTGCCCGCCACCGTACCTGGCTAATTTTTGTATTTTTGGTAGAGACGGGGTTTCACCATCTTGGCCTGGCTGGTCTTGAACTCCTGATCTCGTGATCCACCCACCTCAGCCTCCCAAAGTGCTGGGGTTACAGGCGTGAGCCACCGCGCCCAGCCTAGACTATGGATTTTATTCACCAGGCAGTGGGGAGCCCTTAACGGTCTTAGAGCAGAGAGAAGTTCTAGGAAAATTAACGTGCTCCTACGTATGTAGAATTGATTAGAGTAGAAGAGGCTAAGGAGAAAAACGATTTCTTCCTTTTTTTTTTTTTTTGCGACAGCATCTTGCTGTTGCTCTGGCTGGAGTGCAGGGGTACAATCACAGCTCACTGCAGCCTCACACTCACAGGCTGAAGCAATCCTCCCACCTCAGCTTCCTGAATAGTTGGGATGCGAAAACTGTTTAAGGAGTCCAGAAAAGGATGACTTCTGTTTCTGGTAACAAGATGAGTTAAGTTATTTTTATACCACCTCTTAATGAAAAGAACTGAAGTTATTGGATAAAAATTTTTAAAGCTTCAAGGAATTGACAAGAATAATTAATTATCAGGCCCAAATCTAAGGGAGGGAAGAAACTCAGAGAAAGAAATAGGATTCACTGAAGTCATGTTTGCCTTGAAAATAAATTTCAGCTTGTGGAATGAGGGAACTTGAATTCAAGTCCAAGGCTGGGCCAAGGTGGAGAATCTAAAAAGGAAACTATTGATACACCGAGGTAGGGCCCCAGGTGGCTAAACCTTTAGAGCAGGAGTGAACCAGAAGCAGAATCCATCTGCCCTTGGCCTTCAGGGGTCAAAAGAAGAGTAGCCCTTGGATTGAGTAGTGGAGCATGGTGGGGACGGCCCCCGAGAGGTTGAAACCACAGGGTAGTTTGCAGCTCAAGTCGATATTACCTTAAAAGTGTCTCCCGCACTCCCTCACATCAAGTGAAGTCTACCTGCTTCAGTGGGCATGTTCCTGGGCAGCTGACCTGGAGCAAATGCAGATTCTCTCTGGAGGATTGTGCTTTCTTGACTTCTGAGAATCTCCACAAATAGTTTTCTAGTATAATACAGTACAATACAATAGAATACAAAATAACTAAACAGAGAAGAGAAGGCATTATGAGTGAGAATCAGCGGAATGACAGACACTGGATAGGCCTGTAAAGATGTGCGATATTGGGATTATCAGGTTTAGATTTTAAAGGTTAGGCTTTCAGGCTGGGCGTGGTGTCTCAACGCCTGTAATCCCAGCATCTTGGGAGGCCAAGGCGGGCGGATCACGAGGTCAGGAGATAAGAGACCATTCTGGCTAACACGGTGAAACCCCGTGTCTACAGAAAATACAAAAAAAAAAAAATCAGCCAGGTGTGGTGGCACGCGTGTGTAGTCCCAGCTACTCGGGAGGCTGAGGCAGGAGAATTGCTTGAACCCGGGAGGCGGAGGTTGCAGTGAGCCAAGATCACACCATTGCTCTCCAGCCTGGGTGACAGAGCGAGACTCCGTTAAAAAAAAAAAAAAGTTATGCTTTCTATTTTAAGGAAATAGAAGATTGAGAGTATCTGAATATCTGTAAGCAGGAAACTATGTTTAGAAAGTATATAGAGAACTTTTAGAAAAGTCTGATTACCAAAACTGGGGGAAACAACCCAAACTTAAGAATGGGCTTAATATCACACAATTGAGGAGAAAATGAGGGAAGTGGAGGCAAAAATCAGAAGACATCCTACACACAACATGGGATGACAAGATGACACATGGAGGACATGGTGACAGGGCCTGATAGGTAGTCACTGACTATCAGACAGAAAATTGAGCAGAGTCAATATTTGAAGACAGAATAGTTTTTGAGAACTTACTAATGACACTGATGCGTATATGTAGAAAGTCTAATCCCAGTCAAGGATGAGAAAAAGGAACCACGTCTGCATAATGCTAGTGACCAAGAGGTCTTTCAAGCAGCCATAGGAAAAGACAGATTGCCTTCAGAGGTGGAGCGGCTCACTTGTCAGCAGCAGCAGTGAGGCCGGGAGCCAGCGGGGGTCGTTGTCGTGCCAGGGAAAGAAAGTTGCTGCCAGCCTAGGGCTCTGCATCTCTTGGAGATATCTTAAAGAACAAGGGAGGCCGGGTGTGGTGGCCCACACCTATAATCCCAGCACTTTGGGAGGCCGAGGCGGGCAGATCTGAGGTTGGGAGTTCCAGACCAGCCTGACCAACATGGAGAAACCCCATCTCTACCAAAATTACAAAATTAGCTGGGCGTGGTGGCACATGCCTGTAATGCCAGCTATTCAGGAGGCTGAGGCAGGAGAATTGCTTGAACCTGGGAGGCAGAGGTTGCGGTGAGCCAAGATTGCGCCATTGCAGTGCAGCCTGGGCAACGAGAGCAAGACTCCGTCTCAAAAAAAAAAAAAAACAAAAAACAAAACAAAACAAAAAAAAACAAGGGCAAAATAAAGACATTTTCAACTTTGGACCTTCACTGAATGATATGCTTTAAGCAGAAGAAAGGTGTTCCCAGCTGGAAGTGGTAACAAGGTAGACTCATGGATGAACGCAGGAGCTCACTGGGGTTAGAAAGAGGAAATAAATACACAGGACAATAACATGCAAGCTGGGGAAGGGGCAGAGGGGCTGAAATGTGCACAGATCTCGTTACTGTTTAGGAAAAGCATGGAGTATTTAGACTTTGGCAAGCATCCGTGGTAATTCCAGACCAGCCACCAGAAGAATGAGAGCAGAGCGAGTTGCTCCCAACTGTGGCAGGGACATTGGTGAGGAAAGAGTCATCTGAGAGGAGGCAAGGAAGGAGATGAAAAGAAACATACAGCAGCTGGGTGGAATGGAAAACATGGAGTAACACGCTAGATTTCCATCCAAATGCGTAAGCAATGAGACATAAAAGGATCAAGAGAAACTAAAAATACACTGCACTTCGGAACCAAGGGAGCTGGCAGAGGTCAGCTGGAGGGACACTGCAGAGGTGGCATGATTGCGTTTGCCTTCCAGTTTATGGTGGGACAAGGAAGGACGGTGAGGCAAGGTGGGATAGGGTGAGGGGACCACTCTGGCTGCCACTTCTGCCTGCGGGCCAGAGTGGACTGCAGGGCACAGTGAGGATGCTCTGAATTTTAGGCAAGATGAAGGTAAGATGCCACAAGACCCCACGCACATGGTGAGACACTCAGGGCTGTAGTTTCAGCACAGATGGGGACAGTGGTAGAGAGCCAGGACTGTGGGCTGTGTGTTTGTGGGTAGCATGGGTGCCTCAAGGACAGTCGTTACGTTCCTGGGGACCAAGAGGTCTTTGTGCGGAGAGGGAGGGACAGGACGGCCTTTCCAGCATGTGCACGGGCGTGCCGCCATCTGAAGCGTGTTTCTGTGGGTGATGTGATCTGCTGGGAGAAACCATTGCTCAGGGCACTTGCTTGTGAATTTACACATGAAATCAGCAGTTTTCAAAAGACTGAACTCTAGCGTGTGTTTCACTTGTTTCGCCTCTGAAGTTGGGTGCTCTTGTCTTCCCTGCTCTGAGTGTGAACAGCCCTGAGTGCTGTGTGAAATATTTGATGAGGTCCTCTGTTTGCCTTTTCTAGACGCCGGGAGGCTCTGCTCCCGCCCAGGTGGTGCACACCCAGCCCCCGCCACGGGCAGTCGGCTCCCCAGCCACGGCGACCCCTGACCTGGTGTCCATGGCAACGACTCAGGGTGTTCGAGCGGTCACTTCTGTGACAGCCTCGGCCGTGGTCACTACCAACCTGACCCCAGTGCAGACCCCGGCACGGTCTTTGGTGCCCCAAGTGTCCCAAGGTAAAGCCAGGCTGGGAGCTTTCTCTGCCACACGTCTGCTCTGGCGCGTGTGAGGGCTCAGCTGCTGCTTGCTGTCTGAGAATGAGGATCTGAAGGTGGGCGAGTATCCCTGTCCAGACCTAATGAGCAAACCTCTTCATAGCCACAGGAGTTCAGCTCCCTGGAAAAACCATCACACCTGCACATTTCCAGCTTCTCAGGCAGCAGCAGCAGCAGCAGCAACAACAGCAGCAGCAGCAGCAGCAGCAGCAGCAGCAGCAGCAGCAGCAACAGCAGCAGCAGCAACAGACGACGACGACCTCTCAGGTGCAAGTTCCACAGATCCAGGGCCAGGCCCAGTCCCCAGCACAGATCAAAGCTGTGGGCAAGCTGACGCCGGTGAGCATTTCCCAGAGGACCATGAACGTGTGCGTCTTGCGGTCAGTCAGCCCAGCGTCTGTGAGACGGTGCCTGCTTGCATGGTGCAGTCCAGAGTGTATTTTGCAAACGTCTAGCACTGCCTTTATGTAGGACGCGTGCTTCGTTTTATTGGTCTAAAATTTCCCATGTCATAACACTTTGATCATGCCTTAGAGAAGTCTTACAGCTTATTCAGAGCACTTTGGAGACATTAACACCCAGCGTGCAAATGCGTCTTCTTGCTTAGGCGTCTTGTGCCTTGTGTTCAGCATCAGTCTCTAGGCCCGCTTGGTGTGGTTCTGGACCAGAGAAAGTGCTGGTGAGAAGATATTCCTCAGCAGTGTTGGGAGAGCAGGCGATGGACCCTGGGTTTGTTTCGATGTGGTTCACGTGCGGTACTGTTTCTCAAAGGTGGTCATTGGAGTACTGATGTACCTGATTTTTGCTAACCTCTGTACCAGCTTTGCTGTTCTTTATGTAAATATATTCATTTTCAAAGGAAATGTTGGGCCGGACACAGTGGCTCACGCCTATAATCCCAGCACTTTGGGAGGCCAAGGCGGGCAGAGCATTTAAGGTCAGGAGTTCGAGACCAGCCTGGTCAACATGGCAAATCCCCGTCTCTACTAGAAATACAAAAATTAGCCGGACGTGGTGGCGGGTGCCTGTAATCCCAGCTGAGGCCCAAGAATCGCTTGAACCTGGAAGGCAGAGGTTGCAGTGAGCCGAGATTGTGCCACTGCACTCCAGCCTGGGCAACAGAACAAGACTGTGTCTCAAAGGAAAAAAAAAGGAAATGTTATGTCCTACCATAAATGAAAAATCATTAATACTTGTCATAGAAAGTAACCAGAGACACATACGGAATAAAGACAAGACAATATTTTGAAGTTTCAGCTCACTGTTGGGCCTGCCGGAGTGCTTGAGTCTGGGCCTCTCCGTGGTCTGGAAGGGAGGAAGTGGGCTGCAGGAGACGCACACTCAGCTGAGGGCCCCTCCTGGGGCTGTCGGGAGGGCTGTCGGTGGAATTTAGACATTGAGCTTATCCTGTTCCTGTCACACCAGCCATCCCTCGAGGGCTGCATGGCCATATGTGGCTGTGGCTACCACCCTGGGCAGCCCCCGCCTAGCCCACTTGTATCCTGCGGGACGTGCCACTGGACAGTGCTGAATTAGAATGCTGTGCTCAAGAGTCCCAGGCCCAGCAGAGGCAACTGTCAGGGAGTCAGAGCCGGGCTTTGACCCCCCCGGCCCACAGCCACACAGGTACCTTGTCACCTGCCCCGGTTCAACCACTGATGACCCCCCCCCGGCCCACAGCCACACAGGTGCCTTGTCACCTGCCCCGGTTCAACCACTGATGACCCCCCGGCCTACAGCCACACAGGTGCCTTGTCACCTGCCCCGGTTCAACCACTGAGACACCAGTGCCGTCAACATCAAGGCTGCCACCCAGCCTTGGCTGCCAGGAGCTCTGTGTGCCAGCTGTTTGCCTGTCTCCTTCGTTCCTCACTCTGCCCTCTCCCAAATCCATTTCAAAACCAGTTCACTTCCAGCATTTCAAAAGAGACTTGATAGTCATGATCAACTCAGTATAGGTTTTCTTAAAAAATTTTTTCTTAAAATGTTTTTTGAACTTCAAATAAGTTTGGTTGGTGCTACAGATTTAAATCGACTTGTTTGTGAGGATAATAGAATTCTTTTTGCTATGAACTTATCAGTCAGAATCCGTGTTTGTAGTTTTCACCGACGAATGCACATTTTTAATAAATGAACACCTGGAAGATACTGGGCAGCCCATGGAAGGCGGTCTGGATGCTGCACGGTAGCAGGTGTCTGCTTTGGTATTTAATGGGCAGTAGAGGGGTGGCTTAGGAACAAGATGTCTACTTAAAGAATGGAGCACAGTTAATGTTGAAGAGAAGATACTTTGCTTGTATTTTAGGAACACCTCATCAAAATGCAGAAGCAGAAACTGCAGATGCCCCCGCAGCCCCCACCGCCACAGGCCCAGTCTGCGCCCCCGCAGCCAACAGCCCAAGTGCAAGTGCAGACCTCGCAGCCGCCGCAGCAGCAGAGCCCCCAGCTCACGACGGTCACGGCCCCAAGGCCTGGTGCCCTGCTGACGGGCACCACCGTGGCCAACCTCCAGGTGGCCCGGCTCGTAAGTGTCAGTTTCTGTTTGTTTTCCAAAAGCAGCATCTTTTTATGTTTTAACACAGCTGTTGCGCTTGCTCAGGTGCGTGTCACGTGTTACAGGAGTGAGTGTGAGACGGGTTCTTTTCCCCGAGAACTTAGTACCCCTTGGACAGAGGACGGGACTCACCACTCGTGGAACATTAACACAGCAGCAGCTCCCAGAGCCCATCCAGGCATCACCAAGCTTCTCAGGGCTTGAATTGAGGGGGGTGGAGAGTGAGCGAGGTGAGATGCAGCCTGCGTGGCTTCCCTGTGCTGCTGAGGGACCCTGCAGGGACCAAGGCCTGTGTGGCTGGAGCAGAGGGCGCTGTGCATGTAAGCCGTAGGCATGGGCAGGTGGCGGTCTCTGAAGCTGCTCTCAGGTGACCGCTGTAGGCAGGGAGAGCATTTGGAGATTTCAGAAGGGACTAGCATCAGGCGCAAGTGCTGTCTGGGAAGACTGGCTCTCAGCAGGTGCCAGCGTCCCGGGGCAGGCAGCGTCACTGCACCGTGACTAGAGCTCAGCTAGGGGTACTGGTGACAGCTGCCCTGTTGGAGGCTCACCCTGAGCTAGACTTTGCCCTTCGTTCTCTTGTGTCTTTCACCTGGCCCAGTGCTCATGGACTGCCCCAGGCAGGGATAAGGGTCTTACTATTAATTCCATTTTACAGGTTAAGAAACTGAGGCATGTAGGCTAAGTTCCCACCCAAATCCCACAACCAATCAGCTGCAACTCAAGCTAGGATTTGGGGACCCAGGTGCTCAGGCTAAGCTGTGTGGGTGCTGGACCCCCACTTTGGGTCTTCCCTGGGAGGGGCTAGCCCTCCACAGCAGAGTGAGTAGAAGTGGATAAAAAACTACAGAAGGGTGCTTGGTTTCATTCATGTTCACAAAAATGCAAATTCACTGAGAAGGGTGGTAACACCTAGTGGTAGCCAGGGTACCGGGTTCTTGTTGGACAGGAATCAGTGGCCTCTTTTTGGAGAGGATTTTGGTAATTACGCTATGAAAATGTGCACGCTTATTTAACTAAACACCCCCTTATGTCCTGCAGAGATAACTGAACATTTACAAAGTGATGAATGTACAAGCTTGTTTGCTTCATGAGTGTTAGAGGAAATTAAATGTCCATTACTAAGAATTTCATTAAGTAAATGATGTATCATCCAAACAATGGAATATTAAGCAATTTTGAAAGTGGTTTTTTGTAAAGAGAAGAGAAACAGATTTCAAAATATTTATAATTCATGTCATTTTTGCACACTTTCACGGTGAGCCACACAGATATGAACAGTGGCTGAAGGCTAAATACCAGTTTTAATATTCAGATATGAGTAGTTTGAGGAGTGTGGGTAATTTTTACTTTGTATTTTCTTATGTAATCTTAGTCTCTATACATACAAAAATGGAAGTACTTCCATTTACCATTTTTTAAATGGTAACTTAAGAGAAAATGCGGGACGGGAGGCTGAGGCAGTCATTTTGAAGTGAGGGACAGGCTGATGTCGAGTGCTCGCTGAAGGAACAGGAAGTGAAAAGCCTTCTGTGGGAAAAACGGGACAGGATGCGGTTACTGGTTCAGGAGATGGAGGGAAGTGAAGGTGATGTCCCGTGAGATCACTGACATCTGAACGCAGCAGCATGTGTGATGAGCCTGCAGGTCTTGCGGGAGCTTCAGAAGCGCGGGCTGACCTGTGACTTGACATTTCCCTGCGGCGTGCAGATCTCTCAGTTTTCCTTTCCTGTTGGGCCACTTTAAACTTTGTTGATCTTTGTAAATTTTCTCATGGCATGACCTCTTGTGGAGAAGTATTTGGAAAGACATACCGTGTCCTGAATTTCTCTGGACTCTCCCATTATTTCTACTGTTTAGACCCGGGTTCCCACTTCTCAGCTGCAGGCGCAAGGGCAGATGCAGACCCAGGCACCCCAGCCAGCCCAGGTGGCCTTGGCGAAGCCTCCGGTGGTGTCCGTCCCGGCAGCTGTGGTCTCCTCACCGGGAGTCACCACCCTGCCCATGAACGTCGCGGGGATCAGCGTGGCGATCGGTCAGCCACAGAAGGCAGCAGGTGCCCGCCCCAGCACACCCTCCCGTCCTGGGCTTGAGCCTGGTTTCACAGGCCTCTCTGGTGGCAGTGGTCGCCAGCGACCCGTGTTCTTTCCTCACACCCACCCACTTGAGCGTGCCATCACGTGTTCTAGCACAAACGTGCCTTGGCGCTTTCCAGGCGCAAGGCTGGGTCCTCAATTGAACTGTTAACATTCTGAAATTTCCGTCTTAATTTAAGTGTAATTTGTGAACCCAGAAACATTTTAATGTAGTTAAGGGATGGCTTACTTGTCTCCATAGAGTTTCATAGTTTGTTATTTTCTGTAGAGGTGAGTCAGTTGGAACAGAGCTTGGCGTGAGCCTCAAGCTCTTTTCCCAGTGTGCTGACTAAGGGGCTTTTGCTGCCTGCAGGACAGACCGTGGTGGCCCAGCCCGTGCACATGCAGCAGCTGCTGAAGCTGAAGCAGCAGGCCGTCCAGCAGCAGAAGGCCATCCAGCCCCAGGCTGCACAGGGCCCGGCAGCCGTCCAGCAGAAGGTACCGGGGCTAGGGGATTCTCACTTCTGGGTCTATGCCAAGCCAAAGCTGGCTGCTGGAGGAGAGGGTCCTAAGCAGACAAATCCCCATGTGGCGGCTCACGCTTTTCAGAGGGTGGCTTCAAGGGCTGGAGGTGCTAGTGTGGTCATCCCTGTTGGTTTTTCCTTCCTTTAAAAGGTGAATGCTGTGTGTGATGTGACAAGTGAGGCTGAGGTCTTGGCAGGGGGATGGAGGGGGTATAGTCTGTGAGGATGGCTGGGTGCCAGGTAAGAAGCCTGCATGGCATTGGGACAGACACAGGGGGTGCAATTGCATGATGGGGGCCAGTGGGCTCAGGGAAGCAGACGCAGCTCACACCACAGGACCCGCCTGGACTCCTGCTGGAGGACAGGGATGCCGTACAGTCTGGACCCCAGACAGGGAATGTGGCCTCTGTGCATGTTGGTGGTGAAAGGGGAGATAAACACGCCAGGGCCCGACGTGGATGGGGGCGCAGCAGGGCACTGGGCTCCAAGGGCGTCTACAGTCTCAGCCAGCTCCCTGAGACGATACCTGTGCCTCTCAGCAGCCAGTGCTGTGTTGAAGGACGTGAGGGGGACACGGTGGTGAGACAGCTCTGCCTCCAGGGACTTCTGCTCGTGGTGGCTCATCGGTGGCACCCAGCCCAAGTCCCGGGCTTCGGATGGCTGGTGTGGGCCCTCAGACCCCACGTTCTGTTGGCACTGCTGTCTGGCTAGAGCTAGAAGGCGGGCTCTGATGGGAAGCCACATGGCTGTGTGGGGAGCTGCCCTGTTCCCTGAGCGCTGTGCTGGACCCCTGCAGGCACCTGGTGCTTATCCTCAAGACGGAGGATGTTGTCTTGAGGAAACTGAGGCTCAGAGAAAAGGACTTGCCCAGATCACAGGGCCAGTAAAAGGCAGCTGGCTGACTCCAGCAGGCCCAGGGTTCTTTGTGCCACACCACCTGGACACTGGCTGTGCTGTGAGCCGCTGCTACCTCCTGCAGAAGACCAGTGCCCAGGGGCCCTATGGGTGAAGCCCTGCTGGTGTGCAGCAATGGCATGCTCTGTGGGGAGCTGGAAGCAGAGCTGTCCTTTGGAACCCAGAGGGAGAGGGAGTGAGCACTGAGGGGACACAAAGCCGGGAGGCGCAGGGTGTCTGGGTAGTGCCACCAGCTCCGCCGTGGCCGGGTTCCAAAGACCAGCCTGCATCCCCACTTGGCACGACCGCTGCAGGGAAGTGCATGTCCTTTGGGTCGGGATGGTCACCTGCATTTATTTACCTCTGGAAGAAGGAGACAGTGCTGGGACTTACCTCCTGGGCCTGGTCAGCAGTCCCTGGGTGCGTCATGGTGGTCCATGGGCAGACGTGGCCATGCTGATGCACAGGTGGGTGTGGTCCCTCAGGCTTGAGCTGTGCTTGAGGGAGCAGTGGAGGGCTGCAGCTGAAGTGCTGGGCTGTGTGTTCCTACGATTGGACAAAACATCCTTAGATGTTAAAAACCCCTATTTACCCATAAGCATGGCTGATAAAGCAGATACGTAAACGTCAGATGTACACAATATGATCTGCAAAAATGGTGCATACCAGTTTGTTACCCCGTGTACTAAATATTTTCTTTATGTCTGCCAAGTTTTTACATTGGATTTGAGAGATTGTGATCGCTTTCAGTCACCTAAGTAGCAGCCCCGTGCAGGTGTGACAAGGGTGTCAGGGTGCCCCACCAGCCCGACTATTCAGGGAGCAGTGTCCCGGGTGGGGTGGGCTGCAGGCAACGGCCAGGCCTCCTGGAGGAGAAGCTGGCGGCCATGCCGCATGGGCAGAGGTAGGCCTGGAGGCAGCGGCAGGGATGGGACAGGGGGCAGGAGATGTGGGTATGCACAGGGTTGGTCTGGGAGGTAGGCTGGAAAGGGGCTGGGTTCTGCCATAGGGCCCAGAGCGGGCAGGCGTCCCGGGAGTCTTGAGCGCGGCATGGTCTCTGCGGCCCTAATTTCGCAGTCTCTCCCCAGATCACCGCACAGCAGATCACCACCCCTGGCGCGCAGCAGAAGGTTGCCTACGCCGCGCAGCCGGCCCTTAAGACCCAGTTTCTTACCACACCCATCTCCCAGGCCCAGAAACTGGCCGGGGCCCAGCAAGTGCAGACCCAGATCCAGGTGAGCGGGGAACAGGGTGAGGGCCCGAGTGTCAGGAGTGGGTGCCCGGCCTTTGGATTGTGTGTCTCGCGGGCTTTGCGAGCTCCCAGCCCTTGCGGCTGCACTGGGTGGTGCACTGGAGGGAAGTGTTGTCTCCTGGCCTCAGGTTTCAACCCCTCTGGCTCCTGGGAAGGCTCCTCTCTGCCGGGGCCTGTTCCAGCTGTCGCCAGCTTTGCCTTCATGTTCTGGACGTCGATCTCCAGCTCTGTGGGGTACAGCTGCCCTCTCCCAGTTCCAGGCTCCTCTTCTCCCTTCCTGGTGTCTTTTTTAAAAATATATTTTATTTTATTTTTTGATATTTTTTGATATTTCTTGTTCATCAAGTTCTACCTGGTGTCTTTGGGAGAACTGAGTTCCTGATTTCATGTGTGCAGTGTGCCCTCCCGTCTTCCTCTCTGCCTAGAGCTTTTATGTCCTGCTTCCTCCCAGAGCTTATGGAGTTACCTCCCTGCATCCTTCTCTAAGAGCGGGGGAGTGGTACCTTCTTAGCTGGTCTTCCACCCTCCTGGAGTTGGTTTTTGGGTATGAGATAGAAACAGGAATTCAGTTAGAGCAGGGGAGTTTTACCTTCTCAGCTAGTCTTACATCCTCTGGGAATTGGTTTTTGGGTCTGAGATAGAAACAGGAATTCAATTTGATGTGCTCTATGAATACCCTATTTTCAGCCCCATTTATTTAAAAGCCCAATTCTGTCATCCATCGATCCACAGTGCCGCCTCCACCTGAGATCCTGTGGGGAAGTTCAGGGCTTCTTGTCTCAGAGGCCATGCTGGTCCCACGGCGCTCTCGCTATGAGCGGCAGTGACACTTGGTGTCTGGAGGGCGAGTCCCCCTACCACACCCTTCCTTGGGTGTAGCGTGCCTATTCTTGGCTCTTTCCACTTCTGTGTTAATTTTAGTTAGCTTAGTTCATACACTACAATCAAAACTGCTGAAAGTTTTTATTAGAATTGCATTGATTCTGTAGCTGTTCAGGGGAGAGTTGACATCTTTACAGTCTTTCCTTCAGATTCACCAATATGATGCATCTTTTGTTACTTAAGTCTTTTTTAATGCCTTTTAATGAAGTTTTCTAATATTTTGTGAAAGTGTTATAGATTATGTTAGTTTTATTCTTAAGCAATCAGTATTTTTTGATGCTTTTGTAAATGGTATGCTTTTAATTTCCATTTTCTGTCTCTGGCTGTTGTACATTTTTGTACATTAGTTTTTTATTCTGGCCGCCTTGCTAGATTCTGGTTATTTGAATAATTTATCTTAGGATTTGGTTTTGTTTTGTTGCATTTCCTTCGTATACAGTTGTATCACCTGTAAATCATGACGATCTACTTCTCCCATCTTAAACCCTTGCTTTCTCCTGCCTTACTGTGCTGGCTGGGACCTGCAGCACAGTGGTGAATGTCAGAGTCCGTATTTCACTGTGAAGTAGGGTGTTTGCTGTGTTTTTGTCAGAGTAAGAAAATTCTGTTCTTTTCTACTTTGCTTGAAGTTTCTGTTCCTCTTTGTTACGGTGCTTTTTGTCTTGTTTAAAGCCCATGTGTATGAACTCCCTCCCTCCCTTACACATCTCCTTTAGCCTCAAAGCTTTAAGTCCTGTCTCGGTGCGAATGATACCCAGATTCATGTCTGTAGCCACTTACTGTCCTGAGTTCCAGATTCTTCATCCTACCTGCCTTTGACAGATCCATGGAGATGTCTGATCCCTCAGGCCTCAGGTGTGTACGCCTGACCTGCTCCTACCAGAGGCTTCCGGCTCAGGAAGGGCAGCTGTCCCTGCAGACCTTTAGCCTACTTGAGAAACCCCTACAGTCATCCATACAGGTCCAGCCCATTGGCAGGCAGCTGTGTGTGCTTGACTTCCAGAAGAGACCTGGAGCAGCCGCTTCCTGTTGCTACTGTCAGCTCCTCCTCCGCACCCTTCCCTGGTTGTTGCCATCTCTCCTGCTTCCTTTTTGCCATCCGTCCCCCAGGAATACTTTGTGGTTGTGTGGGTGGGTCGGGGGTGTGGGGGTGTGGATGTCTTCTGCAGAGCCCTGCTGCCCACGGCTCCTGGCCTGTGCACCCCTCTGCACTTGCTCCTCTGCACCTGTGCCCCTACCAGCGCTGCTCACAGTCTCCCTTCCTGCTCAGCTTTTCTGCTCTCTGTTTCTGTATTATCACCTTCAACAAATACTATAAGTACTTTGTTCAGGTGATTTTGTCTCCTCCAATAAAGCAAGCCCCATGAGTACAGGTGTGTCCGAGGGCTGTTAGTACAGTGGACAGATGGACTGTTGTAGTGGGTTATAGTCATTGAATCTTGTGATGTTCAATCATTGTGTTCTGGGGTGACTCACTGGGTCCTGTGGTAGTTGTCATTGTGCATGGATGAGTTCAATTACTGCTCTTGTGTGTGTGACCTCACGGCATCGGGGCAGCTCAGCCTCGTTCGTGCGCTCTGCCTGCCTTGTCAGGTCTGTTTCTGAGACGCGCTCCTGCTTGTGTTGCCCAGGGTGGCCTCGAACTCCTGAACTCAAGCAGTTCTCCCTCCTCAGCCTCCGGAGGGCCCGGGACCGCAGGTGTGTGCCACGATGCCGGGCTTTTGCCAGGGTTTTTACTTCCTTTCCTTTCTTTTATTTTGCTATTCATTTTCTAACTTGTTAAGATGGAGTACCACCTGAGCTTATTTCACAAATTTTATTATTTGGTTTTCCTTCAGTCCTAAATGTTTTTGAATTTCCATTTTGATTTCTTATTTACTGCCTGGGTTCTTTTTAGAAGTGTTTCTTAATTTCCAGGTGAGGTTTTCCAGTTACTTTTTATTATTGACTTAAAAATAAATCTTCATTGTATTGTCAGAGAATGAGGTCTCAATGATTTCAGTCTTTGAAATTTGTTGAAACTTGCTATCTAGTCCAGAATACAGTCAGTTTTAAAAAATGGTCTGTGTCCTTCCAGAGCAGTCTTCAGGATGGGTTCACTTGTGAGATGATTTTGTTGTAACTGGGTCAAGTTTACTGTGTGTGTCATTTCGGTCTTCTGTGTGTCCTGCCAATCACTTGTGTTACTAGTTATTGAGAAGGCGTGTTTAGATGTCCCATTCTGAGTATGCCTTTATCTGTTTCTTCTTACCTTTCTCTCTGGTTTTGCTTTATATCTTAGAAGGCTTTTCATTAGCCACATTTAAGTTTAAAGTTTTGAATTTTGTTATTTTGAAATGACTCTTACTGTCTTCAGTAATATCTCTGGTCTTGAAGCCTATTCTCCTCACATGAGTAAAGCACCACCCTCCTGTTGGAAGTTTTTGGTCTGTGTTTTTCCTTCCTTGTTTTCAGCCATTCTCTGTGTGTCCCTCGTCACCTCCTGTGAGCAGCTCGCGGGCAGGTCCGGTGCTGTTGTGAGGTCAGGCTTTCCATCTCTGACTCTTACCTGAAACACGTGTCCACTTGTCTGTATATAAGGTTGGGTATATTTGAATTTCTGGCTTCTCTTTTGTTTGGACTCTGTTTGTCTTGCTTGTTCTGTTTTTTCTTTCCTCCCTTCCTTGCCTTCTTTTGGGCCACCTTCTCTTTTTTTTTTTTTTTTTATCAATTCTCCCCTCTGCCAGTGAAAAATTATATATTTTCTTTCTGTTCTTTAAGTGGTTACCCTAAAATCTCCATGTGCACACTTCTGTATCAGAGTATGAAGTTAACGATGGCCTCCACCCTCTTCTCCAGCAATGATCTTATCACACAGTAGCTCAGTTTATTCATCTCAAATGCTGCTGTTAGTGTGCGTTTTAATTCTGTCCCTTTTCCTTTTTTTTTTTTTTGACACAGTCTTGCTCCATCGCCTAGGCTGGAGTGCAGTGGCGCGATCTTGGCTCACTGCAACTTCCGCCTCCTGTGTTCAAGCGAGTCTCCTGCCTCAGCCTCCTGAGTAGCTGGGATTACAGGCACATGCCACCAGGCCCAGCTAATTTTTGTATTTTTAGTAGAGATGGGTTTCACCATGTTGGCCAGGCTAGTCTCGAACTCCTGACCTCGTGATGCACCTGCCTTGGCCTCCCAAAGTGTTGGGATTATAGGCGTGAGCCACCATGCCCAGCCATAATTCTGTCCTTTTTCATCTTTGACTTTTTATGTGGAATTACTTTCCTTCCACTTGACCCATCCTTTGGAATTTCCTTTAGTGCTTGAAAATGCCTGTGTGTCACTCTTGTTCCTGAGAGACAGTTTTGCTTAGTACAGAATTCCGGATTGGCATTGTTTTTTGGGGTTTTTTTTTTTTTTTTTTTTTTTTTTTGAGACGGAGGCTCACTCTCCCATGCTGGAGTGCAGTGGCATGATCTTGGCTCACTGCAACTTCTGTCTCCCACATTCAAGAGATTCTCCCGCCTCAGCCTCCCGAGTAGCTGGGACTACAGGCACACACCACCATGCCCAGCTAATTTTTATATTTTTAGTAGAGGTGGGGTTTCACCATGTTGGCCAGACTGGTCTCGAACACCTGACCTCAGGTGATCCACCTGCCTCGGCCTCCCAAAGTGCTGGGATTACAGGCATGAGCCACCGCGCCCGGTCGGCATTGTTTTCTGAGTGCATTCACGGTATCATTTCCTCACTGTGGCTGCTTTTGTTGTTGAAGAGGAGCCGGTGTCTGTCCAGCGTTTCTCTCTTCCAGGGTCACCTGTCTCTTCCCCACCGACTGCCTGTTATTGAGACGTTGTCTTTGTCTTTGTTGTTTTGGGTCACCTCTCTCCCCCACCGTCTGCCTGTTACTGAGACGTTGTCTTTGTCTTTGTTGTTCTGGGTCACCTCTCTCCCCCACTGTCTGCCTGTTATCGAGACGTTGTCTTTGTCTTTGTTGTTTTGCAGTTTCATTCCAATGCTCCAGCTTCTTGAATCTCGGGCAGTCTCTCTCATGTCTTTAGGAAATAAGCAGCCACTGTTTGTTTACGTGTTGCCCCTGTCCTGCTTCCTCTGCCCTCCAGGTCTCTCAGCAGCTTTTGTATTTTCTGTGTCTTTGTCTCGTCGTACTATATTCTGAGTCATGTCTTTCGCTCTGTCTCCTCAGTCACTCATTTTTCCCTTGGTTAAGTCAAATCTGCTTCAAAGCTTGTCTGTTGAATTTTTATCTTGATGATTTATTATTTTATTTTCAGAAGTTCCCAAATAATGCCTGGTCTTTGTTTATAGTCTCTTGTTTCCAGGCCTCGCAGAGTGAGTGAGGTGTTTTTCTGGATCTGGTGATTTCCCTGTCTGAAATGTGCTGCATCTGCGGGGACCCCTCGCAGCCTGGGGCAAAGGTGGAGTTTTGCTTCCGCGGGCACCTTCAGGTGCCACAGGAACACTGCTTGGTGTGTGGCTCAGGCTTTCACTCAGCTCTCAGGTGTTACCCACCTGGCCTCTGAATCTGTGTCTCCTCCTCTCTCCTCCCCGGCACTGAGGCTTAGGGCAGGTGCTTTTCTTACAGATGCCACTGGAGGAAGGGGATGCTTTCTTTGCAGCCTTTGGGTACCTTTGTGGGTACAGTGTCTCCCTCCAGGATGGCAGCTGGCAGTAGCACGGGGCTCTTTTGCAAGCTCCCCACCGAGAACTGGCCTATACCTGGTGTCTGGTCAGCTGTGTCCTGTGCGACCCTGGAGATCACGGGGTGCGTCTCCATGTGGCCAGCGATCCCGGGCAGAGGTTGTGCAGCTTTTCTGCTCCGTGACTCGTGATGCCCGCCTGTGCTTAGGTTTGGAGACTGGCAGTTCCTGACTCTTTGCAGGTTTCTTGGTACATTTAAGATTTCTTGCTAGTGCTTTATTTAAGACGTCTCAGGATTTTCAGTGCTGTGCCAAGTAAGTCCTGGACCATTGTGGTCTTGAGATGGGCCCTGGAGCACCGGCTGCATCTTTGTTTCCCAGCAGTTCCACAGGGGGCGCTCAGGGCACTTATCTTAGTGAATTTTATTTATAATTGTTTAAGTGACAGTAAACTAGTAAATGCCTTCTGATTGATTTTAATTTTAGTAAGGACTAACATTTATTTCGACCTTTGTTCATGTGTGAGTAAATCATGTAATTTCACATATTTCGCAGAATAATCTTGGGAAATATTATTTTCATCCGTTTTCTGTAAGTAACAGGACCCAGCAAGAGACCAGGGTCCGTGAGGGCCTTGTGCAGGGAGGGCCCTTGAAATCAGGGCCCCCAGCAGCTGCCCACGCTGGAGCCTCTCTTGTGTTCTGGGTGCACGCCATGACGGTGCTGATAGGACACACAGGTGGCCCAGAGCCTCTTACTACGTCAAGACAGCGGGAGATGCATGCAGTAGCAAGTGCACAGAAAGTGGGCACTGGGTGGAAAGTGTTGCTTTATAAATAGCCAGATCTCAATCATGACTAAGAAGAATGTAGAAAAATGATAAAATTACCAGCCTCAAAACCTTGGTGCGTCACCGGGTTCCCCACTTCAGCTGGCTGCCCTAGCTGCACTGTACAGCTCATTACTGGAACGTCGTCCAGGCCTGTCATATGCAGAGCCCTTGGGACTCACAAGACGCTCAAATACTTACCATCCTCAGTCTGATTCTTTCATATAAACTTGCAGTCGTTTTTGTGAAAAGAAAAAATGTGTCTGAAATATGAGACCAAAAATAAGCTTAAATGATGAGTGATGGCAAATTGGGGAGGCAGTCAGTTGACTCACCATGCAGTGGAACGACTTGCTCTCTCACTGCTGCAGGTGGGCACACTACGAGAATTGCTCTTCTGTGTCACCTGGTCATTGTGTTTTTTGCATTAACTGAGGACAGAAAGGGAGGAAAAATCTCTTTTTGTGCACATACTCCTTTGAATTGTATGTTTGGCTTTTTTTGTTTTGTCAAAGGTTGCAAAACTTCCTCAAGTTGTTCAACAGCAAACACCCGTGGCCAGCATCCAGCAAGTTGCCTCTGCTTCCCAGCAGGTAGGACGCATAGACAAAGTGGAAACCTCACATTTCCCAGGTCAGAGAATGGGTTGTTTTCATCTGAGGTCATGATTAGGGAATCACTTTTGATTTTTGTGATACACACAAAAACATTAACTTCAGGGGAAAAACTAGATACACTTAATAATGAGAAGAGTGAACAAGCGTTTAGAGGTTGTGTCAGCCATACTGAGGGAGCCTCACCTTGGGCTCATTCCCAGGACCCTTCATTCACTGATCATCGCGGGTGTGTCCTGCAAGTCGCAGACACTGCCCTGTGGTTTTAGGGAGGCACAGGCCTCAGGCAAGCAGGCTCCGCTCGGGGCCCGCCCTTGAGCAGAGGCGCTGTGGGCACAGTGGCCTTGCCTCCCACAGAAGCCCTTCAGGCGCTTTCACTGTTGTCACTGATGCTCCACAATATGACTCTTTAGCACAGTGCTTTAAATGTAAAGCGGTGCTTTAAACTTTCTAAATTTTGTTTAAAGTCACACTGGCATATAGATTTCAAGAAACCAAACTCTATTAAAAGCTTTACTACAACAACAAAATCAGTCCCTGACCCAGCTCTCACCCTTTTCCCAAGAGGCATCTGGTGTTAGTCTAAAAGCAACCATCTTTTAATTTTCCACTTGTGTTTAATTGGAAACCAGAGGTCATACTGTTGTGTGACTGGTCATTCTTCCGTGTCATAAAAGCATAGTCAGTGAAGTTTCTCGAGTCCTCCCCATCCCAAAGAACGTCCATTTTCCTGTCCCTGGACTGAGTTTCCTGGGCAATGTGTGTTTTCTGACTCTCTCGGCTCAGGCTTCTCCACAGACTGTGGCGCTCACGCAGGCGACGGCGGCCGGGCAGCAGGTGCAGATGATCCCTGCAGTGACCGCGACTGCCCAGGTGGTTCAGCAGAAACTCATTCAGCAGCAGGTGGTGACCACGGCGTCGGCCCCGCTCCAGACTCCAGGCGCTCCCAACCCAGCCCAGGTGCCCGCCAGCTCCGACAGCCCAAGCCAGCAGCCCAAGTTACAGATGAGGGTCCCTGCTGTCAGGCTAAAGACACCTACTAAGCCTCCGTGCCAGTAGTCAGGGCAGCAGGGCTGCCTCTCATCTAAAGCAAAACTACCTTCCTCACAGAAAACGCTTTATTAGTGAACCTTGGGACCATGTCACGCAAGAGATTCAGCACTGGGAAAGATATAATTGAAACAAAATAGTGTAATCATTTTATTAAAATGCATCCCACACTGCAGGACAAATGGTCCTTATGGAGTGCCGCGTTCTCTGTACTACGTGGCTCATGGAAAAAGTGACAACATGGCTTCCTCTAAATCATTTCACCTTTCAGTCCCCACCCGCACCCGTCCCCTAGAGCCATAGTACTGTGTTCTGAAAGCCATTTAGAATTTCTTTGTGAGCATGTAGTGCTTTGCACGCCACAGAAGCCGTCTGCCGTGTGTGAGGAGCATACAATGGACTTTCTAAAGATAAGGCGTGGGCTTCCACAGTGTCTGCCAGAGTTTAGTTCTTTATACCTTACTGAAAAATGCCTCGTGGTCTTCGCAGAGGGGAAGGCCTGTCTAAAGTCAATCATCCGAGATGGGTTTTCCATTCCAAAGAAAGGCAATATGGTTCCTTCCTTCCCTCCTAAAATATGACTTAACTTTTAAGAGAAATGTTCTGACACCCACCTAAACACACAAGGCACGTTCCTGGCCTGTGTTCAAGGGAAATGATCAGTCATTGCATTGTTATTCCAAAGAGCAGCCAACAGTGGCCTCCCCCAGGCCCTACCCTGCAATGGGATTCGCTTTCATTTAATGGAAACTTCTGGGACTGATGCCCAACTCAGTGCACTCAAGACGCATCTCCAGTTTTCGGGGGAAGCTGGTATTTGACATAGTGTGTTAAACAGCTCCTGAGAACCTTTGGGACACTCTGCCATGGCTGGCGTGAGGCCCAGAGGACCACGCAGAGGCAATGGTAGTACAGATGTCACAGCTGAGGGTACGATGAGGCCTGGGCTCAGTGAGCCAGGACGAATGTGACAGACACCCCTTGCTGCCACAGTCAGCCCTTTGACGAAGGTGGGCTGGTGATTCTGGAAGTATTGGCTATAGCGGTGGGCCCAGTCAACTCTTCCTTGTGGACTTACGACAGCAGATTTTCTCTAGGATAAGCTTGTGTGGTTCTGCCAGTGAAGCAGAGAACCACCTGTGCTGTTGTGGAAGGCGTGCCGTTGAGGGGGAAAACGAAGCCCAGTATTTGCTACTGTTTTTCCTTTTTTTACTATGACAGGAAAATAAATGCAATTTTAGTGGAATTGATTGACAGTGTCTCCTTACTTTGAAGTTTTCACCAAAGCAAAAAGGTCCATATCCAATAGTATCCTTTGTGCTGTGGCTTGATTTTGGCCTATTTTACATTATTTGGTCCAGGAAATTAGGTTATATTAGGTTTTTTGTATACTAAAAATCAGTTATGGCACAATAAAGATTTTCTGTTTTTAAATTGTATTTCATCTGCTTCCTCCCCATTCTCTCACTTTAAGTGACATTGAGGAAGGTATTCTGTCCCACAGGTTTCTGTGGACAGCGATACAGCAGGAGTCAGTGAAATCAACTGGGGAGCTCACTTGAGCTCTTGATAAGAAATGTGGAGAAAAGTAAAAACCAAGCTTTGAAGAAACAGAAGAAATTAATCTTTTAGTTAGTTGAACATACCAAAGCAGAGGACTGGAATCTGTTTGTTCTAACCAACCCGTTCTCCCTGGCTTGGCACGTGCCGTGAGAGCGCAGCTTGCCGGAGGGAGGGCCGCTGTGTGCGCCTCACATCTGGCTCCCAGTGGAAACTTTTACTCCTCCTCATCCGCAGATGTGATAGAACTGAAGTATCTAGGAATTCTGCCTTTGTCATTTGTTTTAATTTGTGTGCCCTGTTCATTTTTTTTGTCTTTCCCAAATCTTGGTAGTCTCCTTATAGTTGAAGATAAAATGTTGAGTGCACTTATTTTAGAATATCCTAGACATAACTGTCTAAGTAAAAGCGCTCTATTAATCTAAAACACTACAAGAGAATTTAACACCATCTCTCAAATGCTTTTTTGGAGAGCTTAATGGGATTCTGAATATTTGCAATGTGGAGTTTCCGCCCCGATCTCACGTCAGTGAGGGTCTCCTGTCTCTCAAGTGTGTTTCCTTTGGCTGTTCCCTAATACAAAACACGGACATATTTTTACTCGTAGCACTCAATTTAGTAACTTCTAGATGCTACCGTTGACCTGAGTTAAATTCATTTAGTCGTGTACGTAAAAACTCTCCTTTTAGTGTGTTATTTTCTTGGCCTTCCCTTTTAAAGGTTAAAGTTTCTAACCTAAGAATTAAGTACGCGTTCAGGAAGCTGTTGTCTAGGCCTTCCCCTTGTGAATCTGGGTTCATTCCAATACGGCAAGTAAGAGTTGGAAACTTTGAGAACACAGACTATAAAGGCAGCAGCCCGAACACTGTCAGACTCTAATTGGCGACCCTGGGAAACAGTTGCCCTGCTATTCTTTAAAGAAAGACGTTTATTCTGATGATAAAAACAGTTAGCCAGACTGTTTTTAAAGCACCTGGCGGGAAGCAGAAGGTTGGATCCAAGCCCTTGTTCAGATTTGGTGCCTGATAAGACAGGGGTTTCTCTTTTTGTGACCTTTATTATTATTATTTTGTTAACTGTTGTAACCAGTTAGCTGTTGTGTTTTAAGATAGAAAGGAACAAGACTAAAATTGTAAATACTTTGTAAACATCAGCATTTGTACTTGAATAGTAGGATTTTAAAGGGCATTGATAGCATACCAAACAAAAGGCAAAATAAAGTGACCTTTTTATATATTTTTTCATTTTGTCTTTCATAGAAAACTGGTATTTAAGTTAAATGAGATGCTGAATTTTTCATTTGTGTGAAGAAAAAACCAACAAGTAATGTTGGAGCCAGAGGTGTTCCCCTCACCCACTCTTCCGTGGCCATAGAAGGACCTGGAAGGAACAGAAATCACATTCACCAAGTCCACCAGGCAGCCGCTTCCCAAAGCCGCACGTGGAGGAAAGAGCTGGCACCGCCCTGCCCCATGTGGCCTGCCACCCTCACAGCACCCGTCGTCAATGTCCTGGGGGCCACACTGGCACCAGTGTCCTTCCACACCCAGTCTGTGTGCCCAACTGGCACCAGTGTCCTTCCACACCCAGTCTGTGTGCCCAACTGGCACCAGTGTCCTTCCACACCCAGTCTGTGTGCCCAACTGGCACCAGTGTCCTTCCACACCCAGTCTGTGTGCCCAAGTAAGGGCAGGGACACCGGCTCACAGGTGCTCACCACCGAAAACGCCTGTGAGCAGATGGCCTGCGAGTTGTTGCTTCTCTTTTTCTTCTGCTTTTAGACTTTTCTTCGTTTCGTTTTAAATCTGATTACAAAAATCAACGTACACTTTTAATTGAAAACGCACACATTACGCAAAGTAAAGAAGCATCCCAGAAGCCCCTTAGTTTCTGTATCTTTTCTCCCACCACAAAAACGGGGGTGCACGGGCACTTGGCCCTGCAGCTTTGGGCTTCCACCTCCGGTCTTCCAGATTGAAAGCTCCCAGGGTCTGGTTGCACACTTCGTGTCTGCAGGTGATAGTGCAGATACCAGGGTGGGCGAGAAAGCCAGCTGCAAAGCCCGGCTGGTGCTCCCTGGCCTCTGGGGGTCTGTACTGCAGTGCCTGGTGCACCTGCGGCTCCATGCCTACCAGCCACATAACCAGGGGCAGGTGACTTCCTCCTTCAGGGCCTCTGTGTCCCCATGTCCCCTCTCCTAAGGTGGCTTGAGGATCCAGTCCAATGTTGGGTGCTGCACTTGGTGTCTGTCTTTTATACTCCCAACGAAGAGGACTGCAGGTTTTGCAAAGCCTACTGTTTCTGTCATCCTGACCCTACCATCACGTCTTTGCCAAGTGTGCCTGTGGCAGCAGGCCCTATGGCGGGCTTATCTGGCCTGGAAGCTGTGTTTCTGTTTGCTGTCCAGTAGCGACCAGGGGCCAGTGGGTGAAGCAATTGTGCCTGCGCACAGCCGTCAAGACCTTAAGGTAGCTTCTGAGCCCGGAGTGTGTTGTGTCACCTCCTACTCGAGATGTCAGATCGTGTGACAGCTGCCCACCAACACCCCAGAGTTGGGCATTGTGATCCAGGGCAATGGGAGGGGAGATTCCTTTGCCATAGGGTGCCCTGCTATGCTGTTGCTGCAGCATCTATTCCCCTAATTTTTCTAAAGTTCCCATTTTATTGGGTAGATTATGCTATATACATTCGGTGGAATGCAGTGCAGCCTCTACAAAGTACAGCTGTGCTGGGGGATGAGTTTGTGAAGTATGCTACCAGGATGGAACTGGTTGTATGCCTGGATGTGCATAGAATATCCTGGAAGTATTTGCCCCTGCATGTGGTGGATTCTACGTCCATGAGTTCAACCGACCAAGGAGCAAAAATATTCAGAAACAAAAATGTGTCTATACTGAACATATACAGACCTTGTTTTGGGGGGGTTATTATTTCCTAAACAATGCTGCATAACAACTATTTACATGACATTTACATTGCATTCACTATTGTAAGTAACCCAGAGATGATTTTAAAAAGATGTTTTTGAGTTATATGCATTTTGCATCAGGGGCTTGAGCCTCTCGGAGTTTGGCATCCATGGGAGGTGCTGAGGGACGATTGTACGTTGTGTTAGCACTGCCTCTGTGGAGGGAGAGACTGGGGGGCAAGGATCAAGGCTGCTGATCTGCACTGTTATGCGCGTCCTTTTAACTGTTCAGGTAGTTTGCCAAGTGCATGAATTTTTGTGTGGTGGGGGCGGGGTGGGGGTGGGGACAGTCTCACTCACTCTGTCGCCCAGGCTGGAGTGCAGTGGCGTGATCTCAGCTCACTGCAACCTCTGCCTCCTAGGTTCAAGCGATTCTCCTGCCTCAGCCTCCCAAGTAGCTGGGATTACAGGCGCGCACCACCATGCCTGGCTAATTTTTGTATTTTTAGTAGAGATGGGCTTTCACCATGTTGGCCAGGCTGTTCTCGAACTCCTGGGCTCAAGTGATCCGCCCGCCTCGGCCTCCCAGATTGCTGGGATTACAGGTGTGAGCCACCGCACCCGGCCATGAATTAATTTTTAAAATAAGGCCCTATCAGCTTTTTTGTCACATGGTCCCCTACTCGGGAACCTTTATTTCCGACCTCCTGCCTGATCTTGTGTAGCCACCTACACTCCGACCAGCCCCCAGAGCAGCATCGTTCTGCCCCCTGTGCAGCCTTTCCTGTCTCCCTGACTTTGTGCTCGTCTCCTTTGTTGTAAAGTATTTCTCCTACTTTGAAGACTACTCCCACTTAACTAAGTGTGCATCCATTCATTCATTCATTTATTCATTTCTCCCCAGTGTTCTCCTCCAGTAGTATCTTGGGCTGAACAACAGTATTTGTCTTATTTCTCCAGCTGTAGTGTGGCTCTGTTTTATCCCTATTCAATGAATATTTAATGTAGCATATTTCATGCCAACTTTACCACTAGTGCTGGAGTGGCGGAAGGACAACACTTGGCTGTTTAAGAAAATCAAAGCTGGCCGGGCACGGTGGCTCACACTTGTAATCCCAGCACTTTGGAAGGCCGAAGCGAGCGGATCACGAGATCTGGAGATCGAGACCATCCTGGCTAACACCGTGAAACCCCGTCTCTACTAAAAATACAAAAAATTAGCCGGGCGTGGTGACGGGCGCCTGTAGTCCCAGCTACTGGGGAGGCCGAGGCAGGAGAATGGCGTGAACCCGGGAGGCGGAGCTTGCAGTGAGCCGAGATCGCGCCACTGCACTCCAGCCTGGGCGACAGAGCGAGACTCCGTCTCAAAAAAAAAAAAAAAAAAAAAAAAAAAGCTGATCAGAGAGATGGATGAATTACTGGTTTATTCAGCTGTTTATAAAGTACATACTATGTGGCAGTTTAGACAACTAGGCTATACTTGCCAGCAAAATAAAAAAGGGGGTTGCATCCTAGCAGGTCAGATAAAATAATTCAGGGGATAAGTACCATGAAGAAATGGACAGGTGGTAAGTGATACGGGTTTCACTCTTAAATAGATGGGCAGGTTATGCAGTGGAAGGCGCCTGATGCACAGCTCCAAAGCTCACCCGTCTACAGTGGACACGACGAAACCAGGGACATGTCCCACCATTTCAGTGGTCACAGGCAAGAGTCTTGTGGATCTTCGGATCCCACGTAACATCTCATCTCCCTAGGCACCCCGACTCCCCTGCCCAATTTAAAACAGACCTCAGCCTGCCCCATCCCGGCTGCTTTGCCTGGTGCTCTTCTAACTGCATGTTTATCTATCCTCCCCGCCTAGACTGTAGGGCCCGCGAGGGGAGCCGCTAGCTGTGCTTGTCAGTGTGACCAGCGCTCAGCAGGTGTCCGGCGGGAGGGCGGGCAAATACAACTCAGTGCCCACGTGCGAATGAATGAACAAACTAGTTCCGGGCGGAGCCAGAGGCGCGCGCCGGCGCGGACCGAGGCCCGGCCCTATCCGCCCCGCCCCCTCCGCCCCGCCCCCTCCGCCACGTCCCTCCGGGTCCGCTGGGCGCTGATTGGTCCGAGCCTCGCCTGCGCAGTGCCGGGCCGGCTCCCGCGCTTGCGCACTGGCTCCGCGTCGGCCGGTCGGTTTGGTCGGTTGTAGTGGCCTCGCCGCCCGGTCCGCTGTCGCAGCGCTCATCCGCGCCGGGAGCCCTTGGCTGCGTCGCCCGGCAGCCGCGGTGAGTGACGGCCCGCGTATCCGCTGCCGGGGCTGTGGCGGGCGTGAGGGGTTGGCCCTACCCTCGGCCCCCGACCGCCCACATCCGCCGGTTACCCTCGAGGCTCCCCGGCCGCGCGCTCCCCTCTCTCCGTCCCATCACCCGGTGACCCCGGCTGAGCGAACGCCCACCCCTCCCTCAGGGACCCCCTCCCCGTGACACGATCCCCCGTGAACGCCCACCTCCCTCAGTGAACACTCCCCCGTGACATGACCCCCCGCAAACGCCCACCCATCCCTCGGTGACCCTGCGCCCGTGAGCGCCCACCCCTCCCCCTGCGACCCCTCCCCCCGCCACCTGGCAACTGCCGTTTTCCCGCCTTCCCTCCTCCGCCCCCTCTCCCGCATCACCCCGTTTTCTGGTGACCGCTCCCCCCCATCCCGTGACACAAACCCCCGACCTCCCAGCCCTTCCCCGGTGACACGATCCCTGTGACCGTCTGGCCCGGTAACCGCCCCTCCCCTCATGACCCTTCACCCAGTCCCCTGGTGCCCACCCCCGTCACTGCCGCCCGCCTGGTTCCAGCCTCGCGAGACCGCTGTCTACGGCGCTGACGCCGCCTCTGCCTCTTGACCCCTTGGCCCCGCTGTCCTGATCCCTGAGGTCGGGGCCTGGTCTGCACTCCAGGAAAGACGAGTGCGCTTAGTGTGCGCTGCACGTGAGCAGTGAAGTTGATTCCACGCGCTGCGCTGCTCGGCAGCTGTCCCAGAACTGACCACGGACCCCTCCGCGGGTCCTGCTCCTGACAAGGGCCTTCCGGCACTGGGAGTTTTGTGTTAGTGGAAAGGAAGAATCTAATAATACCACCACCTTTACAGTAAAGACGCTGCGAATTGACGCCTTTTATAATAAAGACACTTATCTTGCCCAAGAGCTGGGTGAGTATTTCCTCCTTACCAAAAAGTTGGTTTACTTACAGTTAACTGGCTGAAAGTTTGAGTCTTAGGCTTATTTGTGCCGCTCCAGGCAGGCTGATTGGCGCTGGTTTCCATCTGTCAGATTGGACAGCAGTACCACTGGCTGTTGGGGGCTCACGACCAGATAGAGTCTTGTCTGGGAACCACAAGTGAGTGTTGTTACCACAGCTCTGCAGCAGTGAGGGCACCTCTCAATCCACGTGCAGTCGCCCCACCTTATCTTCAGGGGATACGGTCCAACACCCTCAATGGATGCCTGAAATCAAGGATAGTAGTGAACACTATATACACTGTTTTGTTATGCATCCTTCCATATCTACGATAAAGTTTAATTCATAAACTAGGCACAGGAAGAGATTAATAACAGCTAATAATAAAATAGAACAGTCGTAACAATATACTGTAATAAAAGTCATGTGAAAGTGATGTCTCTCTCCTAAAATATCTTACTGTATTGTACGCACATGTTTTTGAACTGCAGTTCACCGAGGGTTACTGAATCCATGGATAAGGGGAGATTACAGCAGTTTCTTTTCTGACTATGTTATTGAGACTTCAAAACTAACTAAATTGTTCGTTGAATGGAATTGTCCAAGGTGTACAAAATGACAGTTGTAACACAAAGGTGTTTCACTGACATCCCTGTCACGTTTTTGCTAAACTAATGCACTTTTAAAAATTATTATTTATGCTGGGTGTGGTGGCTTATGCCTGTAATCCCAGCACTTTGGGAGGCTGAGGCGGGCAGATCACCTGAGGTCGGGAGTTCGAGACCAGCCTGACCAACATGGAGAAACCCGTCTCTACTAAAAATACAAAAAAAATCAGCCAGGTGTGGTGGTGCTTGCCTGTAATCCCAGCTACTTGGGAGGTTGAAGCAGGAGAATCGCTTGAACCCAGGAGGCGGAGGTTGTGGTAAGCTGAGATCACACCACTGCACTCCAGCCTGGGCAACAAGATCGAAACTCCGTCTCAAAAAATATATATATTACTTATAAAAGTCTGTACTTCATGTTCAGTCACAGTAGAGACAAGTAGAAACTCCCTCCTTCAACAATACCTAGCACTCAAGGAGAGATGGCCTTACAGAGTCAGCATGTGGTGCAGAGGTCTCTTGGCCATGATTTTAGGTCCTCCTGGGTCCACATCGTCCCACCTGGCCATGGATACGTTGTCATCTGATCTGTTCACTGTTAAGGTAACAGTTGTCATAACTACTACAAAATGGTTAAGTGTTAGGACTTTAATGATGGTGATCATGTAATAAAGGGCCTGGAGGATAATGGCATGCTTACGAATTTTCTGGGTGGTATTCACATGTTTGAAAAAGCATTGAAATGTATGATTTTGGGTGATGACTCTGAGAAGTATGGAGCATGACCCATTTTGAATAGGAGAACAGAATGTTGTAAAGTGATTCTTGGTCCCCTAAGAGTCCATTGACAACCACCATGTAGAGGAAAAATGGCAAAGAATGGGCTCTCTCCAAAGTCAGGTGCTGAGGCCCTTCTAAGGAGGAAAAGCCAACGCCCTTTCACTGTGGTTTCCAGCTGCTACAGGAACAAATAGTGTCTATCTGTGTCCAGCTTATTTTTTGACTTCTTTGAGTCTGAAGATACTTTGAAAAACTTTGATTTGCCAGAGTAATTTTTTGTACCTTGGAATGAGCCATATTTTTAATTTGCTTTTTGATGTTACAAAATGTACCCTCATAAGAATTCAAACAATACAGAAAAATAAGTCCTTTTCAGTCCTTTTGTGCTGTAATAACACCCTCCATCTTTTTTTCCATTTCAGTTAGTAATATGTCTTCAACATCTGCTCATGTCAGGAAATAAAAATTTATTCTCTTTTTTTTTTTTTTTTTTGTTTCGAGACGGAGTCTCGCTCTGTCGCCCAGGCTGGAGTGCAGTGGCGCGATCTCAGCTCACTGCAAGCTCCGCCTCCCGGGTTCACGCCATTCTCCTGCCTCAGCCTCCCGAGTAGCTGGGACTACAGGCACCCACCACCATGCCTGGCTAATTTTTTGTATTTTTAGTAGAGACGGGGTTTCACTGTGTTAGCCAGGATGGTCTCGATCTCCTGACCTTGTGATCTGCCTGCCTCAGCCTCCCAAAGTGCTGGGATTACAGGCAAAAATTTATTCTTTTTATGTTTACATAATAGTCCGTACTGAGGATACAACATATTTAGTCAACCATTCCCCATTGATGGATTTCATTTTGTGTCTGTTTTTTTGCCACAGTTTGTACTGAGAGACACATTCCTATGCATGGGTCCTGACACTTTCTTTCATTTCTACAGGCTAGATTCCCATGAAGGGGAGCTAAATGGTGTTAGTGGGTCAAAGGGTATGCATATTTAACATTTAAATTTCAATAGTTATTGAGAGATCTATTCCCAAAGTTATAGCAAAGTTACATTCCTGAAGCCATGAAGGGGAGGACGCTTTGCTCCCGTCTGACATACTGCCTGTTGAATGGGTGCTGCCATGTCCTGCTGGCGCCGTGTGCTGCACTTCGTGGACTGGCCCATTGGCAGTGCCTCTTCTGAAGTTTTCCATTGTGTTCTTCCCCATTTCCTGGAGAGGTTTCCTTTTCTTTTCTTTTCTTTTTTTTTTTTAACTATTTTATAGTAGCTCTTTTTTGAGATGGAGTCTTGCTGTGTCGCCCAGGCTGGAGTGCAGTGGTGTGATCTCGGCTCATTGCAACCTCCGCCTCCCAGGTTCAAGTGATTCTCCCGCCTCAGCCTCCAGAGTAGCTGGGATTACAGACGGGCACCACCACACCTGGCTAATTTTTGTATTTTTTAGTAGAGATGGGATTTCACCATATTGGCCAGGCTGGTCTCAAACTCCTGACCTCAAGTGATCTGCCTGCCCTGGCCTCCCAAAGTGCTGCACTTACAGGTGTGAGCCACCGCAACCAGCCAAACTCTTTGGATAACAGGGATATTTACCCTTTGAAGTAATAAAATATTGCATGTATTTTTCTGCTAATTATTTTTTGTCTTTTGATCTTGTTTAAAACATCTTTTATGTAGTCATGTATTTTTTCCTTTACAGCATCTGGGTTTCCTGCATTACTTATTAAGAAGCTTTCACCACCTCGCAGTTGTAGAGATAGTCCCCGAAATATTATTCCAATAAAGTGTTTTCCTCCTTTCCTCCCTGCCTCCTCTTCCTTCCTTCCAGGATAACATTTAGTTCTTTATTCTGACTGAAATGGTATGAGGTAGGGGTGTTTTCCTCCTTTCCTCCCTGCCTCCTCTTCCTTCCTTCCAGGATAACATTTAGTTCTTTATTCTGACTGAAATGGTATGAGGTAGGGGTGTTTTCCTCCTTTCCTCCCTGCCTCCTCTTCCTTCCATGATAACATTTAGTTATTTATTCTGATTGAAATGGTGTAAGGTAGGGGATAACCTTTTCCCCCCTAGATGCTACTACCATTTCTTTTTCTTATTTTAATGTAATTAAAAATTTTAAAGGAAAGTTTTTTGAAACAGAGTCTCACTCTGTCACCCAGGCTGGAGTGCAGTGACACAATCTTGGCTCACTGCAAGCTTGATCTCCCGGGCTCAAGCAATTCTCCCACCTCAGCCTCCTGAGTAGCTGGGACCACAAGTGCACAGCTAATTTTTGTATTTTTAGTAGAGACAGGGTTTTGCCCTGTTGCCCAGGCTGGTCTTGAACTGCTGGCCTCAAGGGATCTGCCCACCTCAGCCTCCCAAAGTGCTGGGACTACAGGCGTGAGCCACCATGCCTGGCCTTAATTTTTAATTGATAAATAATTGTTGTATATATTATATATTTATGAAGAACGTGATGTCTTAATGTGTTTATATTACAGAATGATGAAATTGTGCTCATTAACAAACCCATCACCTCACACACCATTTTTATGTGGTGAAAATATTTAAAATCTACTCTTTCAGAAATTTTGAAATATACAATGCATTCGTATTTATTATAATTATCATCCTCTGCAATAGATCACTAAAACTTACTCTTTCTATCTAACTGAAATTGATCCCTTTGATCAATATCCCCCTTCCCTTTTTCCCCCACCCCCCGGCCCCAGTAACCACTGTTCTCTCTGTTTCTATGAGTTCAACCTTTTTAGATTCCACGTGTAAGTGAGATCATGTGGTATTTATCTTTCTGAGCCTGCCTTATTTTACTCAGCACAGTGTCCTCCAGGCTCATCCATGTCCTTGCAAATGACAGAATTTCCTTATTTTTTTAATGGCTGTATACTATTCCTTTGTGTTGTATATATACCACACTTTTTAAAATCATTCATCTGATGATGGGTACCCAGGCTACTGTGAATAATGCTGCCATCAACATGTGAGTACAGATAACTATTCAACATCCTGATTTTGTTTCCTTTGGCTGTGCACCCAGAAGTGGGATTGCTGGATCATATCTTCATTCTATTTTTATTTTTTTGAGGAAGCTTCGGACTGTTTTCTATAATGGCTGTACTAATTACATTCTTACCAACAGTGCACAAGGGTTCCCCTTTCTCCATATCCTCGCCAACACTTAACTATCTTTTGTCTTTTTGGTAATAGCTATCCTAGCAGTTGTGAGGTGATAATCTCATTGTGGTTTTGCTTTGCATCTCCCTGATGGTTAGTGATGATGAGCCTTTTTTCATGTATTTGTTGGCTATTTGTATATCTTCTTTTGAGATATGTCTATTTAGGTCTTTTGCCCATTTTTAAATTAGGTTGTTTTCATGCTATGGAGTGGTTTCAGTTCCTTATATATTTTGGATATTAGCCCCTTATTAAATGTATGGTTTGCAGATATTTTCTCCCAATGCCACTACCATTAAAGTATCTATACATTTTTAATCTTTTTCCTTTTTCTTTCCTCTTTTTCTTTTTTCCATAAAAACCTGTTGGCTTTTGTATGTTTATCTTGATTACAGACACTTCACCGAATTCGAAGTATTCTTATAAGTTTTTGTCTCGGATTTTGTAGGCATGGAATTATATCATTTGCAAATAAAGATAATTTCAGGCTGGGCATGGTGGCTCACACCTGTAATCCTAGTACTTTGGGAGGCCAAGAGCATGCTACTTTTTTTTAGTTTAAACTTTAAATTTTTATGGCTACACAATAGCTGTATATACCTACATTGCTTTTTTATTACAGAAGCTCTAGAATAAGTATGACTATTTTCCTAAGTCAGGAATTCTACTATTTTGTTTTTCTTTTATTTTGTCAGTATTCTTATGTTTTTCAAAAAAGCACTGTCTCTTTAAAAACATATCACTTCATTGAGCTTTAAGCTAATTTTTTTCTTATTTCTAAAGCAAAACAAAACCCAAACTCATTGTAATCCTCTTTGGAATTGCATTACATGTATATGTTCAGTTGTGAAGGCATGACATTTTATGATAGTAAATCTTATTCTGGAACATGGTATGTTGCTTCATTTTATTCGTGTTTTTTTGAGACGGAGTTTTGCTTTTATTGCCCAGGCTGGAGTGTAGTGGCGCAATCTTGGATCACCACAACCTCCGTCTCCCAGGTTCAAGCGATTCTCCCGCCTCAGCCTCCTGAGTAGCAATTACAGGTATGTGCCACCACAGCTGGCTAATTTTGTTTTTTGTTTGTTTTTTTTAGTAGAGATGGGGGTTTCTCCATGTTGGTCAGGCTGGTCTCGAACTCCCAACCTCAGGTGATCGCCCGCCTTGGCCTCCCAAAGTGCTGGGATTACAGGTGTGAGCCAACGCACCCGGCCTTATTCATGTATTTTTTAATGTTCTTTACTAACATTATATAGTTTATTTCTCTTCTTGGTAAATGTACTTCTTGGTAAATGTACTTCTTGGTAATGTACTTGGTAAATGTACTTGGTAAATGTACACTGGTATTTTATAGTTTTTGTGGCCTTTGAATGGGACATCTTAAAATTTCCATTTCAGTTGTCTATCGCTGACATAAAAAAAAAGCCTGTTGATTTTTGTATATTTATCTTGATTGCAGGCACCTCAACAAAATTGTTATTCTTTTTTTTTTTCGAGGCCGAGTCTCACTCTGTCGCCCAGGATGGAGTGCAGTGGCGCAATGTCGGCTTACTGCAACCTCTGCCTCCCAGGTTCAAGCGATTCTCCTGCCTCAGCCTCCAGAGTACCTGGGATTACAGGTACTCGCCACCACACCTGACTAATTTTTTGTATTTTTAGTAGAGACGGGGTTTCACCATGTTGGCCAGGCTGGTCTCAAACTCTTGACCTCAGGCGATCTACCCACCTCAGCCTCCCAAAGTGCTGGGATTACAGGTGTGAGCCATTGTGCCTGGCCAAATTGTTATTCTTACAAGTTTTGGTCTCGTGGGTATTGTAGGCATACAATTATATCATATACAAATAAATATAATTTCAGGACAGGTGCGGTGACTCATGCCTGTAACCCCAGCACTTTGGGAGGTTGGGGCAGGAAGATCACTTGAGCCCAGGAGTTTGAGACCAGCCTGGGCAACATGACAAAACCCCGTCTCTACAAAAAATTAAAAAATTAGCCGGGTGTGGTGGGGGGCGCCTGTAGTCCCAGCTACTTGGGAGGCTGAGGTGGGAGGATCACTTGAGCCTGCGAGGTCGGGGCTGCAGTGAGCCAAGATTGTGCCACTGTACTTCAGCCTGGGCAACAGAGTGAGACCCTATCTCTAAAAAATATATATGTAAATAATAATAATAAATTATATTCCCTTCCCTCATTACTTAGTTCATGTTTCTTTTTATTTTTAACTGCTAAAACCTCTGTTGAAGTGCTACATAGAAATGGTGACATTTGCATCCTTGTGTTCCTGATTTAATGGAATTAGTTTCTGCATATCAACATTTAATATGATTATTGCTGTTGAGTTTTGGGAGCTAGTTTTTAAAACATTATGTTCAATTTGTTTCCTTTGATATGTGTTTTACTTTGAATTATTATTCAGAAGAACTGCTAAATTTTGTATCATTTTTTTCATTTAGTGGCTTTTAGCTTTAAAATGATGGTGAAGTTTGTAGATTTCCTGATATTGGCCCACTCCCTGAATTACTGGACTGACTCCCCTTTGTCAGTGTGTTTTTCTTTGAGTGTATGCTCGGTTCTATTTATGAATTTTTAAAAATAATTTTTATACCACGCATATGCAAAATTCTTATAAGTTTATTGCTTTTTTGTACTGTCAGGTTTGGGTATTAAATGCTAATTTCGTAAAGTGAATTAGAGAGATTTCTATTTTTTCCATAAACTTGAAATATTTAAATAGCATAGGAATTACTTGAGCTTTAAAGGTTAGAGCTCAGTTAAGTAAAATTCCATTGTCTCTTAGAGTCTTTTAAAACAATAGATATTTAATTTTCTTTTTGATTTTTTCTTTTTCTTTTTCTTTTTTTTTTTTTTTGAGACGGAGTCTCGCTCTGTCGCCCAGGCTGGAGTGCAGTGGTGCGATCTCAGCTCACTGCAAGCTCCGCCTCCCGGGTCAACGCCATTCTCCTGCCTCAGCCTCCCGAGTAGCTGGGACTACAGGCGCCCGCCACCACGCCCGGCTAATTTTTTGTATTTTTAGTAGACACGGGGTTTCACCGTGTTAGCCAGGATGGTCTCGATCTCCTGACCTCGTGATCCGCCTGCCTCGGCCTCCTGAAGTGCTGGGATTTCAGGCGTGAGCCACCGCGCCTGGCCCATTTGTCTGTTTTTATTTTTTCTTTTTTCATTAATCAGACTTGCTTGGACTTTATCCATTTTATTTATTTTTCCCAGAGAATCAGTTTTTGGTTTAATTTAGCCTTTCTACTACTTTTGTTTGTTTGTTTCATTTTGTTGTTTTCAGTTTTTGTATACTTTCTTAAATTGAACACTTATTTTCAGCCTTTTATTTTGATAATAAAAATACTGAAAGCTGTAACTTTTTCTTAAAGTACAGCTTTGTTTCCCATAGGTTTTAAAAGAGAAATACTCTATATTTTGTTTGTTTTTTTAACTTTCTAGAGAAGTTCGTAATTTCATGTTTAATTTTTTTTGGTTCAGATATTATTTAGTGGTTTTTAAAAACTTCCAACTACTCTTTGTCATTTTTATGATGAATTTCTAGTTTTATGAATTTGGCATCTAAAATATAATTAATTTGTTATGTATAACCTTCATTTTGGGGACTTAATGCATATTTTATTTATGGCCTATAAAAATTTCACAAGTACAAAGTTGTTTGTTTGTTTGTTTGAGACCGAGTCTCGCTCTGTCACCCAGGCTAGAGTGCAGTGGCGTGATTTCAGCTCACTGCAACCTCCCCCTCCCAGGTTCAAGTGATTCTTCTGCCTCAGCCTCCCGAGTAGCTGGGACTACAGGCATGTGCCACGACGCCCGACTAATTTTTGTGCTTTTAGTAGAGACAGGGTTTCACCATGTTGGCCACGCTGGTCTGGAACTCCTGACCTCATGATCTGCCCACCTCAGCCTCTCAAAGTGCTGGGATTACAGGCGTGAGCCACCGTGCCTGGCCAAGTACAAAGTTTTATAACAAGCATATTACTTATTTTGTTGCGTTGTATTCCATTCTTTATTTTTGTCCGATTTGATCAATCAGGTTTTGAAAGAGGTGTTTTACAGTCGTTCATTCTAAGTGGGTTTTTTTCTTTTTTTTTTTGGTTTTGGTTTCAAAATCAGGTTGTCCTAGGAAATTTTGTTTTCATGCATTTGGTTGCTATAATGTTGGTTTATAAAGATTTATGTATGTCATGTATAATTTGTGAGTTTAAACTTTTTAAAATTGTATTAGTGTATTTTAGAGACAGGGTCTTGCTCCGTCACCCAGGCTGGAGTGCAGTGGCATGATCATAGCTTACAGCAGTCTCCAGCTCCCAGGCTCAAGTGATCTTCCTGCCTCAGCCTCCCAAGTATCTGGGACCACAGGTGCCATCACATGCCCTGCCGAGTTGCAGCTTTAATCGGGACATAAGGCTTCTTTTTGTCCTGTTCTATGTGTTTGCCATGAATTTTGTTTTGCTTAATGTTGACTGTACTACTGTGGCTCTCGGAGAGAGGGGGCAGTTGAAAATCTTGCCAGGTGTCCTTGGGACTGGGTGTGCCTGGCTGGACGCAGAGCTGCTTGAGAGGGGCTGACTGTGGCCGGCGCTTCTGGGCCTGAGTGTGTCCTCTCCAGCTCCCCTGTGCCCACCTTTGTTTCACGCAGAACCTTCCTCAGCGGGTTCCACAGCTGAGGCTGGCCGCCTCCAAACGGGGTCCCCGCCAGTTGCAGGCTTTGAGCCATGCCTCTGCTGCTTGTCCTGGGTTCCCTTCTGCCATCACCCTCAGGAAGCCTCTTCTAGAGGAGTGTTCCAGCTGGCTCTGAGACTCTGTCTCCTGCCTCGCCGACCATCAGGCAGACTTGAGTGCATTCCCTTTACCTATTTTGTTTGGTGGCCCCGGTCTGCAAAAGACCCTCCCCTCCCCCCTCCCCTCCCCTCTCCTCTCTTCTCTTCTTTCTTTTGATGGAGTCTTGCTCTGTCGCCCAGGCTGGAGTGCATTGGCGCTATCTCAGCTCACTGCAACCTCCGCCTCCCAGGTTCAAGCGAATTCTCCTGCCTCAGCCTCCAGAGTAGCTGGGATTACAGGCATATGCTACCACGCCCAGCTAATTTTTGTACTTTTAGTAGAGACTGGGTTTCACCATGTTGGCCAGGCTGGTCTCGAACTCCTGACCTCAAGTGATCCATCCATCTCAGCCTCCCAAAGTGCTGGGATTACAGGTGTGAGCCACCGTGCCCAGCCTTGTTTTTTTCTTTTTCTATCCAACTTATCTTTTAAAAAATTTTATTCAGCCTTTCTCTTCAGGAAACATCTTTTTCTTTTTTCTTTTCTTTTTTTTTTTTTTTTGAGATGGAGTTTTGTTCTTGTTGCCCAGGCTGGAGTGCAGTGGTGCAATCTTGGCTTACTGCAACCTCCACCTCCCAGGTTCAAGTGATTCTTCTGCCTCAGCCTCCTGAGTAGCTGGGATTACAGGCATGCGCCACCACGCCCGGCTAATGTTTTGTATTTTTAGTAGAAACGGGGTTTCTCCGTGTTGGTCAGGCTGGTCTTGAACTTCCGACCTCAGGTGATCCGCCCACCTCGGCCTCCCAGAGTGCTGGGATTACAGGCATGAGCCACCTCGCCTGGCTTTGTTTTTCTTTTTCTATCCAACCTATCTTTTAAAAAATTTTATTCAGCCTTTCTCTTCAGGAAAAATCTCTTTTTATATTTCAATTGGTTTATATTCTGTTAGCCTCATCCTCCCTACCAATCCTGTTCTAACAGTGAGACAGAATCATAGTTTTCAGACTCTCCATTGCATCTTTGATTTTCTGAGCACACTTGATTCCTAGAAATAAAGAGTTCTGTTAAATAGAGTGAACCCCAAGTTTCTCTTCAAAGAATCAGTATGTCAGTCTGTTCAGCTTCCTGTTCTTTGATTCTCCATTTTAAAGTTTAACTTCCTGGTTCTCTTCACCCCCTTGCCTCTAGTTTCAGTAAACAACTTTCCCGCCAGTCCTAATCACTAGTTCACATCTGTTCCCCTGGTCACCTGCTCCATCCTGACTCATCTCGGTCACCTGCTTTGACCGGAGTCACCTTTAGTTACCTCTTCCTAACCGTCCTTCCCACCAAACTGCTCACCCCGCCACTCTGGCTCGTACTCCTGCTCTTTTTAAAATAGCCAGTCGGAATTAGCTTAGACTGTGTGGTCCAACCCTAGCCAATAAGGGAACGACACAGCAGTAGGGACTACCTGCCTCAGGGATAAGACCTCCTGTCCCTCCCGTGTCCAGGTATGCTCTTGCCATGGCTCCACCTGCGAGGGTCACCCTTTATGCAAAAAGTCAAAACTGCCTTGCTGAGAACATTAAATGGATGCTCGAGTGCTATTTCTCTGTGGCACTGGGGAACAAGCATTTTGCATTTCTAACAGTCCAGGCACCAGCCTTTAAAAAAAAAATAGAAAAAAGATAGATAAAATAGTCAATTAAAAATATAAATGCATATTTATCCACTATACTTTAAAAATAGCTTTATTTAGGTATAAGTTACCTACCATAAAATTCACTCACTTTAAGTGTACTCTTCATTGAATCCTAGTAAGTATTCACCACGTGGTTGCAGAGCAGCCTTTTAGGGTGTTTTCCTCACTCTAGGGGGCCCTTGCATCCCTTTGCCATCTTTCCCGCCTCAGGCCCAGCCCCAGGCAAGCGCTGATCTGCTGTCACGTAATTTGCCTTTTCTAGAATTCCTTATAATGGAATTAGGAGCAGTGTCCTCTTTTGTGTCTGGCTTCTTTCACTTAACTTTTTTTTAAAGATTCATTCGTCTTTTTGCATGTATCACCAGTTCATTCCTTTTTATTGCTGAATGATATTCCAAATATATTCCGTGTAGGGATAGATCGTAATTTTTTTATCCATTCACCTGTCAGTGGACATTCGGGTTGTTTCCAGTTTTTGACTCTCACATATAAGCCTAGGAGGAACACGCACTTACAAGACTTTGTGTGGACACATGCTGGCTCTTTTCCTAGGTAAGTACCTAGGAGTGGAACGGCTGGATTGTATGGCAGGTGTTTACCTTTTTAAGAAATTGCCAAACTGTTTCCCAAAGTGTGTGGACCATTTTATATTCCCCCTAGTAGTATATGAATAGGTTCCAGTTTCTCCACATCCTTAGCAGCCAGCACTTGGTATGATCGGTCTTTAGCCATCTTAGGAAGGCCTGTAGGAGCATCTCACTGTGGTTTTAATTGCATTCCCCTAATCACTAATGAAGTTGAGCATCTTTTCATGTGCTTATTTTCTATCCATTTTTCTTTGACAGTGTTTGTTGACATCTTTTGCCTGGTGAAATAAAAAAAAAAAAACCTGAGTTGGAGAATTCTAGATAGAAGTTCTGTATCAGATATGTGATTTGAAAATATTTTCTAGTCTGTGGTTATCTTAACAGTGTCTTTTCAGGAGCAGAAGTTTTAATTTTCATGAAGCCTAATTTACCAGTTTCTTCTTGTATGAATCATGCTATTGTATCTGAAAAGTCTTTGCCTAACCCAGAATTACAAAGATCACACACAAAGATGTTTTTTCTATATTTCCTTCTAGGAAGTTTCTGGTTTTAGATTTCACATTTAGGTCTACAATCCATTTTGAAATTTTTTTGGTCTGTTGTACAAATAATGGATGAGAGTTCATTTTTTTGCATATGGATGTCCAGCTGTTTCAGCATCATTTTTGAACACATTATCCTTTCTCCACTTTATGATCTTCGCCTCTGTTGAAAATTTATTAACCATGTATATGTGAATCTATTTCTGGCATTCTGTAAGATTGTTCCATTTCCACGCTGTCTTAATTGCTGTGGCTTTATAATACACGTTAAAGTCAGGAAATCTAAATCTTTTTGTCTTTTTCATAATTTTGGCTCTTCTAGGTTCTTTGCATTTCCTTATGAACTTTAAAATCTGCTTCTCAATTTCTGTTAAAAGCCTCTTGGGGTTTTGATTGACATTACATTCAATTTTTAGATCAATTTTGGGAGAACTGACATATTAACAATACTGAGTCTTCTGATTCATGAGCACTATTAATGTCTTTAAAATTTTCTCTCTGCAGTGTTTTGTGGTTTTGATGTACAGGTCTTGCACATCTATCAGATTTATTCTTGAGTATTTTATATTTTTTGAAATAATTTTTTTTTGAGACAGGGTCTTACTCTGTCTCCCAGGCTAAAGTACAGTGGCACAATTATAGCTCGCTGCAACCTCTATCTCCTGGGCTCAAGTGATCCTCCCACTATAGTCTCCCAAGTAGCTGGGACTACAGGTGTATACCACCACCCCCAGCTAATTTTTTTTTTTCTGTGGAGATGGGGTCTTACTATGTTTCCCAGGCTGGTCTTGAATTCCTTGGTTCAAGTGATCCTTCTGCCTTGGCCTCCCAAAGTGCTGGGATTGCAGGCGTGAGCCATTGTGCCTGGCAGGATTTTCTCAGAGATGATTATTTTGCCTGAGAATGAAGGGCTTTAATCTTTTTCCCTTACAGTCTGTCTGTGTTTTATTTCTTTTTCTTGACTGACTGTGCTGCTACAATCTCCATGTTGAGTCCAAGTACTGAGAGAGGATGTCCTGTATCAGTTCGTTCTCACACCGCTATAAAGAAATACCTGAGACTGGGTAATTTATAAAGAAAACAGTTTTAATTGGCTCACGGTTCTGCAGGCTGTACAGAAAGCATGATGCTGGCATCTGCTCGGCTTCTGGGGAGGCCTCAGGAACTTACAATCTTGGCAGAAGGCAAAGGGGGAGTGAACACGATATGGCCAGAGCAGGAGTAAGAGAGAGAAGGGGAGGTGATGCACACTTTTTTTGTTTTAGACAGAGTCTCACTCCATCACCCAGGCTGGAGTGCAGTGGTGTGATATTGGCTCACTACAACCTCCGCCTCCCAGGTTCAAGCGATTCTCCTGTCTCAACCTCCTGAGTAGCTAGGATTACAGGCGTGCGCCACCACGCCTGGCTAATTTTGTATTTTTAGTAGAGACGGGGTTTTGCCAAGTTGGCCAGGCTGGTCTCGAACTCCTGACCTCAAGTGATCCACTTGCCTCGGCCTCCCAAACTGCTGGGATTACAGGCGTGAGCCACCACGCCTGGCTGGTGATACACACTTTTAAAATGACCAGATCTCATGAGAATTCACTGTTGCGACCAAGGGGGATGGTGTAACACTATGAGAAACTGCCCCCATGATCCAGTCACCTCCCATCTGGCCCTTCCTCCAACACTGGGGATCACAATTCGACATGAGGTTTGGTGGGGACACAGATCCAAACTGTATTACATCCCTTCCTTGTTTCTGTCTTAAGAGGGAAAGCTTTCAGGCTTTTACCATCGAGTATCATATTAGCTGTTGTAGCCACTGAGATTCTTTATCAGGTCGAGGAAGTTTTCTTCTTCCCAAGTTTACTATATAGAACCAGATTTTCACCTTGGATCTGTTTTCCTTATTCCTAAAGTATGTCCTTCATTTCTTGTACTGCACATCTGCTGGTGGTGAATTCTTTCAGTTTTGTACATTTGGAAAAATCTTTGTCTTTTTTCTTTCTTTTTTTTTTTTTTTTAGACTAGAGTCTCACTCTGTCACTCAGGCTGGAGTGCAGTGGCCTGATCTCAGTTCACTACAACCTCCGCCTCCCAGGGGTTCAAGCAATTCTCCTGCCTCAGCCTCCCAAGTAGCTGGGATTACAGGCGTGTGCCACCACGCCTGGCTAATTTTTGTATTTTTAGTAGAGATGGGGTTTCGCCATGTTGGCCAGGCTGGTCTCAAACTCCCGACCTCAAGTGATCCGCCTGCTTCAGCCTCCCAAAGTGCTGGGATTCACTCTAATACACTAAGTTCACTCTAATACGACGAATACGGATGAACTGCTGGTTGGCCTTCGCCTCCTCCAGCACGCGTTCTGATTGTTGCTGGCCTGCCTGCATGGCCCGGGGAGGGCTCCTCTTCCTTCTCCCTGCTGCAGCTCTGTTGTGCCCCCGGAGTATTCTGAGCCCGTTTTCTAGTTCCAGGCCTGCGTCAGTGTAGGGTGACAGGAAGGGTCCTCTGCTGCACTCCACCTCAGGAAAAGCACCGTCTGTGGAGGAGAATCTGAACTGAGGAGGAAGCCCTGCCCAGCAGCCTGGGGGCTCCCAGGGATGTCTGCTGCATGGAGACTGCAGAAACCTGTGGTGGGGCAGAGAGTTCCAGTTTGGCCGTGTGTTGACTGCCCTCATGCAGACTCTACCAGCGGCCAAAGCGGTGTCTGGAGACGACAGTGTGTGTGCCTAGGGCACACAGGCACGGAGACACCGCCAGCCCTTTGTGTTGTGATCAGGGCTGGCGGGAGGCTCTGACTAGGGCTGTGGGAAGGGGACGTGTGCACTGTCCTCTTTCTGAGCGTTGCTGTGGTGGGAGTCCTGTCACGGGGAGCAGTCATGGAAGAGGACCGGCCCCTCCTCCCAGGTACAAGCACAGGCTCCTGTGCACTCCGACTCGCTGTTCCCCTCATCTGGCCTCCCCAGAGCCCAGGCACTGCCTGCTAACCCCAGACCTTCTGTGGTCCACTTAGGACTCTTGCCCACCATTGGTCCTGCCGGCCGGCCCGCCCAGGCTGGGCTTTCTCAGGGGGACTCCAGCTGCCCTTCTGCCCCATGAGGAGACACTAGCTCCCTTGGCCTCATTCCCTTACTGGCAACTGAGGGTCTGGTTCTTAGAGTCCCTTATGTGTAAACATGTAAAGCTTGTGGCTGTGAGGTGTGTTTGGTAAGAACAGTCCACAGCTTTCACCAGATTCTCAGGAGTGTCAGTGGCCCCTTCCCGGTCAATAAGTTGAAGAGCCGGGGTCAGTCTGGCTGCCACTGAGGGCCAGGCTGCCTCCTTGTGTGCTTGGGTGGCCTGACTGCAAGGAGATGCTCTCACTCAGCCCTGGACACACGGTGCAGATGGTGTGGCGGGTCAGCCCCACAGGGCCACCTCCTCAGTCTTGGGTTCTCAGCCTCAGCTGGTTCACATTTGGGGCCAGAAGATTCCTCCTGGTGGGGCCGTGCTGTGTGTTGTAGGATGGTTAGAGACCTCCAGGCCTCTACCCACCAAATGCCAGCAGTTCTCCCACCCTTATCAGTTGTGACAACCAAAAATGCCTCCAGACATTGCCTGATGTCCCCTGCGGGCACAGTCTTCCGAAGTACAGAGCCACTGATCTATCTGATCTTAGAAAGAGACTGTAGTCATTGCATTTCCGTAGGAAAAGGTGTTCTGAGTTAGAAATAATGTACAAATAGTTTTTTGCCTTGTATCTTCTATGCACCTTCTAATTATTATTTTACTAGATTACAGTCCCTCATGTGCAAACTTTGCACACCTGGAAGAAGAGTTTACTAGTAAGCAAAAGCACTTTTTTTTTTTTTTTTTTTGAGACAGAGTCTCGCTCTGTCGCCAGGCTGGAGTGCAGTGGCACGATCTCGGCTCACTGCAAGCTCCACCTCCCAGGTTCAAGTGATTCTCCTGCCTCAGCCACCCGAGTAGCTGGGACTCCAGGTACCTGCCACCATGCCAGCTACTTTTTGTATTTTTAGTAGAGACGGGCCAACATCACCATGTTGGCCAGATGGTCTTGATCTCTTGACCTCATGATCCGCCTGCCTCGGCCTCCCAAAGTGCTGGGATTACAGGTGTGAGCCACTGCGCCCAGCCAGGAAAACCACTTTTTAAAAAGATGCCTTTTTTTCCGTGTGGATATAAAAATGCCACATAGTAATTAGAGAACATCTAGAAAGCATAAAAAAGTATAAAAAGGGAAAAAATCATTATAATCCACCTAACCCAGAGACCACCACCTGTGGACACATTTTGAGTCTTTTTATTACATCTTTAAAATTACATAATTTTGGATCTTGAATTTTTCCATTTAAAATCAAACATAAAGAGTGTGTTTATCAAGCACTCTTTATAGTGGTTTTGCTGGCAAGCGTCGCTTCGTGCCTGCCTGGCTCGCCACACCTCGTGCTGGATGTGAGCTTGCACCGTTTTCACGTAAGCACTGTCTACTGTGTCCCTGAGCATCAGGCGTTAGGAGAGGCGGCTTCTGTAGTGGGTGGTATCTTTGCAGCTTTTTGAATGTTTCCCTTGAATTTCTATGAAGGTGATGATGGAAAAGACATCAGGTCTAAGCTGTCCATAAAATGCATTTGTCTGTAATACATGTCCTTCATTAAAAAACACGTGGCAGTTGGGGTCTACTGTCATGGTAGGAAGGTGGGAGCTGGACTCTCCTCCCAGCCGGGGTCAGGCCACACCTGGAGTGCCTCAGGTGCACTCTGTGCCCGTGTTTCCAGCCTGTCTCTGGAATGACTACTTCTGAACAGATTCCCTTTGCCTTTTTCTACCAGGCAGTATGCACTGAGTCCTTCAGGACAGATTAAATGATGAAAACCGTCCATCAAGTGTTCAGTCTTCATGCAGGATCACATCCGTGGAACTGATGTTTTAGCACTGGGGTTGATAGTGTCCAAGTCCCAGATTCAGGGGCAGGCTCAGGACCTGTCCACGGTGTTGGCCTATAGTGAGGCCCATGGGCCTCGGAGCCCGTGTGCCTGGAGCTGGACCATGGCTCCACCACTTCGTAGCTTGGCCCGATGTGGGCAAAGGATTACCTAGGTGCCGAGGCAACAGACTGAAGGCACAAACTGTTTCAGTATAATAAAGAAAATAGTTAGAATAAGAATAGTCATAATACGAATCAGATACAGAGCTGATCATGGACAATTATCAATCATTAGTATAAACATTATTAATCATTAACTTTTAATATTACTCTGTTGCATTACTAATATAACCTAGGAATAACCTGCGGGTATAGGGTCAGGTGCTGAAGCGACATTGTGAGAAGTGACCTAGAAGGCAAGAGGTGAGCCCTCTGTCATGCCCGCATAAGGGCCGCTTGAGGGCTCCTTGGTCAAGCGGTAACGCCAGTGTCTGGGAAGGCACCTGTTACTTAGCAGACTGTGGAAGGGAGTCTCCTTTCCTTGGAGGAGTCAGGGAACACTCTGCTCCACCAGCTTCCTGTGGGAGGCTGGATATTCTCCAGGCCTGCCCGCAGTCATCCGGAGGCCTAAACCCCTCCCTGTGGTGCTTCAATGGTCACACTCCTTGTCCACTTTCATGCTCCTCCTGCACTCCTGGTTCCTCTTTGGAGTTCTTAGTAGATAGCAGAAGAAGAAATAGTGGAAGTCTTAAAGTCTTTGATCTTTCTTATAAGTGCATAGAAGAAAACGCTGACATTTGCTGCCTTCCCTCTCTGCTTCAGCTACCTAAAAGGGAAGGGCCCCCTGTCGTGTGATCACGTGACTTGCTTCACCTTGTCAATCACTTAGAAGATTCACCCTCCTTACCCTGCCCCCTCGTCCTGTATGCAATAAATATCAGCGCACCCAGCCGTTCGGGGCCACTACCGGTCTCCGCGTGTTGATGGTAGTGGTCCCCCGGGCACAGCTGCTTTCTCTTTATTTTTTTGTCTTGTGTCTTTATTTCTTACAATCTCTCGTCTCCGCACACGGGGAGAACACCCGCTAAGCCCTGTAGAGCTGGACCTTACAGCCCAGGGAGCTCATTTCTCGCTGCCTCAGTGTCTCTCTGTGTAAATGGGCTATCAATAGGAGTGACCCCATGGCATGACTGTGAAAACTAAATGAGATCACGTAAGGGGCGTAGAGAACCTTTGTGACCCTGAGCCACCGTCTGCCACCCGCTGGGGATGCCCTGCTGTGCTGTACTTCTCTCCCTTCTCCCCCTCCCATGCTCTTCATCGCTAGCACTTTCAGCCCCTTGCGGTAGACTTGGATTAGGCAGGTATGAATACTTCAGTTCGAGAAAAGTGTGAGGCAGGGAAGCTTCCGAGCATCTCTTGCTGAGCAGATATTCTGATCTGAGCCTTTTTTGCCCTGGGTAGCAGTCTCGTGCCTGGGGTTTGCTGGGCCCGCATTGGCCCCTCCTGAGCCACCTTTCCAGACACCTGTGCAGGCTCCGAAAGGCGCCCGGGCATGGAGCTCACCTCACTCAACTCTAACTTTTCTGCATTTGTTTAGGGAGCATTTCCTGAAGACGTAGTCATGCAGCACGTCAGCAGCTCCCAGAGCAGCCAGCGCCATGTCCAGTGGCCTGGGGCCTGCCCCGGCGCGGGCGAGGAGCAGCCAGCGTGCTCCCAGCCGTCCCTGCCCCTCACACTGCCATCCCCCAGCCACCAACTACAGCAGCTGATGGTGAGAGGGGGCCCTGCGGGTGGGCAGAACATGAATGTTGACCTGCAGGGCGTGGGCCCTGGGCTCCAGGGAAGCCCACAGGTCACGCTGGCCCCACTGCCGCTCCCCAGCCCCACCTCTCCAGGCTTCCAGTTCAGCGCTCAGCCTCGGCGGTTTGAGCATGGGTCTCCATCATACATTCAGGTCACGTCCCCCTTGTCCCAGCAGGTCCAGACCCAGAGTCCCACGCAGCCCAGTCCGGGGCCGGGGCAGGCCTTGCAGAATGTGCGTGCAGGTGCCCCTGGCCCTGGGCTGGGCCTCTGCAGCAGCAGCCCTACAGGGGACTTCGTGGATGCCAGCGTGCTGGTGAGGCAGATCAGCTTGAGCCCCTCCAGTGGTGGACACTTTGTGTTTCAGGATGGGTCAGGGCTCACCCAGATCGCCCAGGGAGCCCAGGTTCAGCTCCAGCACCCGGGTACGCCCATCACAGTCCGAGAGCGGAGACCCTCCCAGCCCCACACACAGTCAGGGGGCACCATCCACCACCTGGGACCCCAGAGCCCTGCAGCCGCGGGTGGGGCCGGCCTGCAGCCCCTGGCCAGCCCAAGCCACATCACCACGGCTAACTTGCCACCGCAGATCAGCAGCATCATCCAGGGCCAGCTGGTTCAGCAGCAGCAGGTGCTGCAGGGGCCGCCGCTGCCCCGGCCCCTGGGCTTCGAGAGGACGCCCGGCGTGCTGCTCCCCGGGGCTGGGGGCGCAGCGGGGTTTGGGATGACGTCCCCACCCCCGCCCACCAGCCCTTCCAGGACTGCCGTGCCCCCAGGCCTTTCCAGCCTCCCACTCACGTCTGTGGGGAACACGGGAATGAAGAAGGTTCCCAAGAAGTTAGAGGAGATTCCCCCAGCCTCTCCGGAGATGGCACAGATGAGGAAGCAGTGCCTGGACTATCATCACCAGGAGATGCAGGCTCTGAAGGAGGTCTTCAAGGAGTATTTGATTGAACTGTTTTTCTTGCAACACTTTCAAGGGAACATGATGGATTTCTTAGCTTTCAAGGAGAGACTGTATGGACCATTACAAGCATATCTTAGGCAGAATGATTTGGACATTGAAGAAGAGGAAGAGGAGCACTTTGAAGTCATTAATGATGAGGTAACAGTTCTTTGTTTTGGTGCTTGTCATGGGAGGCAGAGCTCAGGGCTTATGCTGCGTGCAGGTGCAACGCAGAGCTTACCATCTCAGAGCATGCGTTCTAGGCACTTCACTTTAAAGACACACTGTGGCTGTGAATAGTGGTTTAAAGTCCCTCAGAGTCTCCCCACATTTACAGAGGGTGGTTCCAGGGATCCCAGCACATGGCTGAACCCCCAGCAGCATGGAAACTCCAGTGGTGTTCAGTCAGGCACCTCTGTGGCAGGTGCTCACGGCGGCAGCGTCCTGGCACCTTTCTTGGAATGCCACCACATTTGCCTGCTCCTAAACGGTTGTGCCGTGCAAGATGAGAACCCCAGAGTCCACCCTTGCCAGCTGCCTGCAGTCAGGGCTGGCTGGTCTCAAAGCCAAGATTCCAAGTTCCTGAACACACATCTCAATGTCAAGAGTTTCTGAACAAGTTACAGCTCTAACTTAGAATATACAGAGCAAAAATTTATAGAATTTCATTTTCTTTCTTTCTTTCTTTCTTTTTTTTTTGTGACAAAGTCTTGCTCTGTCGCCTAGGCTGGAGTGCAGTGGTGCGATCTCAGCTCACTCACTGCAACCTACGCCTCCCGGATTCAAGCAATTCTCGTGCCTCAGCCTCCCGAGTAGCTAGGATTACAGGCATGTGCCACCACGCCCGGCTAATGTTTTTGTATTTTTAGTAGAGACAGGGTTTCACCATGTTGGCCAGGCTGGTCTTGAACTCCTGGCCTCAAGTGATCAGCCCGCCTCAGCCTCCCAAAGTGCTGGGATGACAGGCATGAGCCACTATGTGTAGCCTATTTAGAGAATTTCAAGGGAGCAGGTTTTTTTTGTTTTGTTTTGTTTTGTTTTTTGCTTTTGAGACGGAGTCTCGCACTGTTGCCCAGGCTGGAGTGCAGTGGCATGATCTCGGCTCACTGCAACCTCCACCTCCCTGGTTCAAGCAATTCTTCTGCTTCAGCCTCCCAAGTAGCTGGGATTACAGGCACCCGCCACCACGCCCAGCTAATTTTTTGTATCTTTAGTAGAGACGGGGTTTCACTATGTTGGCCAGGCTGGTCTCGAAATCCTGACCTTGTGATCTATCCACCTTGGCCTCCTAGGGAGCAGTTTTTAAATCCACAATTATATGAGGAGTTACTAGCTTTTTTCTTAGAAGACAATAAATAATTATAAGTGTAGAACATGAACTATTCAAATTAACACAAATTAGCCTGTTTAAGTGTATAACACACATGTATATGTATGTGTGTGTAAAAACTTTCAACAAAGAATAATTTTTTTAGAGTATACATGGAGACTATTTGTAAATTGACCCCCAAGGGGATCCTCAATAAAATTTATAAAATTAATTTCATATGAACTGTCCTCTCCCTATAATGAAATAAAATTAGAAAGCAATTATTTTAAACATTTACTATGTGTGGAAACTAGGAAACTTGCCCGTAAGGTATTCATAGGTTGAGGAGACTATCTTCATGGAAGCGTCTTGAAGCACGCCACAGCGGAGGTGCCGCAGCCTTCAGGTCTTGTGGGATCAGCTGAAGGTCTCCTTAGAAAGGTCATTATGGCATTCAGTTAAGAAATACTGCAGATAAGCAGTGTAACAGCTTCCATAGTCACATGAAGAGTAAGTTCATCGTTGTATTAAAGTTTACTTCTAAATGATAGAAATAAGTTTTTATAGAACCTGACTAGCGTCTTCGGAATCTATGTTTTATCATCATTTTATAGGAAAATACCGGAAGTTGACTAACATTTGGGTTTTTCGTGAATATTTTCCTCTGTGTAATATTGCTCATCTTCCAGCTGCTCGTTGTGTTGACTCTGTAACATGATCCCTGTTACCAAACTTCATTAGAGCTACAAAATATTTGGGGGCTAGTAACTATAGAATTCATCCAAATTATTTAAACTAATTAGCTACATTTGCCTATGGCTTTTTTACTTGGGGAATTGGTGCTGACCTCGTGATCCACCTGCCTCGGCCTCCCAAAGCGTTGAGATTACAGGCGTGAGCCACCATGCCCAGCCGCTATGTGATTTCTTTAAAACATTTAATTGTGGGCCGGGCGCGGTGGCTCACGCCTGTAATCCCAGCACTTTGGGAGGCCGAGGCAGGTGGATCATGAGGTCAGGAGATCGAGACCGTCTTGGCTAACATGGTGAAACCCCGTCTCTACTGAAAATACAAAAAATTAGCCGGGCGTGGTGGCGGGCACCTGTAGTCCCGGCTACTCGGGAGGCTGAGGCAGGAGAATGGCAGGAACCCGGGAGGCGGAGTTTGCAGTGAGCCGAGGTCGCGCCACCGCACTTCAGCCTGGGCGACAGAGCGAGACTCCGTCTCAAAAAAAAAAAAAAAAAAAGAAAACATTTAATTGTGGTAACATATACAAAACATAAGATTTACTGTCTATCTGATTCATTATTTTTAAAGTTAATTTATTCCAGGGTACTGACAAATATTAAGGTTTGGTTTTGATTATTTATGATGATATGTGCTTGTTTATATTTAGCCTTCTGGACATATTTAGCCAGAAGAACCAGTTTCTTTTTCTTTTCCTTTTTCTTTTTTAGACCTGTCAGCCAGAAGTAAGAACCGGTTTCTATTTTCTTGTATTTCTCTCTATGATTTCAAGCTGTAAAGTGCCATTTGACTTTGAGTTCATTTAATTTCCAGGGTATTCCCATTTGAATACCCTGGACTTGAAGCAGTTAATGTATCTGGAAAGCTTCTTTGGTTTGCTTACTCTAAGAAGCTGTCATTATGGAGATGCAGATTAATTTGTCTTTCTGTTTTATCAGAGTGTGTTTTTAAGAAATGACACATTTTCAATGGGAGTGTTTTTTGTCATTCTTCCCCATGCCATGCCCCACCATGGCCTCCTCAGGCATCTGCAGCCCCTGCCGTGAGGGGTTGGCCACCCTCTGACACTGCCCCTGGGCTCCTGCACGAAGCTGTGTGGACATGGCCTGTGTAGCCTGACCATGGCTACCTGCCGGCCACAGATCGAGGTTTCAACTGGACTTCAAACAAAGCTTCAGTGCCTAGGGCCAGATTTGTTCTTTCCAGCCCTGTGAGGCCTGAAATTGCATCAGCGAGCCAAGTGTCCCCGTGCCCCTCTGTTAGTGGCTGAGGCCGCCAGCTGCATGGGATGTGCAGGCGGTGATCAACTTTGCAAAGCTTAAACATTATTTTCCCTTCTTCCTCCCTTCCCTTTGAATATTCCCTCTCAGGTAAAGGTTGTGGCCAGAAAGCACGGGCAGCCTGGGACTCCTGTTGCCATAGCAACCCAGCTACCGCCGAGGACTTCTGCGGCTTTTCCAGCCCAGCAGCAGCCGCTCCAGGTACTTTCTGATGGCTCCACAGTGCAGCTCCCCAGACTTTCCTCACTCGGATTTGAGGACTCGATGTGCTGAGGCAGGACCCAGAGGGGTCCCAAGAGCCTGTCCTCTTTTGTTCAAAATACATCTTGAAACGTCTTTGTGAAGGCTCTTAGTTTTAATGCATGGATGCTGTTATTTTTCCCTACTGTTACTGAAATTAAAAAGTGTTTGTCTCTGATCATTAGTTCTGTTAACTTTTCTGCTGGAATGTTTTTCATTTGCATTTGCTTTTCTGATATATTTGCAGTTTTCATTGCTTCTGTACGATTGTGGCCTCTTTGGATGTTTCTCTTTTTTTTCCCCCTTTGTCTGCTTTTAAACAAACAGATTTTCTAAATTGTTTTCTTGCTATAGGGAGTTGATTTTGTTCTTTAAACATATTCTAGGGGATGAGTAGCAAAAAACAATGATTTCAGATTTCAGAATACAAGGAAGTTCCTGGAAACTGCAACTCAGTTATCTCTCCTCTCCTCTCCTCTCCCCTCCCCGCCCCTCCCCTCCCCTCTCCTCTCCTCTCTTCCCTTCTTCCTTCCTATCTTTCTTTCCTTTTGATGGAATCCTGCTCTGTTGCCCAGGCTGGAGTGCAGTGGCACAATCTCAGCTCACCGCAACCTCCACCTCCTGGGTTCAAGCAGTTCTCCTGCATCAGCCTCCCGAGTAGCAGGGATTACAGGCACGTGCCACCATACCCGGCTAATTTTTTTGTATTTAGTAGAGATGGGGTTTCACCATGTTGCCCAGGCTGGTCTCGAACTCCTGACCTCAGGTGATCCCCCACCTCAGCCTCCCAAAGTGCTGGGATTATAGGTGTGAGCCACTGCGCCCAGTCAACATTTCTATATACTTAAAAACATGTTTTAAAAATTAGGTTAAAATATACATAAGAGTTCCCATTTTACCCATTTTTAAGTGTACAGTTCCGTGGCATGAAGCACATTCACATTGCTGTGTGGCCATCACCAGCATCCATCTCCAGAACATTTTCATCTTCTCAGACTGAAACTCTGCCCCTATGAAATGCTAACTCCCCATTCCCCCTCCCCCAGCCCCTGGCACCCACCACTGTACTGTCTGTCTCTGCGGATTGGAATGCACTTCTCCAGCGACCTAAGTAAGTGGAATCATACAGTATTTGTCCTTTTCTGTCTGTTGTTGTACTCAGCATCATGTCTTCGGAGTGCATCCACATTGTAGCCTGTAACAGAATTTCCTTCCTTTTGAAGGCTGAGTCACACGCCACGGGATGGGTGGACTGCATGTGTTGATCCATCTCTTGGTGGACACTTGGGTTGCTTCCACATTTCAGCTGCTGTGAACAGTGCTGCCCTGAAGACGGGCGTACAGATATCTCTTCAAGGTCCTGCTTTCAGTTCTCTTGGGCATATACCCAGAGTGGAAGTGCTGGGTCACGCACTAACTCTGTGTTTAACTGTTTAGGAAAGTCCATGCCATTTTCATAGTAGCTGCACCATTTTCCATCCCACCAGCAAGAACGAGGGTTTTCTTTCTCCACATCCTTGTCAACGCTTGTACATTTTTTTAATAGTGGCCACCCTAATAGGTGTGCTGTATGCTTTATAATGTAATAGAAAAATATTACTGACTATGCATGTACATATGGCTAAAGACATTCAGAGTTGGCCGGGCACGGTGGCTCACACCTGTAATCTCAGCACTTTGGGAGGCCGAGGCAGGCAGATCACCTGATGTCAGGAGTTTGAGATCAGCCTGGCCAACATGGTGAAACCCCATCTCTACTAAAAATGCAAAGATTAGCCGGGCTTGGTGGCGGGCACCTGTAATCCCAGCTACTTGGGAGGCTGAGGCAGGAGACTCACTTGAACCCAGGAGGCGGAGGTTGCAGTGAGCCGAGATTGCGCCACTGCACTCCAGCCTGGGCAACAAGAGCGAGACTCCATCTCAGAAAAAAAAAAAAAAGGACATTTAGAGTTTTAATCTGTTAATCAGCTGGCACTGTTGATGGTTCAAAATTGACTAGTGAGGGAGACAGCATTTGAAAAAACAACTTTAACTCAGAGTAGCAAATGGCATTGGTGACATATGCAGAATCCCACAGGAAGAGTGTGGAGGGATGCATGGGCTCCTGGGAGCAGGATGCAGGCTGTGGGGTGGCCCAGTGTGCTGTACCTGTGGCCGGCAGGGCTGGCGCCTCTGGCCTGGCCCCAGCAAGCGTAAGGACCCAGACAGAACACAGGGCTGCTCTACCCTACTCTTCTCATGTCATGTTCTTAATGTTGAGAACACAGGTTGAGTTCAGTGTGATTCTCCAAACAAACTGGCTGTGGGCAGTGTCAATTTTCTTTTCTCCAATTTCTTTATTTATATATTCTTTTGAGACAGAGTCTCCCTCTCTCACCCATGCTGTAGCGTAGTGGTGTGATCTCGGCTCACTGCAATCTCCACCTCCTGGGTTCAAGCAATTCTCATGTCTCAGCCTCCTGAGTAGCTGAGATTATAGGTATGTGCCACCGTGCCTGGCTAATTTTTATATTTTTAGCAGAGAGGGGGTTTTACCATGTTGGCCAGGCTAGTCTCGAACACCTGACCTCAAGTGATCCACCCGCCTCAGCCTCCCAAAGTGCTGGGATTACAGGTGTGAGCCACCACGCCTGGCTCTTTTTTCCAATTTCTTATTGTGAAAAATTTGAATTATTGAAAATGTTGAAAGAGCAGTACAGTGAGTGGTAAACTCACCAGTTGTTAATAGTTTGCCGCATGTATGTGTTCTACCTGTCTGTCTATCTCCACACATTTTAAAGTTGTCACAGTCGTGATTGTTTTTGTTTACCCCTGGATCCTTTGTTGTGTATCTCCCAACAAGAGCATGTCCCACATGACCACAGCCCTCCGGTCACGCTCGCGGGCATCCACACCTCTCGAGGCATGTTCCTGCCTGGGTCTGCTTTTCTTTCTCTCCCGACGCTGATGTTTTGAAGGCCAGTTGCTCTGCAGAGGCCATCACAGCCTGGGTGTTCCGTTTCTCACTGCTGACTTAGGCTGAACATTTCTGGCAAGAATACAATGGAGGCGGACCTCTGCATGCATTTACTTCTCAACCAAGCCGTGCAGGCCAGTTAGGGAGATGCAGATGCAGGTGGGCTGGGTGCCGTGCGTCTCATGGGAGGGTGCCCTCCGGGGACACTCTGGACAGAGGCACTCTCTGTCATGTGCTCAGCTTGGCCCCAGACTGAGGCTTAGCAGTCCTCCAGTTGTTCACCGTATGAAGAGCAGGAGAGGATAAACAACTGGACGACTGCTGAGGAGAGGCCAGCAGTAGGGAGTGGAAACCAAAAACTGAGCTTTTACACGAGGCCACATGTGCAGCGCCCTGCGCCAGGCTGAAACCCCTGTGTGCAGCGCCCCATGCCGGGCTGAAACCCCTGTGCCGATGCCCCTGGAGAGCAGTCGTGGGGCAGGGCCTGCCCTTGTTCAGTAAGAGGATGAACCTGGCCGTCTGCCTGACTCAGCCTCGTATCTCCATGATGAGTTAACATATTGGCTCAAAAAAACAAATTTCCTTTAACATCTTAAATGAGGTAAAGAAAGAAAAGTGGGCTGGGTGCGGTGGCTCACACCTGTAATCCCAGCACTTTGGGAGGCCAGGGCAGGTGGATTGCTTGAAGTCAGGAGTTCAAGACCAGCCTGACCAACATGGTGAAACCCCCGTCTCTACTAAAAATACAAAAATGGTGGATACCTGTAATCCAAGCTACTTGGGAGGCTGAAGCAGAAGAATGGCTTGAACCTGGGAGGCGGAGGTTGCAGTGAGCCGAGATCATGCCACTGCACTCCAGCCTGGGCGACAGAGCGAGACTCTTGTCTCAAAAAAAAAAAAGAAAAGAAAAAAGAAACGAAACTGGTTTTGTTGTTGTTGTTGTTGTTGTTTTAAACAGGGTCTTGCTCTGTCACCCAGGTTGGAGTGCAGTAGTGCGATCTTGGCTCACTGCAACCTCCATCTCCTGGGCTCAAGCAGTCCTCCCACCTCAGCCTCTCTAGTAGCTGTAACTATAAGCACCACACCACCATGCTCAGCTAATTTTTAAAATTTTTAGTTGAGATGGCATCTCATTATGTTGCCCAGGCTGGTCTAGAACTCCTGGCCTTAAGCGATTCTCCCACTTCATCCTCCCAACTAGCTGGAGTTACAGGCGTGAGCTACCATGCCCAGCTAAATTTTCAGCTTTTTATTTAAAAAAATTAATGTTGTCCAGCCTGGTTTTTTGTTTGTTTAAGCATCTTTTCCAGCCTTTTTTGGTATTTCTGAAACTCAGCCTGCTGCAGCATTCTGACAGTCTTTGAAGTAATAGTGCACACTGGTTTTAATTGTGAACCTGTCTGAATCTCTGTTCCTTTTTTTTTTTTTTTTTTTTTTTTGAGAGAGGGTCTTGCTCTGTCTCCCAGGCTGGAGTGCAGTGGCACGATCTCAGCTCACTGCAACTTTGCTCTTCCGGGCTCAAAATGATTCTTCTGCCTCAGCCTCCTGAGTAGCTGGTACTATCAGCATGCACCACCACACCCAGCTAATTTTTGTATTTTTTTTGTAGAGATGGGATTTCACCATGTTGCCCATGCTGGTCTCGAATTCCTGAGCTCAAGTGATCTGCCCACCTCGGCCTCTCGAAGTGCTGGGATTACAGACATGAGCCACCACGCCCAGCCAAATCGCCATTCTATTTTGGTCTCTGAAACTTAACATTTTGCTTGAGGAAGGGCTCATATACAAGGATATTGAAACAAATGTTGTTTTATATGATAATAATGCCTGAGGATCAACACATATACATTTCCTATCCCAATATCCCAAAAATAGCAATCAGTGTATTTACAGATGCTGCAGATCCCTCTGAGGAGTTGATTCTGAGGCTGTCCCTGAGGACCCATGCCAGGAGATGTGTCCCGGAAGTGACTGTCACAGATGCAGTCCCCCAGATGATGAGGCAAGGCCTGAGGGTCTGCGCTTGTTGGGGGAAAGGTTTATTACAACTTCTCCCAAGCAAACAGATGGAAAGCAATACCTAGAGCAGCTCCAGTGCTTGTGTGTGGGACACCTCTGCAGGGGCCTTGTGTGGCTTTGTCCTCATTTCAGTTAGAGTTGAGAGTACAACCCATTTTCATGTATGGTGGACTTTATAAAACCTAAGTCTGCTTTCTACTCAGTAAACGTTTAGACATTTTTCTTTTCACATTATTCTCCAGTTACTAAGATTTTGTCTGTTGTCAAATCCACATAAGCCTTCTGTTTTTTGGTGAAGACATATTATAGACTTAGAGTTTTATTTCTTTCCACAAATACTTTGACATTGTCATTTTTGCCTTAGTTTATACAACTATTTTTCTAAGCTCTAGATTTAGTTTTCACATGGATACCTCTGGTGTTTTAATTCTGGCTTCCGCTTTTGGTTAGCAGTTGTGACTTAGATTTCTTATCTACAAACTACTTCTGAAGCCTGGTTCTGTTGTGCTGCCTTTAGCAAGTGGTACACAGAAAAGTACTAAACGATGAAAAGATTATTTTTGTTCCTTTCTGTCAAATTCAAAGGCTAATATGGAGGGTTTTTTGAGTTTATTTATGATCACTGGCCAATAGCTCTAAGCTGTGATATCATGTTCTTTGTCATAGAAATTGAAGAGACAGTGGAGAAATACTTATTTTAAAATCAGTGTGATATAAATTAACACACATTTCTACTTCCCATAATTTTTGTCTCCTAATAGCAAATACATATGGGGACTCCAGTACCTGGAGATGTGAATTCCATAAAAATGGAAGCATCTAAGAGGCAGTGAACACTGGCGCCCACAGGTATGTAGCAGTCACCCAGCATGAAGCCAGCCTGCAAACAAAAAGGAAACCATGCAGGCCTTCTAGCAGTGTATTTTCCAACTTTTTTCATTTTAAGTAAGTCAACAAATAGCTACCAAATGGCTTCTGTGGGCTCACGGGGTCACCCCTGTGCCTCCTCTCAGTTCTTGCTTGGAGCGAAGTGACTTTACACTCAGCCATCATTTTGGCCACTTAGTGCCTTGAGCTGGAGGCATGGGAGCGGGCCTGGGGAGGCCACGGGCACTCATGTAGTGGCAGGGCCTGGGCCTCAGCTCTGTGCCCAGGAGCTTCCCCATGCCGGCCAGGCACATCAGAATCTGGCATGTGAGTGTCCCCGAACTCACTGTCCAGCCACCCCCCTTGACAGCAGGATCCCTGGGAACAGGCCACTTGGCAGTGGGCATGGACTCAGAGCAAAGCAAGATGGGTGCCTCAAGAGCTTGGTCCCACCCAGGCCTGAGACTGCCTCCCTTCCTGGTGAGGATCAGAGAGAGGATGTCCTGCCCGCAGTGCGTTCTGTGCTATTTCCGTGTTCTGCACCAGGGACAGTGTAGCATGAACTTTGAAGGTGGAACCTGGCTCACTGTGCTGTGATTGGATTTGATGTCACAGATTCTCCTTTGATGTCAGAGGCCTCACCTACAAGTGGGCCATCCTGGGATGGGTTTACAGCACCTGGAGGTGACATCAGGTGTTCCTCTCCAGCAGTTAATGCCAACAGCACAAAGCATCTGTGTGCCGAAGAACCTGGCAGGTACTAGTCCAGGAGTAGGCTGTGGGAGCCGGGAGCCAACAGCTCTGAAGCTCTGAGCTCTGAGGCTTTGAAGCTACCGCACACTCTGTCATCTGTTGATTGTTCCTGGGCAGAGTGGGCCCTTGCATCTGTTTATTGACCCAGACCTGGGCACAGGCTGGTGGTGTCTGTGCAGACTCACAGTTTCCCCTACAGGTGATTAAAAACCAAACTATCAAGAGTTTTCATGTATTTTCCTAACTTTTTCCAAGTAGAAGCATTCTCTTTTTCTCTATGATGATCTCAGGCTGTCTTCACATGCACTGTTGTTTGCTCTGTGGGGCCCGTGCTGTGACGCTTGGAGTGCGGGCTGCAGTGTGGTCAGCCGTGCCCTCGCTGGCTCTGGGGATGTGGCCAATGTGGTGTCACCTCACCCCTCTCAGTTGTCTCATCTGTAAAATGGGAGCAACAGCGATAATTACACTTCTCAAGTGTGTTCTGGGGACTAACACTGTTACGTCTGTAAGGCGCTGAGCACAGCACCATGTTGTAAGCACGTGTCAGTTAATACCACACTAAAAAATTAATATTCTATAGATTTAATGGCAAGCTTTAATTTTTTTTAACATATCCAACTTTTTCGCTATAAACTTATGGGGTACAGGAGCAGTTTTGTTGCATGGACATACTTCGTGGTGGCAAAGTCTGGGCTTTCAGTGCAGCCGTTATGGGAATAATGTAATCACACCCACTGAGCATCTACCCTCCCCTCACCCTGTACCCTTCCAAGTTTCCAGTGTCTCTCATTCCACACATCTGTGTGGACGTGTGAGTTAGCTCCCGCTTACGGGTGAGAATGTGCGGTGTTTGTCTTTCTGTGTCCGAGTTGTTTCGCTTAGGATGATGGCCTCTGTTTGCATCCATGTTGCTGCAAAGGACAGTTTCATTCTTTTTTATGGCTGGACAGTATTCCATTGTGTATATATGCACCACATCTTCTTATCCAACTGTCTGTTGATGGGCACTTAGGTTGATTCCGTGTCTTTGCTGTTGTGAACTGTGTTGCAGTAAACATGCGAGCGCAGGTATGACTTCAAGAGAATGATTTATTTCCCTCTGGATACACACCCAGGAGTGGGACTACTGGATTGGACGGTAGTTGTATTTTTAGTTTTCGGAGGAACCTCCATTCTATTTTCCATAGAGGCTATGCTAATTTACACTCCCCCCAACAGTGTGCAGTGTTCCCTGTTCTCCACGTCCTCGCCAGCATCTACTGTTTTTTGTCTTTCTTTAATTTTTGCAAGTTTGCATTGCTTATAGAGTACACCGTAGTTTTCAAGGAAAACACACCAGCAAATACCGGTACTAGGATATGCATACGTACGTGCGCATCAGTGTGTGCCTAGAGACCCGGGAAACCGGTCCATGATGATAAGTCACATCGATGCGCTCCTTCAGCAGATATTTACAGAGACTGGCGAGTGGCGAGGCCCGAGTACGCAGAGATGCGTGACCGCCACCCCCTGCCTTTGCCCGGACCGGCTCCCGACTGCTCCCTTCTCTTTATTCAGGTCTTGGCTCCACGGCCCACCTTGGAGAGGCCTTTGCCGCCCCGGCGCCCGCCCTGCGCCGTCATGTTTGCTCTCCCTGGTCCTCAGAGCGCCCACTCCCGTCAGGTCGCCTGTGTCTGTGCCTCGCTGGGGAAGGCAGGGCCTGGCGTGCCCTGCGCTCCTCTCTGCCCTCGGGACAGGAGGTGGTCAGGGAAGGTGGTCCCGTGTCCTCAAGGCGGAGTCCCTCGCAGATGGTGCTGAGGTGGAGAAGCTGCGCTGCTGCTAGAACAGAGTGGGCGCTGCTGACCGCGCCCGCCTGAGGAGGGTTGGTGGCAGAGGCTGCGCCACGTGCACGCCCCGAGGCAGGTGGTCGTCGAGGCCTTCAGGCTGCAGCTGCTGGGCAGGGTGTGAGCCAGGAGCGTTGCAGCTGCGGGGCGGGCAGGTGGGCCGGGCCTGGGGAGTCACCATCCAGGAGCACGGAGCCCCCGGAGCAGAGGGCACGGCCATCGCCTTCTCCCAGCGTGGGGGCTGTGAGGCGAGTTGTGCGGTTGCAGATCACCAGAGGAGGAAAAGCGCGCCCAGAGGCGGGAGCCCTCCAATCACAGGGCAGTGCAGAGGCTGGCACCCTCCAGTCACAGGCCAGCGCAGGGGAGGGCGCCCTCCAGTCACAGGCTGACGCCCTCCAATCACAGGGCAGCTAGAGGCAGTCACCCTCCAATCACAGTCCAGCACAGGGGAGGGCACCCTCCAGTCACAGGCCAGCGCAGGGCAGGGCGCCCTCCAGTCACAGGCCGGCGCCCTCCAATCAAAGGCCAGCACAGAGGCGGGCACCCTCCAGTCACAGGCCAACGCCCTCCAATCACAGAGCAGCCAGGGGCTGGCGCCCTCCAATCACAGGGCAGCCAGAGGCTGGCACCCTCCAATCACAGGCCGTGGCATTGGCCGCCCTCATCTGCTGCTGAGAGTTCTGTCGAGTAGGAGGAAGGAGGTCCCTTCAGGACCATGGGCCTGAAAAGGAATGATGGGGCCAAATTGATAGTTTAGCCACTGCCTAGATTCTAGAGATTTCCATCTTTTTTGGTTGTAAAATGTAAAATCAAATCTTTTATATTGGCTATGTTTAGGACTGGAACAACTACTGTAAAAATGATTTTTTTAAAACCTGTGCTTGAAGGTTGCGGCGGCTCAGCCTGGAATCCCAGCACTTTGGGAGGCCGAGGTGGGCGGATCACCTGAGGTCAGGAGTTTGAGACCAGCCTGGCCAACATGCAGAAATCCCGTCTCTACAAAACATACAAAAATTAGCCGGGCGTGATGGCGCACGCCTGTGATCCCAGCTACTCGGGAGGCTGAGGCACAAGGATCGCTTTGAGCGCAGGGGTCAAGGCTGCAGAGACAAGGCTGTGATTGCTCCACTGCATGCCAGCCTGGGTGACGGGGCGAGCCCTTATTTCGAAAATAATAATAACGATTCAAACGTTACTCCTTGGAGTTCTTCCGGTTGGCTTTTGTTTTACCATTTGAAGCCACAGCTCAGTGGCATGAAGCACGTTCACGTTGCTGTGCAGCTGTCACCTGCGTCCACCTACAGAAGATTTCCACCCTCCCAAACAGAAACGCTGCCCCCGTGAAACACGGATGCCCCGCCCCTCCCCTGGGCAGCCCCGCTCCGCTTGCTGTCCCCATGGCTTTGAGTGCTCTAGGGACCCCATGTCAGTGGGACAGACAGGATCTGCCTGCCCCTCTGTGCCTGGCTCGTGTCACTCAGCGGAAGGTCCTCGGGGCTCATACACGCGGTGGCACGTGGCAGGATTTCCTTCCTCGCTAAGGCCTTATTCTCTTTACGCATCATCTGTCAATGGACACCTGGGACATTATTCGGTTTGGGGAGCAGTGGGCTCCCTAATTTCTTAAGGTCGCGTCTCTGTTTTGCTGTCAGATACTGGGAGAGCTGGGCTTGACTTTCTTTGCGTTTGCGGGAGGAATGCCCCCCACGCCGCACGCCGCGCAGCTCGCTGGGCAGAGGCAGAGGCAGAGGCAGCAGCAGTACGACCCCTCCACGGGGCCTCCCGTGCAGAACGCCTCCAGCTTGCACACGCCGGGAGGCTGCCCCAGCCGGGGTCCGCGCTGCAGCGTCTTTGCAGGTCTCCCAGCAGCAGGCGACAGAGCCACAAGCACAGCTCTCAGTCCAGGGAAGGACCCAGCAGCCAATCGCAGCGCCGCCACCTTTCCTGCCAGGCCGGCGCTCGCCACCAGGCAGGCTGTTTAGCTTGCGCTCCACCTCCCCACCCAGGAGCAGGCAGCTCCCCAGGCCCGCCAGCCTCTGCCTGCGGCACCATCCCAGGTACCCAAAGGGGCTGCCCTCCAAACCCGGGCACGGGATGAGTCCTGACCCACATGGGCTGCAGTACCAGAATATTCTCGGTGGTCTGTGCTTCCCCAGGAATCTGTGTTTCCAGTGAGTGTAAAGGACTAGGTCTAACTTGTTCAATGTTTTTCCCCTACTAAGCACTTCTGATGAAATGGTGAGGGCCGTAAGTCAGCGTTCCGGGTAAAGGTTTTAGTGGAATTGAGAACCGAATGCGTTAATGACGGGTTGCTTGCTGCCCTTGAGGGTAACCAGTTATTGCAAACACTCTGCCTCTGTCACCTCGTCTGCCCTCGGCTCCTGCGGGGAGCACCTCTTTCTTTTTTTTCTTTTCTTTTTTTTTTTTTTTTTTTGTTAGACGGAGTCTCGCTCTGTCGCCCAGGCTGGAGTGCAGTGGCGCGATCTCGGCTCACTGCAAGCTCGGCCTCCCGGGTTCACACCATTCTCCTGCCTCAGCCTCCCGAGTAGCTGGGACTACAGGCACCCGCCACCACGCCTGGCTAATTTTTTTTGTATAGAGACGGGGTTTCACCGTGTTAGCCAGAATGGTCTCTATCTTCTGACCTCGTGATCCGCCCACCTCAGCCTCCCAAAGTGCTGGGATTACAGGTGTGAGCCACCGCGCCCGGCCAGCAGCACCCCTTTCCATCGGCTCCATGCAGACAAGCAGCACCCCCCCAGCAAGTCACAAAGCTGCCTCTCCAGGTGCATTCAGACTTGCAGGTGTGGCTGTGGCCATGGCGTCCAGAGCCCAGAGTACAGCACCACCTGCCCCGCCCCATCCCCCACCAGGCCCTATGGCCATAGAGAGCCCTTAGGACAAGATTGCAGAGCAGATGAAGCTGGTGAGAGAGCTCAGTTATCTGTGAAAGAAGTTGCTTTTGCTACAAGCTGTTTAAATTAGAAGTTGAAATGTTTCTCAATATAATATGGCAGACGGTAAAGGCATCTGAAAAACTGGCCATGGCTGCTTCTCTAGTGATTCTTTGGCACCAGCCTACTCAGATTCTAGAGCAGGGGGCATCTGGGGTGTGTGCACAGCATCTGGGAACTGCAGGTTCCCCCACCAGCACCCAGTGTGGGCTGTACTGGGGACCGCCGGGAAACCGCCTTCCCTCATTCAGGTCCTTCATCTGAGCCTGTGACAAAGGGGCTGGAGTCTCTGTCTTCACAGTTGATGGGCTGCTCCTGTCTTTCAGGAGAACCAGGTGCATCAGCGCATTGCGGAGCTGAGGAAAGCAGGTCTGTGGTCCCAGAGGCGTCTGCTGAAGCTGCAGGAGGCCCACGACCCAAGTCCCACTGGGACTATCTGCTGGAGGAGATGCAGTGGATGGCCACAGACTTTGCCCAGGAGAGGTGGAAGGTGGCCTCTGTGAAGAAGGTGGGTTGGAATAGTACTTTGTGGAAATCACATCGTGAAAGAGAATTGAAGAAGTAATTATATTATGTAAAAGAAAATTTCTAAATTTAATATGGCCAATTTAATGTTTGAGTTTTCATCACTAACTCTAAGACTTTACCTGACTGTAAGTCTTTTTTTTTTTTTTTGAGACGGAGTCTCACTCTGTCACTCAAGCTGGAGTTCAGTGGCTCAATCTCGGCTCACTACAACTTCCGCCTCCCAGGTTAAATGGACTCTCCTGCCTCAGCCTCCTGAGTAGTGAGGATTACCGGCACCTGCCACCATGCCCAGCTAATTTTTTGTATTTTTAGTAGAGATGGGGTTTTGCCATGTTGGCCAGGCTGATCTCGAACTTCTGACCTCAAAGTGATCCATCTGCCTCGGCCTCCCAAAGTGCTGGGATTACAGGCATGACCCACCACCCCCGGCCATGTGGACAATTTCATACCAACTGGCATTTCATGTCTGGCCATGGCACCGTCTAAATTGAGAAGGATTATCTCGAATTATGTTTGCATAGAAAGCGCTGTGATAATTGTGGTTCATGTTTCATCTGGACTTTATTGCCCATTAACATAAGTGTCTTTGACTGACAGTAAAGGGATATTTTCTAGGGGAATATTCATTTTACTTTTTATTATTGAATATTATTAGAATTGTTGCTTGAAGCAGTATCATGAATGGATACTAAAAATGGAAAAATAGACTTTCTTTGGAATTCTCCAGAATTAAATATGTATATCTAGTAAAAAACAAGATGTTTCCATATTACTGTGTGCGTGGAGACCCTCACAGACAATGTGGCGATTGTCTTCAGATGGTCAGAGCTGTGGCCCGGCAGCTGCAGGACAGGACGCGCAGGGAGGCCGGGGCCAGGAGGGAGGAGCCGAGCAGGCTGAGGCAGACGTCACCTGTACTACCAGAGAAATCGAGCGTCCCTGGTCTAGTACTGCGCAGGTAAACACACGTTTCCTCTACAATTTGCCCTCAAGTTTTCACTCGGGAGCTAATGATTTTATATTTTAATTCATGATTTTCTTTTAGATCGTAGATTATCTTTTAGATAGTAGAAATAAAGCTGCAAATTGAATTTCAAGAGAAACAAAAAAAGACATTAAATTTGAATAAATATTCAAAAAGAGGTAACCAAGTAAGTTAATATAGTGTACTTATTCAAAGAGTCGTCATGTTATAGCCCACTGCCAAGGTGAACTGTGAGAATTCATTGTTATGCTCCTGTGCTTTGTGACATGGCATAATGAGGCTGAAGCCCTGAAAACATTATGAATTATGCCTTTGTAGGTAAAGATTCCAGCATCTTGGAAGCAAGTGCTCCACTGGAAAATAAAAGCCACGTGGTGAGTGTTTTCTTTGTGATATCAGAACTTCATGTTCCGGGTGAGGGGCTTCAGGGTGCCCGTGTCCTTGCCGGGGGGCTCCGGTCTCCAGTCTCCTCAGCATTTCCCTCTGGTCTCCCTCCAGAGAGGACAGATCTACTCACGATCTTTGGGACCACCCAGAAAGGGTCAATTTCAAAATCGAATTTTCTCAGGATGACTTCAAATCAAAACAGAAACGTGTGGTCTTGCCTTTGGTTTTTCCGCCCAAACTGCCTTTTGGCTTTGCCGTGTGGGGACCGGGCACCTCGACTGTCCTCTGTGTCCTGTGATGGGGCAGGTTACGCCATGTCTGATCAGTAGGACAGCGTCCCTTGGGTTCATACCCTTTATCTGCAGTTCTAAAACTCTGAAAGCTCAGACAGCAGAAAGGTTTTGCCCACTCAGTGTTGCTCACTCATTTTGCAGCAAACCTGACCCACACCGAGGCCAGGCCAGCCCCGCGGTCCTGGTGGGTGAGTGTGTCTGGGTGCTATTGCTGTGGAAACGTCGGCGTGTTTGGTCATGGCTGCCAGATGCCGTCCCTAACACTTTCCCATGCTTATTTGACTTATGTCATTACCTTACTTCTCTGAAACAGTCTGAATTCCAAACCCTGTGTGGCCCTAAGGATTTTGGATAAGGGACTATGTACCTATAATATAAATAAGCCATATTATTTACAATCATGAGTTTCTGAATGTTCACTTTTTTTATTTTTGGAGACAGAGTCTTGTTCTGTCACCCAGGCTTTAGAGTACCACAGTGTGATCTCGGCTCACCGCAGCCTCCGCCTCCTGGGTTCAAGCGATTCTCCTGCCTTAGCCTCCTCGGTAGCTGGGACTACGGGCATGAGCCACCAGATCCAACTAATTTTTTGTATTTTTAGTAGAGACGGGGTTTCACCATGTTGGCCAGGCTGGTCTTGAGCTCCTGATCTCAGGTGATCTGCCCGTCTCACCCTCCCAAAGGGCTGGGATTACAGGTGTGAGCCACTGTGCCCAGCCAGAATATTCACTTCTAAATGTGGGTGTGTATTCAGGTGACTTGGGATTAAAAAAAAAAGAAAAAACCCTTATGGGATTTTATATTTAGAAGTTCTGTTGTTGAAATATGAACCTGTATCTGTTGTTGCAGTGGCAGAAGGCTGCAGCACAATGAATGATTATTGTGAAAGCTGGTAATTTTGTGCCCACAAATAATTGTCAAGAACTTTCTAATAATAAAATACAGAAATAGATTAATAGTTGCTACAAACATAAAGAGAGACTCCATGGTAGAACACTTTAGGAAGCACATTTTATCTTTTTTGAACCAACATGTATTTCCAAACATGTAAGTAATAATATCAAGCGTGGTGGGAAGATTGGATTGGAGGCTGATTCTGATCTGTGTGTTGGGATGAACTGTGGCATTCACAGCATTGAGCAAAATCATCTTCAAGGACAGCGTTTAATTCTGTTGTTGACAAGTCTTTTAAGAAAAAGTACTAGTTTGGGAATTTTTCACAGATACAAATAAGCTTGACCCCTAAATTTAAAATATTATTTAAAAAATAAAATGTCAGATTTATTCATCTGTCACAGAGTTTATTCTGTTGATGGTAATATTGGCTTTGGCTAATCAGAGATTTCGACATGCAGGCATCCAGCTGAAATGTGACTTGGTGCACCCCTATGATGTGAGTTTGTGCTGTATTTAAGAAAAAGATTTTACCCCATCTCTACTAAAAATAAACTTAGTCGGGCATGGTGGCATGCACCTGTAGTCCCAGCTACTCGGGAGGCTGAGGCAGGAGAATCGCTTGAACCCGGGAGGTGGAGGTTGCAGTGAGCTGAGATCGCACCAGTGCACTCCAGCCTGGGTGACAGAGTGAGACTCTGTCTCAAAAAAAAAAAGAAAGAAAAGAAAAAGATTTTAAACATCCACTTTATATGCTTTATCTTTCAAATTTAATGGCTAAATTTAAAATACATATACCGGGTGCAGTGGCTCATACCTATAGTCCCAGTGCTTTTCTACCCATTCACTCACCCACCCACCCATTCATCCATCCATCTACCCACCTGTCTGTCCATCCATCCATCCATTCACCCACCTACCTGTCTACCTACTCATCTGTCCCTCCATTCATCCACTCACCCACCCATCCACTGATCCACCTACCAACTTGTCTATCCACCCACCCACCTATCCATCCACTCATCCATCTATCCATTCATTTACCCATCTACTTTTCCATCCATCTATTCATTCATCCATCCATCCACCTATCCTTCTGTCTACTCATCCATTCACCCACCGACCCACCCATCCATATATCCATCCATCCACCCACACACCCATCCACTCAGCCAGCCATCCCGTCCATTCATTCATCCATCCATCCACCCCATCCGGCCATCCATCTATCCATCTACTCATCTGTCCATCCATCTACCCATCCATCCACCCATCTTCTTATCTACCCATCCATCCATCCGTCCATTTTTAATCACCTACTCAAAGTGGAAAACCAACACATGCCCCTAGGAACTCACAGTCCTGGTGGTGAGTATCGGAAAGCACAGGGAAAGGAGTGCCTGACCTGGGAGAACGGAGGTCATGCTGAGTCTTCAGAGCAAATAGGAAGTTCCTGGATGGTTACGGGGGAGGGAAAGTCACGGCAGCAGGAGTAGCGCACACATCACATGCATGTGACAGGGAGCAGTGCAGTGCATTCAGGAAGCTCGGGGCTGTGTGGTGAGGACTCAGAACGCAGGGAGAAGGCGGCACAGGCCCAGAGGATGAGGGGCTGTGGGTCAGAGAATGGTGGGAACCTCCCCAAATCCCAAGTTCCCTGAGGCCAGCCCAGGGCCAGCCTTGTGTGCGGGTGTTTCTGAGGATGGCGCGTCTCTGCATGAGCCTTGTGTGTCATGTGCAAGAGTGTGTGTTGTGTCCTATGTGTGGGAGGGAGCTGCCGGCGGTGCATTTGTGGGGGCCGAGGGCCAGTCAGGATGTGCCATTAGAACCACGTGGCTCCTGAAAGCAAGCCCGTGATACCAGAGATACCTGGTAGTAGCATCTATATCTGATTAGCTGTACATCTCTTGACAGTCTTTTTAAAAGCATGAGTGAAGAAAGACATAAACTTCCGGATTTGCGTAAGTGAGCTTGCCAACTAAGGAAACACATGAGTATTATCTGTATCTTCAGGAGCACTTGATTAGACTCCAGAAACAGAAACTGCAGCTGCTCCCACCACCCCCACCACCACAGGCCCTGCCCGGGGCACAGCCAACCACACAAGTGCAAGTGCAGCCGTCACCCGCCTACCACAGCAGAGCCCCCAGCTCACCACAGTCACGGCCCCGAGACCCAGAGCCCTGTTGATGGGCACCACCATGGCCAACCTCCAGGTAGCCCGGCTTGTAAGCGTTCGGTCATCATTGCTTTTTTTTTGCTTTTTTTTTTTTTTTTTTTTTGAGAAGGAGTTTCACTCTTGTTACCTGGGCTGGAGTGCAATGGCCCAATCTTGGCTCATTGCAACCTTCCCCTCCTGGGTTCAAGTGATTCTCCTGCATCAGCCTCCCCATTAGCTGGGATTACAGGCATGCACCACCACGCCCGGCTAATTTTGTATTTTTAGTAGAGACCGGGTTTCACCATGTTGGCCAGGCTGGTCTCGAACTCCTGACCTCAGGTGATCCACCCACTTCAGCCTCCCAAAGTGCTGGGATTACAGGTGTGAACCACCACGCCTGGCCTCATCATTGTTTTTAATACCTGATGGGGGCTGATGATTTCAACCCCTGAGGAAGGATAACGCAGTGTGACAGGGCAGGGCATATGTGATCCTTGTTTCTTGTTATTTAGACTCGAGTTTCCACCTCCCACCTGCAAGGCCCAAGACTGACGTCAGCGCTGACGTACCAGATGGCCCAGGTTGCTGTGGCCACGCCCCCTGTGGTGTCTGTCCTGGCAGTTGTGGTGCTGTCAGCCAGGGTCACAGTGCTTCCATCAACGCAACGGGATCAGTGTTGTGATAAGGCAGCTGCAAAAAGCGGCAGGTAGGCAGCCACCTTCGCCTCACCAAACTCGAAACAACTCACTTGAGTGAGTTGCATCAAACCTTTCTAAATTTCTCATTCTAGAAGTTGCTGAGTTGTTCTGCCATGTGTTAACTTTTTTTTCTTATCAGTAAAATCTTTTATTTGGTTTATATTTCAAATGTAATTTAAAAAGTCTATAAGACAGGAAATTCGATAATATGAAAGCAGGGAGAAACTAAGTCGCACCATTTAGCTAAGCTCAGGGACAACGTTCATTTATAATAAATCAAACATTTGATTTTTTTCATGCCATCAGTTGTACTTAAACATATCCATCATATTTCAGTTGCAAAAGATGGTGAAGAACTCAAGCTGAAGAGGTGTCTGCTGAATTTTGTTGCTTCGGTAGGAGCTTTTCACCATCAGTTTTTAGAAAGTACGCATGACTCTCCTTCTGTTGATATCTCTCTTGATTTGGCAAAGAGTACAAGGAGGACCGCAAAGGGTTGCCATATAATCATCACAAATAGATCCAGGGATGCCATATCACGTCCTGTAGAGAGTCCTCATTGCGACGCTTGCTCCACACAGCATTCATTCATATCAGCTGCAACTTGACACCCAAGGCACGGGAAACAAAACGTGCCACAGAGGCAGACTCCACAGTCGCTGAAGCAGTCACACATGCCTGTCTGCCAGTTGGAGTTCTGGGGTGCCGGACCGAGACCGACTCCCACAACGACCATCGGCGCCTCATGTGTTAATTTTTTAAGACACCTAATTAGAGCCTCATTCCTTGCACCTCCCCCTTTTAAGCAAATGGAGCAGAGGCCGCTGTACCCCCCAGCAAGAGCTGCTTGCCTCTATTAAGGGGAGATGCGGCATGGGCGTTATTTCTCCTTTTTAAGGCAGCAGGCATTTCCTTTACCATCATTGCCAGGCAGGTTACTCCTCTGAGCAAATCAGCGGCAATGATGAGTGTGAGATGCAGATCCTTGTCCATGCGCACTTCGTGTGTCCTGCGTGCTGTCTCTCTGCTGTCACCACAGGGGGCCAGATTGGCTGTGCAGCCTCTGCACATGCAGCAGCTCCGAAAGCTGAAACACCACCAGCAGTAAAAAGCTGTGCAGCCCTCAGCCGCTCCAGGCCTGCTGCTGCACAGCGGAAGGTAAGTGGCCGCTGGGCTTTGTGGGAGCTGCATCTCACACTCATCATTCAGGGCCCTTAGGCCAGAGTGGGGCTGGACTGAGCCCCTTCCTTTTGGAGGCAGCCGTTAAACAGAGCTGAGGAGGCTCCCTGCATGGGCTTCTGGAGGTGGGGAGGGGCCGAGTGTCAAGGAACTCTGACCCTGTAATTTTTACATATATTTGCTCTCTAGGGGAGAGCTTGCTTTGCTGTATAGTATAATTTTTCAAAAATATTTACAATGATTTCTGTGAAAAATCACTCTGACAAGGACTTCTATTTCTGGTAATATGGTAGATGAGAGAACCTGAAAATCTATCTCAACAAAACATCTAAAAATGCCAGATTTTCAAAAAGTGCCAGATAAAATATATAAAACCGTGAATGAGTCTGCAGGATAGTGAGTCTAGAAACCAGGCGAGGGCTGAAGTCTAAGGAGGTAGTTCTGTGCTAAAGACACTCTATGGCCTGGGTCCCCATGGACCCAGATGACCTAGAACTTTGAGGTAAGTTTGGGGAGCAGTCTGGAGAAGCCTTGGGCCCAGGGAGGGGCAGAACCAAATTGGAGACCCCCATATAAGGCTGGGCTCACAGAGGGATACAGCAAACACTACCAGGAAATGATGAAGTGGGCAAACTACTACTCTAAGCTTCACTGCAGAAACAGTATCTCACTTGGCCATGGCTGTGGATGGAACATCTTTAAAAAGTCTCTCCTATAAATTTATGGCCCCTGGCTAGCACTCTCCATCACAGGTATAGGGCCAAAGTTCATATTATTTACATGTTCAAAAGAACTGCAAACTGTGACTTTTAATTGCAAGCATATCTGGAGCTATAGTGCCCCCAGGCCTCTGGTAGAAAGAAATGTATGTCCTTGCAGGAGGAACCCCCAACCCAGGCCTCAAGGAATTCCAGCCAGCAGGATCCCTAGACTATAAGCTCATAGTGGAAAATCACAGCACACACAAGAGAAGGGGCCTCAGAAGTTATGGCCAAAAGAAGCACACCTGCAAAGACTCAGATGTTAGAATAGGAAATGCAAATATGTTTAATGTGTTTGAAGAAACAAAGGAGAAGCTAAAAAGCATAAATAAGCAAGAGAGTATCAGAGGCTAAGCAGATAATAAATGAACCAAATAGAACCTCTAAAAATGAAAAATGTAATAATTGAAATTCAAAACTTAATGGAAGTAATCTTGATCCCTACCTCACACCCCATAGAAAATTAACTCAATGAATCATAGACCCAAACATGAAATTCAAAACTATGAAACATAGGAAAAAAGTTTTGTGACTATAGGTTAAGTAAACATTTCTTAGATATGACACCAAAAATAGAGCCTATAAAAGGAAAAAAATTGGCAAGTCATACTTTAATAAAATTAAACCTTCTTGCTATGTGAAAACCATTGTTTAGAGAATGAAAAGACAAGTTACCAGGAGAAAACCTTTGCCAGTCATGTAGCTGATTAAGGACGTGTAACCAGAACATACAAAAAACTGTCAAAGCTCACTAATACAAAAACAACTTATTTTGTACAGTGGGCAACAGATTTGAGCAGACACTCCACCAAAGAAGCTCTCTAGGTGGCAAATAAGCACTGTCCTCTGGGAAATGCAAATAAAAATCACAATGAGAAACTACTGCACACCCGTGAGAATGCCTTAAAAAAAAAAAAGACAAGACCAAAACCAAGTGTTAGTGAGGGTGTGGAACAACAGAAATTCTCATACCTTGTTGGTGGGACTACAAGATAGTGGAGCCCTCTGGAATCAGTTTGGCAGTTTCTTATAAAATAAAACAATCATTTACTGTATGACCCAGCAATCCTGCCCCTCATTCTTTATACCAGAGAAATGAAGACATATGTCCACACAATAACCAAATACTGTAACCACAATGAAAAATGATGCAAGTGTTCACAGAAGCTTTATTCATTTACCTAAAACTGAAAGCAACCCAGACACTCTTCAACTGGCCAATGGGTAAACAAACGGCAGCCCACCGGTTCCATAAAACAGCACTCAGCAGGAGACAGGACTGGGCCACTGATGCTGGGGGCAGCGGGGATAAGCCTGAAATGTCTTATGCAGAGTGAAAGAGGCCACACTTAGAAGGCTGCAGTTTTTGTTTTTATATGACATTCTGGAAAAGACAACACTATAGCAACAGAGAAGAGCTCTGCAGTCACGAGGGGCTGGGGCAGTGGAAGGACTGACTTTCAGAGGGACAAGAGGGAATTCTGGGGGGCTGTGGAAAGATTCTGTATCTTGATGCTGATGGTTGTTACATGGCTGTGTGCATTGATCAAAACTGAAGTATGCATCAGAAACAGCGACTTGGACTGTATGTAAATTATACTGCAGTTTTTTTGTTTGTTTGTTTGTTTGTTTGTTTGTTTTTGAGACGGAGTCTGGCTGTGTTGCCCAGGCTGGAGTGAAGTGATATTGGCTCACTGCAAGCTCCGCCTCCCAGGTTCACATCATTTTCTTGCCTCAGCCTCCCAAGTAGCTGGGACCACAGGTGTCCACCACCATGCCTGGCTAATTTTTTTGTATTTTTAATAGAGACAAGGTTTCACCATGTTAGCCAGGGTGGTCTCGATCTCCTGACCTTGTGATCTGCCCGCCTCGGCCTCCCAAAGTGCTGGGATTACAGGCGTGAGCCACCGTGCCCAGCCTATACTGCAGTTTTAAAAAAGTTAATGGAAGGGTTAAACAATACATTAGAGAATTTGCGAGCTACAGAGAGATCTGGAGAAATAATCATGATAGCATGAGACTAGCAAACAAGACAAAGAAGACAGGCTGGCTGCAGTGCTCAGGCCTGTAACCCCAGCACTTTGGGAGGCCAGTGTGGGTGGATTGTTTGAGCCAAGCAGTTCAAGACCAGTCTGAGCAACAGAGTGAGGCCCCGTCTCTGCAAAAAAAATAAGAAAAGAAGAGGGAGGGGTGAGAAGATCTCACATTCAACTGAGTTCCAGAAGAGAATGAAAAAAGAAAATATTCAAAGAGTGGATGGCTGAGAATTTTCCAGAATGGGTTTAATTTACCAGTCTAAAGACTGAAGAAATACAACAAGTCCCTAGCAGGATACAGACAAAGATACCTGTGCCTGACACATCTGGGCAAACTGTGGCACTCAAAGCAGATGAGAAAACCATGAAAGAATCCAGGAGGAAAACAGATTTCTCACGAAGGAAAGGCGATTCCATGGACAGCTCCCTTCTTAGTAGGAACTGTGGAAACCAGAAGTAGCTTTAAAGTGCTGGGATAAAACTGTCTTTCAAGGATAAGAGTGAAAACAAAGACATACTCAGACAAAAACTGAAAACATTTACCACAAACAAACTCACCTTAAGCAGGCAAATGGCCCTCGATGTGGAAAGCAAAGCTCAGGGGACAGAGGGTGTACTGAAGAGTTGGCGGTGATGATCCCTGGAGGGTCCCCCCAGGGCCAAGAAGGGGGCTGGGAGCCATGCATGGTGAGACTGGAGTGTGAGCTTGAGGACAGCAAGAATCAGACGACCACCCCAGGCTGCCAGGGTGTGGCTCAGCCTATCTGCCCCTCACGCTGAGCTGCACAGATGCAAACACCTTCCAAACACAGTCACGAGGCCTTAGGAACGTCTCCAGAGCTTCCGTCATCATCCGGGTCTCCTCGTCAGCTGCTGCCTGGTGAGGGCTCTGCCAGAGGACAGCCCGCCATCAAGGCTGAGGAGGCCGCCCCCACGTGCCACCCACGAAGCTGCCTGCAGGCCGGGAGGCTTCTCTTTTGGCTTCAGCCACATGTGAAGGAGAACCTGTCAAGCTCCGGCTGATGAAGTCTTCAGAAGGGCTCAGAGTCAAGCGGCAGAACTCCTGGTGCCATCTGCTTAATTACAGGCGCGGGTTTTCCTCGGTGTTTTGATCTATAAATACGAAAAATAAGAACAGCACCGGTGCTGAATCTATGTCATCCCATGAATGGATGAACTGGTTGAAAAAAAAATAGCCTGATACTGGGAGCCAAAAAGGCCGAAGGGATCGTGACCAACTCAGCATTCCACTGGAGGCTATATGATCAATCAGCAAACTGTTTATCCTGAATGTAGGATGTGAGTAAAACTCACAGCTGCGCCTGCTGCCAGAAGGTTTGCTGAGGGCGGTCACTCCCTGGCACTGGGGTCCTTGAAGTTATCTACTGGGAAATCTAGCGCCTGTTGTTCGAAGGATGCAGTCTCGCAAGCCTGCTGTGAACCAAACGGCGGACTGCCGATTACCCGACAATCACTGCACTTTGTCGCGATCTCTTTTACCAATAAATACGGAGGGCTGTGTAAAGCTCTATCTCTTTTACCAATAAATATGGAGGGCTGTGTAAAGCTCAGGGCCCTTGTCCACTAGAGGCAAGGTGCCCCCTGACCCCTTCTTTCAAATATACTCTCTTGTCTCTTGTCTTTTATTCCCACGTTCGCCCCCTTTGTTCAGTCCACCAGGGATTGAGGGTGGTTACACGTGGCGCCCTGAACAGCGACAGAATCGGGCAGTTTACAGCCTGATCCATCTCACTGGGGTTAAATTTCACTTTTTGTATTTAGTTATTACCATAGTTTGTAATATGCTTATGTTATGTTGACTATTTGCATACCAATACTAATTGTAATGATCTCTCAGTCGGGATCATTGTTTTTGAACGCCTAGAGCCTTGTGATCAATTTTCGTACACATTTCTGTTGCACAGAAGTCTGTGGGAGCTGTCAAAGGATTCCAAGCATAAAATACATTAGGACTAAGTCTGCGGGAGAACGGAATGGAAATACAAAACCAGAATAAGGAGCGTTGTGGAACGTGGGTTGTTAAAGAGCAGCTTGGTTGTGTGGCATTGAGGCGAGGAGGCGGGGAGTGGCCGCCCACGGAGGGTCGGGCTCCTCGGAAGCAGTTTCCTGACTTGCATGGTAGTCCCTGCGGGCTCTGTTCTCATAGCCCAAGGCACAGTTTTGAACAGGAGGCACATGGTGTTCAAAAGCCACTGGTTCGGAATATGAGCAGGGCTTTCCCCTTTTGCCTGCTGGCCCCAGAGCTATGGGCTTGGTGGGCGGTGATTCTCTCCCACCTGATGGGAAGCGCTGTGACCTGGACCAGGAGCTGTAGGCCCCACCAAGAAGAGAACTGCGAGCAGCAGCAGGTGCATTTTAGAAGGTTCCTTGAGCGGGAGCAAGACCTCCTTTTCTGCCCAGTCACAGGACAGTGGTACAGAGGCCTTTTCCCTGTCATTTTTGCTGATGGTAGAGTCTCCAGGTGTGGTCCAGGGGAGCTGCTCCCCCAGGGCCGCAGCCCAGAGCAGCCGCCACCCCCGGATGCCTTCCATGAGCCCCGCAACCCCCAGGCCTTCCTGGAGTGGGCGCCTGGTGTTGCCTCCCACCCCTGCCCGGCGCAGCCCCTGGGAGCAGGAGCCGTGGGGAGGGCTGGACTGCAGTAAGGACGCCTCGTGGGATGTGCCAAACCGCTGCGTGGAGCCTGGGCTGACTTCTCTGGATCTTGGTGCAACTGGCGTGGCCCTTCCAGGAAGCCGGGCCACCTGGCTCAGAGACGCCAGACCCTGGCCGGCAATGGGGCTGCCAGGGGCGGGGACGCTGGAGGAGCTAGGGGTGTGGGCCACTGTGCTGCCTGCCCCGGCCTGGCGGCCTCTCCGTAGCAGAGCTGAGGCTGGGACGCAGGTGGGGGAGCCTGGATGCGCCTCCTTCCTCAGCCACGGGAGGATGAGGTCCAGGAGCGCAGCGGGGCCCACGGGGGAGCGCCTTCGGGTGCGGCTCGTCGCTGCCACCCGTACAGTGGTTTCTTTTTATTTCCCACGCCTCCCCACAATGATGTGGACGCCATCAGTGTCATTGGCAAGGGAGGGCCTTGTGCCACCCTCCAGAGACGTGGCTGCCACCCTGACCTGGGCGGAGTGTGGGGGTGGTTCTGCCCCCCTCCCCCCCGCCTGACGGGGGCTCCTCCTGCGGAGACCGGGCCCAGCTGAGCCTGTGGGTCCACCTCTTGATTGCCCAAGTTTGCATCTACCCAGTGACAAGGACCATCTCCTTGGAGCCGGGGCTGATGGGGGGGGCTATGACAGTTTGAGTGGGGGTGGCTGTGGGCCTTCCAGACCCGGGACCCTGCCTGTTACCTGGCAGGTGGACTCACTCTGCCTTCCTTTTTTGTTTTTTTTTTTTGAGACAGAGTCTCGTTCTGTCACCCAGGCGGGAGTACAGTGGTGCAATCTTGGCTCACTGCAATCTCCACCTCCCAGGTTCAAGCAATTCTCCCACCTCAGGCTCCGGAGTAGCTGGGATTACAGGCATCTGCCACCACACCTAGCTAATTTTTGTATTTTTAGTAGACATGGGGTTTCAGCATGTTGGCCAAGCTGGTCTCGAACTCCTGACCTCAAGTGATCCACCTGCCTCGGTCTCCCAAAGTGCTGGGATTACAGGCATGAGCCACTTGCGGCCAGCCTTGCTCTGCCTTCCTGACAGTGCAGACCTCGCTCCTGGAGGGCCAGACCCGTCCGACTCGCCCTAGAGTCTCTCAGCAACTAGAATGCACAGGGCCATGCGCAACACTCATGTCTGGAAAGGTGAAGGAGGGGTTGGCCGCCCCTCCATGGCTCTGCCGTCTTCCAGCTCTTTCTCTAAGGCCTGTCCTTTGAGTTCATAGATGAATACCCAGCAAGTCACAGTTCAGGCCTAGCAGCCAACCGGCCAACAGCCAAGAGCAGCCTACCACTGCAGCCCGCCAGGAGAGTGGCCTAGCCTCCGTGGCCCACCGTCCGCGGCCCACCAGGAAAGCACTGTTTCTGCCATCCCCCATGTCTCAGGTTCCCAAGGCCACGGGGACCGCGCCAGTGCAGGCCTACATGCAGGTAGGGGCAGCTCACACTGTGCCCCTCCCACATGGCCACACGGGGTCAGGCCAGTGGCTGCTGTGCTCCTTGCTGTCATTATCCTACTTTCAAGACCTACCCCCTTCCTCCGTAGAGGTAAGGAGACGGGAATGTGTGGACAGCTCAGGCCCACACTGCACATTGAAGGTCCCTCCTCCCTATTCTGTGCTCCGTGAAGGTCGCAAAGAGCCCTCGAGGCCCAGCCACGGACGCCTGCCTGAGCCCTCAGCAGCTGGTGGCCCAGCAGGTGAGTGCCCACCATCCTGCCGCCGGCATGGCCCCGGCACACCCCTCAGCCCCCACCCCACCCCCTCTCGCCTGGTCCCCACCGTCACCAACAGCTCTGTCCTCCTCTTGCCCCTCCCACCTCTTCCTTTGTGTGCTCAGCTGCTGTCCCTCCCGCTCCTCTCCCCTCTCACATCTCGAAACTCTGGGGAAGGATCCAGGCCCCCGTGCCACTGTGGAAGGGCCGGGACGGGCCTGCCCAATGCACTGCAGATGCCCCGGTGCCCACTCCTCCTACCTCCCCGAGTGTGCCCACGGTGCCCGCTCCTCCCACCTCCCGAGTGTGCCCACGGTGCCCGCTCCTCCCACCTCCCGAGTGTGCCCACGGTGCCCACTCCTCCCACCTCCCCGAGTGTGCCCACGGTGCCCCTCCTCCCACCTCCCGAGTGTGCCCACGGTGCCCACTCCTCCCACCTCCCCGAGTGTGCCCACGGTGCCCACTCCTCCCACCTCCCGAGTGTGCCCACGGTGCCCGCTCCTCCCACCTCCCGAGTGTGCCCCGGTGCCCGCTCCTCCCACCTCCCCGAGTGTGCCCACGGTGCCCGCTACCTCCCACCTCCCGAGTGTGCCCACGGTGCCCACTCCTCCCACCTCTCCGAGTGTGCCCACGGTGCCCACTCCTCCCACCTCCCCGAGTGTGCCCACGGTGCCCACTCCTCCCACCTCCCGAGTGTGCCCACGGTGCCCGCTCCTCCCACCTCCCGAGTGTGCCCACGGTGCCCGCTCCTCCCACCTCCCGAGTGTGCCCACGGTGCCCGCTCCTCCCACCTCCCGAGTATGCCCCGGTGCCCGCTCCTCCCACCTCCCGAGTGTGCCCACGGTGCCCACTCCTCCCACCTCCCCGAGTGTGCCCACGGTGCCCACTCCTCCCACCTCCCGAGTGTGCCCACGGTGCCCGCTCCTCCCACCTCCCGAGTGTGCCCCGGTGCCCGCTCCTCCCACCTCCCGAGTGTGCCCACGGTGCCCGCTACCTCCCACCTCCCCGAGTGTGCCCACGGTGCCCGCTACCTCCCACCTCCCGAGTGTGCCCACGGTGCCCGCTACCTCCCACCTCCCGAGTGTGCCCACGGTGCCCACTCCTCCCACCTCCCCGAGTGTGCCCACGGTGCCCGCTCCTCCCACCTCCCGAGTGTGCCCCGGTGCCCGCTCCTCCCACCTCCCGAGTGTGCCCACGGTGCCCACTCCTCCCACCTCCCGAGTGTGCCCACGGTGCCCGCTCCTCCCACCTCCCCGAGTGTGCCCACGGTGCCCGCTCCTCCCACCTCCCCGAGTGTGCCCACGGTGCCCGCTCCTCCCACCTCCCCGAGTGTGCCCACGGTGCCCGCTCCTCCCACCTCCCGAGTGTGCCCCGGTGCCCGCTCCTCCCACCTCCCGAGTGTGCCCCGGTGCCCGCTCCTCCCACCTCCCGAGTGTGCCCCGGTGCCCGCTCCTCCCACCTCCCGAGTGTGCCCACGGTGCCCGCTCCTCCCACCTCCCGAGTGTGCCCCGGTGCCCGCTCCTCCCACCTCCCGAGTGTGCCCCGGTGCCCGCTCCTCCCACCTCCCGAGTGTGCCCACGGTGCCCGCTCCTCCCACCTCCCCGAGTGTGCCCACGGTGCCCGCTCCTCCCACCTCCCGAGTGTGCCCCGGTGCCCGCTCCTCCCACCTCCCCGAGTGTGCCCACGGTGCCCGCTCCTCCCACCTCCCCGAGTGTGCCCACGGTGCCCGCTCCTCCCACCTCCCCGAGTGTGCCCACGGTGCCCGCTCCTCCCACCTCCCCGAGTGTGCCCACGGTGCCCGCTCCTCCCACCTCCCGAGTGTGCCCCGGTGCCCGCTCCTCCCACCTCCCGAGTGTGCCCACGGTGCCCGCTCCTCCCACCTCCCCGAGTGTGCCCACGGTGCCCGCTACCTCCCACCTCCCGAGTGTGCCCACGGTGCCCGCTCCTCCCACCTCCCGAGTGTGCCCACGGTGCCCGCTCCTCCCACCTCCCCGAGTGTGCCCACGGTGCCCGCTCCTCCCACCTCCCGAGTGTGTGGCCAGGCCCACATCTTATGTCTGCGAACCCAGCAGCACTGAGCCACTATCAATCCCCGATAAATGGCAATCATCGTGAAGCAGCCTTGTGGTCTGGGGTAAATACCAAGGTTCTTGGTCTCATGGCCAAGGAGATCGAGGTCGCAGACAGACACACACACACACAGTGAGTTTGGAGCAGAAGTTTAATAAGCAAAAAGGAAGAAGAGCTCTCCGTTGCAGAGGGGGCCTGAGCGGGTTGCTAAGTTGTAGTAAAGATGTCAAGGTTTCTTTTTTTTCTGTCGCCAGGCTGCAGTGCAGTGGGCTGATCTTGGCCCACTGCAACCTCCACCTCCCGGGCAAGTGATTCTCCTGCCTCAGCCTCTTGAGTAGTTGGGACTCCAGGCACACGCCACCACGCTCAGCTAAGTTTTGTATTTTTAGTAGAGATGGGGTTTCACCATGTTGGCCAGGATGGTCTCGATCTCCTGACCTCAGGTGATGCGCCTGCCTCAGCCTCCCAAAGTGCTGGGATTACAGGTGTGAGCCACCGTGCCCGGCCTGTCAAGGTTTTTACAAATGGGCTAGTGACGAGGGGTTAGAGGAGGGATGTCTTGTCCTCCCAGGGCCCAGGGTTTTAGCTGGGACAAGGTGTGCTATTTGTATAGAGAGTTTCTGTCAGACTCAGTCTGTGCTGCTCTGTGACACTTTTCTGCGAGGGTCTCTGGGTCTGCTCCCAGACATCTTCTTGGGGTTACAGGCACCCCTCAGTCTGCTTTTAGCTTCCCTTAGTGCACCTAAGGGGACGGGAATGTGCTTATTAGGGTCCACTGTTTTACTGGGGCCCATTGTGGAAGTGTGAAGTTTGGTGATCACCCAGGAGACACCCCCCGCACTCCTGTGCCCGAGCTGTCTCATCTGTGATTCACAGTCTGCTCTTTCTGGCTGCTTGTCGTGAGAAGTGATTTTGAACCCCGAGGTTAGAAAGGGAGCTATTTTTGAGCTGCTTTTTGTTAAAAGGCAAATTTTCTGCTGGGGACTGGCTTTACCCCGTCTACCTAAATCATTTCTTTCTGCCTCCTGTAACAGTCGCCTTTTGTGTTCTGCTGGCATTTGTTTGAACACAGTCCACAGGTTCAGTGGTTGCATCTCTAATCAGCTGCCAGTCCCCATCCCAGACATTCTTTGCATCTAAGCTGAGGTCTGAACTGAGTGGGGTGGGCTGGTGTTTCCATCCTCACAACTCCAGTGAGCCGGGTGTGGCCGTGGCCTGCGTCTCCCTGGCGGTTAGTGATGTTGGCATCATCCACCTTTTTCAAACAAAGCACTGGACTGAGAGAATTCACACACTGTATCCACCCAGTCCATGGTTTTTAGTAAAAGGTTTATAGAGGTGAGCAGCCATCACCACACACAACCTAAGAACATTTTCATCATCCCCAAAACAAACCCACACACTGGCCACTGTGTCCCCAGCCCCAACCCCCACCAACTCCCGGCCCCGGCACCCTTCAATCTCTGGCTGTGCCTGGGACACTCCCTATAGCCGGAGCCTTCCTTCAGTTAGCGTCAGGTTCCGGGTTCATCCACGGGGTGCCTATGCTGGTGCCTCACTCCTTTTTCTCTCCTGGTGTGGATTTCCCACGTTTTATTCTCCATTCATCAGCTGACGGACATGTGGTTTCTAGTTTTTGGCTACTGTGAACAGTGCTGCTGAGAGATTTGTGTACGTTTCTGTGTGGATGTAGGTTTCATTGATCTGGGGTGTACAAGGTGCATAGGAGAGGAAGTGCTGGGTCATGAGTGACTCTGTGTTTAACGCCCCAAGGCTTTGCCCAGCTGTCTCCACGTGACCTTCCCACCAGCAATATGTGAGGTGTCCACTGAACAGTCACAAGGTTCACAAATCTGGGGAGGAGAGCTTTTTTTTTGACGGAGTCTCACTCTGTTGCCCAGGCTGGAGTGCAGTGGCGCAGTCTCCGCTCACTGCAAGCTCCGCCTCCCGGGTTCACGCCATTCTCCTGCCTCAGCCTCCCGAGTAGCTGGGACTATAGGTGCCCGCCACCACGCCCGGCTAGTTGTTTTTTTTTTTTTTTTGTATTTTTAGTAGAGACGGGGTTTCACCATGTTAGCAATGATGGTCTCTATCTCCTGACCTTGTGATCCACCTGCCTCGGCCTCCCAAAGTGCTGGGATTACAGGCATTTGCCACCGCGCCCGGCAATTTTTTTTTTTGAGACGGAGTTTTGCTCTTGTTGCCCAGGCTGGAGTGCAGTGGCGCAATCTCAGCTCACTGCAACCTCCACCTCCCGGGTTCAAGCCATTTTCCTGCCTCAGCCTCCCAAGTAGCTGGATTACAGGCATGCACCACCACGCCTGGCTAATTTTGTATTTTTAGTAGAGACAGGGTTTCTCCATGTTGGTCAGGCTGGTCTCGAACTCGTGACCTCAGGTGATCCACCCGCCTTGGCCTCCCAAAGTGCTGGAATTACAGGCATGAGCCACCATGCCTGGCCAAGAGCTTGATTTTTAACATTAGCTCAAGGTTAATGCCCCCAACTCTCAGCAAAAGCATGACGGGTGCCCGCGTCCGTCTGGGAGTACTTTTCACCGTTTTACTAAGGCTTCATTGCCCGCAGCCATCCTGACCTCCACACTCTGAAAGTGACAAGCCCTGAAGTCTCCAGTCGGGGCAGGTGCTTGAGCTCTGACGCCCGGGCTGCCTGGCGCAGAGACCACGTGCTTGGGGAGGAAGGCTGTGTCCACTGGGGGATTCCTTTCCTCACATACAGGATCCAGTGATCAGCACTGCTCTGGAAGGAGGGTCAGGGTGGTGAGCGTTCAGTCCCTCCGGCCCTCTGAGCCCCAGCCTAGGCCGCCCTCTGCTTGCGCTCTTCCTGTGGAGGAAAGGGGAGGGCTCAGCACCACACACTCTGTCCCCTCATCGTCTGTGGGGCCCCGGGCTCTGCCCCTGGAACCCTGAGGACAGGAAGCCCTGTGCATGCAGAAACCAGGCCCTGGCCCCGCTGACAGCCCTCCCTGGTGCCACGTGTTTCCACCACTGGTGCCCAGGGGCTCCCCGCCCTTGGGCCAGAAGCTCGAGGACAACCTGTGTGACCCTCTGTTGCCTTCTCGCTTTCCTCTTTTTCCCTCTTTTCTCCACGTGTGGTGACGACGCCCTCTCTGCAAACGCCCTCCCCAGAGGGTTTCATGCCGGACTCTGGTGCCCTTACCTTGACAGACTCCTCCAGCTGGGACAGGGCCTCCTCGTACCGAGGAACCAGCGGCTGCAGCAGCTTGCTGGAGAGCTCGTGCCGCTGCAACTCAGGTGCCCCAGCTTCAGTTAGCATTCGGAGGAATCTCCTCTCCTGGAGAGAAGCTCATGGTGGAAGGGGGTTCTTGGGCCAGCCCCTTAACACCCACCAACAGCAGAAACTCCCAAGACCCTCGCAGCCTCACCTGCACTTTCAGGAGCAGTGTGAAGGCCTGTCCAGTTTTCCCAGCGCGAGCTGTCCTCCCAACCCTGGAATCAAACGCAGCTATCTCCAGACTGGCCCCTGAGCCTTCAAGAGTCTGACGGAACGACAGCTTCTCTCCACACCAACCCCACCCCACGCCAGTCAAGACGGTCCCACATCAACGCCCAGGAGCTCACAAAGCCCCAGACCCCCCAGTGGCCGCTGCGCCAGCGCTCACCGGTGCACGTAGGTTCTCAGGTACTGGGGGGCGTCGTAGTTCACCACCAGCTCCACACCCTGCACGTCGATGCCTCGCGCGGTGGCGTCCGTGCTGATGAGCCTGCCGGGACACGCAGCATTGTGGGCCCGACGTGCCAGGAGCAGGGGCCGTGGCAGCACCGGCCCTGCGGGGGGCAGCTCAGGCCTTTCTGGGAACTGGCTGCCATGGGGCTGGGGCACAGGAAGCCAATTTGCAGAAGGAAGCACCTTTTAGAGAGCCCCAGGCTGACCCTGGAGTGGGCACCCCCACCCCACAGAGGCCTTGCCCCTGCCCAGGAACTCACAGCTGGATCTTCCCCTGTTCAAACTGCTTCAGGATCATCCTCCTCTGGCCAGGCCCGTAGCGCGAGGAGAACTCAGCCACGTCCACACCCCCAAAAGCTTGCACCAGCAGGAAGAGCCTAGGCAGAGAGAAGGCTGCGGCCAAGTGATGCTGGGACCAGAGGCCACCTCTGCCACCCCCGCCCAGCCGGGGCCTCACCTGTGGGAGTTCTCTCGGGAGTTAGTGAAGCAGAGAACCCTCGAGAAGCCCATCTCCAGGACCAGGTGCAGGACGACCAGCGGCTTAGAGCTGAGGCTGCAGGGCACGTAGTGGTGCTACAGGGACGGCAGGGGGTCGGGGTGGAGGTGAGGGTTGGTTAGGGGCCCCAGGTTCCCAGTGCAACCCTCTGCCCACACGGTATCCCACTCACCGTGAGCCCAACAGGAAAGGCATACTTCCCCGAATCCCCGTCCCCATCTGTATCTTCCAGGCCCCTGTGTGCTAGCCCTGTGGAGAAAAGCCGGGGCTGGTGGAGGCCCAGCTGCTGCAGCTTTTCAGGGTTCTGGGTCAGAGTAGCTGAGAAGAGCAGCTTCTGCAGGGGCATCTGGGGACAGCAGGTGCTGGAAGAGAAGGGGGTGTTGCTGGCACCCTACCAGTGGCTGCCCCGAACCTCCAGGGAACAGGATTCCTCATGCTACGCACTGTAGAGACTGCCGCAGACCAGGAGCAAGGTGGGTCCAGCTCACGTGACAGTACGATGCGGTTCTGTGCACCAGAGCTCAAGCCACCCTTATCTCTGGGCATTAAGGAAGGAGAGCTGTGTGCAGAGGACTCTGCTCAGGGGAGGCCAGCACCTGGGCGTGCTGCTGGATACCTGGCGGCTGTCACAGCCTGGGCCTGCCTTCGCTGGAGCAGGGCACAGGGGTCCGCGGGGTCCTCGCTCTGGAAGGCGGCCGCCACCACCCGCGGCAGCCAGGACTGATGCATGCTGTCAATCATCCGGTCAGCCTCGTCGATAATCTGCAGGAGACAGGGAGCCCGGGACTGGGTGGCGCGGCCCTGAGCTCAAAGCCCAGGCCCCTGGGGCGGGGACCTACCAGGAAGCGGAGCTGCTGGAGGCTGAATCCTGGGGTCTGGTCGATGTGGTCCACCAGGCGGCCGGGGGTGGCTACCACGATGTCAGCCAAGCAGCGGTACCCATCAGCTCTACAGACCAGAGAGCAGCTCGAGAGAAGGAAGCTTTCTCAAGGGCTTCCGGATAGCAAGACGCTGCCTCACCCCACAGCCCCGACTCCACCCCACATGGGAAGGGGGCCGGTGGGAGCTCCTCCTCTTCACGGGAACAGGTGGTTAAAGATGGTGGCCCCTCCTCTGCTCCCACGGTGCCTCAGGCCACCTGCAGGGCTGAGCAGGGACCCCCTGAAAAACCCGCACCCTGACACAACCTACGTTTTCTGGACGAGGCTCTCCTGCTCCTTGGCCAGAGACTTCTGTCCCGTAACCAGGGAGACTCTCAGAGGTGTGGCATCTGTGTAGATGTTGAAAACTTTGCTCACCTGCAGGAGAAGTCTGTCACTGGCCTGGAGGTAGCTGGTGTCCACCTACTGCAGCAAAAAGGACCCCAGATCTAATCTGGGTCCCCCAGGGGCTGATCGCTGTGCACTCAGCAGGGAAGCTGAGGCGGGCGGTGCCACGCTCCAGGTCTAGGGTCCACATACCTGCTGGGCCAGCTCCTTGGTGGGCAGCACAACCAGGGCACGGATGTGGCAGACCACTCTCGAAAGCAGGGCCTGAGGGGGAAGGAGCGCCTGCGTCAGCAAGGCTGTTACCTGTCCTCTGCACACCCGCTGTAGAGAAAGGGGACCCTCACACAGACCTGCACCACAGGGATGACGAAGGCCAGTGTCTTCCCACTGCCTGTTGGGGCAGAAACACAGAGGTCGCTAGGCCGGTAGCCACCTCTGCCCACCAGAAACCCACAGGCTGCGCTCTCCAGGAGGGCAGGAATCACAGCTGCCTGGACTGGATGAGGAAAGGCGAGAGAGAAGTCGTGTTTACGCCTAGGCCTAGGCCTGCCGCTTCCCTGCCTGTGACCTCTGGGCTGGGCTGCTCTGCTGGAGGCCTGGGAACCGCTCCCCAGAGGGATGGCACCAAGGCCCAGAGGAACGCCAGCCTCAGGAGACCCAAGTGGGAACCATGAGCTTGAGAGTGCTGAGACCACACTTGGCACCGATGTGGCAGGGACGCCTGACCCACGGCCACTCACAGCCTTGTGTGTGGGTGCCCAGGGAGGTGTTCCCTCAGCTGCCTGCCCGGGGCTGGGGCACCTGGAAAGTAGGACGAGATGCCGTGTGCCCGCAGCTGCTTCTGCAGGTCAGGATGGACGTCAGGGATGTCCTCGATAGGAACCAGGTCTTCGGTGACATTCCTTCTGACACAGTTAGGCTCAGCCAGCCACCTTGGCAGGAAAGGCTGGACCTGCCATCAAAAAGAAAGAGAGGCCAGGTGAGCGCTTTCCAGGCTCTCGCGCAGAAGCCCACGGTGGAAAAAGCTAGGGGAGGGAGGCTGGGGAAACCTCTGTCGTCTTCAGCTCCTTCTCAGCCCCAGGATGCGCTTTCCATACAGCCTTCAGAAGTTAAACAGTAAAAGCAGATGCCACTCCCTGAGCAAACTCACTCTGTAGCCTCCCATCAACCCACAGTGGCACCCACCCTCCCGCAGCCAGGAGGTCCTGTGACCTGGCGCTCGCCTGCCCCAGCCACGCCGGCGTCCCTGCCTCGAGGCCTCTGCCTGGCACCCCCAACCCCCAACCTTGACCTGGCTTCAAGTCTTTGCATCCCAACTCAAAGAGAACCTCCTCCACCTGCCCTACCTAAGGTGCCCGAGCACTCTGTCAAACTTCTCGCTTTCTTCACCTGTCTCGCCGGAAATCTCTTTACCGAAAACCACACGTGCTAAGCAAAAACACCAACGGTCAGGAGCTTGCAGAACGGCCTCTGACTTACTCCTGAGGCGGTGAGCGCACAGCAGGAAACCCCGCACGTTCACGCAAACACATCTTGCAGAACTGGCGCGGCGCGGCGGGAGGACAGGGGCAAGCCTAGCAGAGGAAACGGGAGCTCTGCACGTGCAGGATCCAGACCCCTAGGCGATGAAACTGCAGACCTGGCAGCGAGGCGCGGCTGTGACCCGGGAACATTCGCTGAACGAAATCTTCCGGGGCGACCGCCGCACTTAAGAATCCGCGCAGCCTACCCTCTCACGCCGACCACCCTCCCGCCCGCCGAGGCTCACCTTCGGCGCCTTCCTCTTCCCGAACCCCCCCAGCACCAGGCCGGGGACCAGGGGTCCGGCCGCCTCCTCCAGGGCCGGTCCATCTGGGGCCGCCTCGGCGCTGGCGCTGGTGCTGCGCTCCCCCGGCGCCTCCTCGCTGCTCCCTGCGCTGGGCTCCCCTGGCGCCTCCTCGCTGCTCCCTGCGCTGGGCTCCCCTGGCGCCTCCTCGTTGCTTTCTGCGAGGCAGACACCCACCCGGCAGCGCGTCAGCACCGAGTCGCCGGCGCCCCAGAGGGAGCCCGCTCGCCCCGCGGCCCACCTGCGCCCGCGTCCTCGCCGTCCGCCTTCCGTCGCTTTCCCTGCGGCGCCTCCGGGCTCCCCGGCTCCGCGTCGTTCACCCGCCGCCGCCGCCGGGGCCGCCGTCGCCTCCTGGTCGCCGGCTCGGTCGATGCAGCCGCCTCGGTCTGCGCGGGCTCCCGCTGCTGCTGCCGTTCGCGGGCCCGGCTCTGCAGCCGCTCGAGCAGCGCGCGGGCCCTGCCGTGCGCCCCGGCCTCCGCGCCCTCCGGCCCCGCCGCAGCTGCCGCATCGGGGCCCGGGTACCGCGCGACGTAGAACAGCGCCATGGCCAGCCGCACGCCTGGGACTCGGGCGTGGCGCGCTGCGATGACGTCGGCGGCACGCCTGCGACTCGGGCTCCGCGCAAAAGATGGGGTTGGGGTACGGCGCGTAGAGATGACGTCGGGTTCTACGCGCAGTGGTGACGTCACGGGAGCGCCGGCGGCTGAGAATCCGCGTTGTTCCGTGTTGGGGGCGGCATGGAGCGGGAGCCGGGCGCCGCGGGAGTTCGCCGGGCTCTGGGCCGCCGGCTGGAGGCGGTGCTGGCGAGCCGCAGTGAGGCCAACGCCGTGTTCGACATCCTGGCCGTGCTGCAGGTGGGCCTGGCGGCGTCGCAGGGCCGGAGTCGCGGCACGGGAGCGGGACTTGAATGGGGGGCTGCGGCGGCAGGTCCCCAGGAGGTTCCGAGACGGCGTTGGGGGGTCAGGGTGGGAGGCGTGTGGGTCACGGGTCGGGGGTGACGGGGCTGGCGTCCCGAGGGGGAAGGGAACGGGTTGGGGGCAGCCTAGGCAGGGGCGAAGGTGACAGTTGGCGGCCGGGCACCCTGCCGCCGCCTCTCCTGCAGTCTGAGGACCAGGAGGAGATCCAGGAAGCAGTCCGCACGTGCAGCCGTCTTTTCGGGGCCTTGCTGGAGCGGGGAGAGCTGTTTGTGGGCCAGCTGCCCTCTGAGGAGATGGTCATGACAGGTGAGCCCTGGAGGGCCCCGGGGCTGCTCTTCTCTTTCCGTGGGTCGGAGGGAGGCTTTGTCACCATGGGATGAGCGCCCCCAACCCTGGCACAGGCCGTGCAGGCTGGTGGGAGGACGCACCAAGCCCACCGTGGAAGATGGATGGTGGCGTTGGGGCAGGGGTGACATGGGTGCCCTGCAGCTGAGTGTAGATGAACACTGGACAAGGTACGACTTTTTGTGTGCTTTGCACCCCTTTTGTAATTTGATGTTGACTGATCCTGACACGGTCGCTTAAACTCGGAGCTTCCTTTATGTCCCCATCCTGGGGACGTCAGGTCTTGGAGTAAAGAGAGGGGATGTGGATCCTGCTCCTGGCAGCTTGGCTGGGGCAGTCCTGGGGTAGGAGGTGCTCTTCCTGTTTGCAGGGCTCAGGGAATGTGCTGGTCTCAGCACAGGTCTGGGGGCCTTAGCGACCTGTTTCCACCTGCGGAGGCTGAGTAGAAGACAATGGGAGGGTGGAGCCAGGCCTGAGATTTTGGGCTGGGCCCAGGGTGGCGTATGTGGGCCTCACGTGGGCTGACCACCCTAACCTGTCTGCAGGGTCCCAGGGAGCCACACGGAAGTACAAGGTGTGGATGAGACACCGCTATCACAGCTGCTGCAATCGCTTGGGAGAGCTCCTGGGCCACCCCTCCTTTCAGGTCAAGGTGGGTCATTGGGCTGGCCTCATCCTTGTCCATCCCCTGCACCCCAACTCCCAGGTTATCCACAAAGCAGAGGTCTGGGGCTCCCACAATTGTCCAGGCAAAGCTGCTTCCTTCATGGGAGCATCACCCTGTGGGTGTTCAGTCCCATTCAGAAACATGGCTATCGAGTCCTGTAGTGAATATTGAAGACGCAGAATCCGTGTTCATTTCCAGTGGCATCCACGGGGATCTCTGTGTTTGCATAGAGCACGCACACCAAGCCTCGTGCCAGTCCACAGATGTGTTTGCTCAGATCACACTGTGGTCTGCAGCCATGGGAATGCATTATGAGCTTTCTTAAAATCTGTAGTGAGGAATAACTGAGGCACAGTTTACCGTTTAAAGCTGAGAAGTTAGCATCTGTTACTGTGTTGTGCAGTGGTTGCCGCTATCCCAGAACATCTTTATCGCCCCGAAAAGAAATCCTGTACCAGTTACCATCGCTTCCATATCCCGCCCCTTTCCACCCCCAGCCCCAGGCAGCCACTCCTGGATCAGTGGTTACTTCCTGGATCAATGGGTTTGCTTTTTTTAGACGCTCCTCATAAGGGGGATCATACGGTATGTGGCTTCTTCCACTCATCGGCGTGTTCGAAGTTCGTTCTCTTTGTGGCTGAGTAGCAGCGCGTCGTATAGCACAGCACGTATCGTTCAGCCGCTCGTAGGTTGCTGGGCATTTGCGTCGTTTCCACCTTTGGCTGTTACGAACAGCGGACTGTGAACGTTCGCGTACAAACTCTTGTGTGATGTTTCTTTTGCTTGAATATGCCTTATCAGTGGAATTACAAGGCCACACAGCAGCTGTGTTTTTAATGTTCTGAGGAACTACAAGACTGTTTTCCATAGTAGCTGCGCTATCTTACCCTCCCCCTGGCAGCATTTGAGAGTTCCATACTCCACATCCTCGCCAACACGTCTGTCTATAATTATAGCCGAGCTGCAGACTTTTAAATGTTGGGGAGATACCACGTGAAAATAACCAGTTTCCACCTTCTCAGAAAGAAATAATCAGTTCTGTCAACACGGGGTCTAAGTTTGTTCATGGCTGCGATTGGCTGGAGGGAGAGTCAGAGACAGCTCTGAGACAGCCGTGTGCTCCTGTCATCCCGCACGAGGCTCTTTTGCTTTGTGGTGTCATTTGCCTGGGCCCTGAAAGCACTGAGTTTGCCACCCCGAGATGAGAGCTTCCAAGCCTGGGTCTGAGTTGGGCACCATGCTGGCATCACACGCCTGTGTTTTCACAGCTGTTCCCAAGGGTTATGGTGGCATTCCCGTGACACAGGTGACGAGAGAGCAGTCAGGTGGCCCATAAAGCAGACCTGGGCTGTGTACCCTTCCCCCGCCAGACTCTGTCGTGAGCACTGGATCTCTTTAACTAGAGATCTTGTCATCTCTACGTCATGGGTGGGACACGGAAGCCCAGAGTGGCATCTGGTGGCGTGTGGAGCAAGAGAAGGCCCGGCCGCCCTTTTCTCAGCTCTGGGCCTAGATGGGAGGGGCTCCCTGACTGGGCTGAGCTCTGGGCCCATCCGTGGGGTGAGGGCATCACAGCCACCCTGCACTGCCCCCTTCCCAGGAGCTGGCCCTCAGCGCACTCCTGAAGTTCGTGCAGCTGGAAGGAGCGCACCCCCTGGAGAAGTCCAAGTGGGAAGGCAACTACCTGTTCCCCCGAGAGCTCTTCAAGGTGAGGGCCTTGCTGGGGACTCCCAGAGGGCCTGGCTGGCTGGCCAGATCCCAGGATGGCCCCGTAGTGGGGGCGGGGCCTGCTGAGCTGAGCCTGGCTGTTGGCTGGGACACTCCTGTGGCTCCTGTGGCCCACCCAACCAGGAGGAGTCTGCCTGGGGGGCTCGATGGGGCAGGGCTGCCTGCCTGGACCTTGCTGGCGTATGCTGGGCCGGGCAGGGCTGCTCACTGGTCCTTGCCCCTAGTTGGTGGTGGGAGGCCTGCTGTCTCCTGAGGAGGACCAGAGCCTGCTCCTGTCCCAGTTCCGGGAGTACCTGGACTACGACGACACCCGCTACCACACCATGCAGGCAGCCGTGGATGCCGTGGCCCGGGTCACTGGCCAGCACCCCGAGGTGGGTGATGGGGTCCTGTCGCCAGCATCATGCTGTTGCCTCCCAGGGAGGCAGGGACTGGGGGGCGGCGTCCAGGCACTCAGGCCAGGCTCCGCAGGTGCCCCCCGCCTTTTGGAACAATGCCTTCACGCTGCTGTCTGCCGTGAGCCTGCCCCGCCGGGAGCCCACCGTCTCCAGCTTCTATGTGAAGCGGGCGGGTGAGTGTGCTGAGAGTCAGGGGCGGACAGGGCTGAGCCTTGGTCTGCCTCCCCTGCGGGTCAGGTGACCTTTGCCCTCGCTTTCCCTGCAGAGCTGTGGGACACCTGGAAGGTTGCTCACCTGAAGGTGAGTTGCTTCTGGAGAGCCGGGCACCCTCCCGGGTTTGGGGGTGTGTGTGGGGTGCATGTGAGACCCCATGGAGGCTGCCGCCTTCCTCACCAGAGGAAACTCCCAGGGTACAGGTGGCAGCTTGCACGGCCACCAGGTCACTCGAAGTGTGGGAGGTGACGAGACCTGTGAACTCGGGACCCTCCCTTGGGTCAGAGGCCACCGCCGCCTCTTGGAGTCAAGCCTCTGGTGCCACCTGTGGGCCCCGTGGGCTGTTTTGGGCGCAGCCCCCCTCTTGGCCATGGTCTTGCCAAAGCTGCTTTCTTGGCTGTTCTGAGACTCCAGCCTCGAGGGCAAGGCGTACCTGACTTGAATGGGGACAGGAAGAAGGAAGGCAGGGTCAGAAAAGTGGAGAGCAGGCTTGTGTTGGCTCAGGCTGGGCTTCGGGGTGCCCTGGCAGCTGCTCGGGCTCTGGTCTGGGGTGGGGAGGGCGGCGAGTGCAGTCTGGACCCCGTTGCAGGAGCACAGGAGGGTTTTCCAGGCCATGTGGCTCAGCTTCCTCAAGCACAAGGTAGGGGCCAGGCCGGGGAGGGGGCGGGGGCGGCATCCGGGTCTCCCCCAGGGCGGAGGCCTCACCCCGACCCGCCGGCCCCCGCCCACCCGCCCCTCACCCCCACCTGCCGGCCCCCGCCCAGCTGCCCCTCAGCCTCTACAAGAAGGTGCTGCTGATTGTGCATGACGCCATCCTGCCGCAGCTGGCGCAGCCCACGCTCATGATCGACTTCCTCACCCGCGCCTGCGACCTCGGTGAGTGCCGCCGCCTCGCTCACACCACACCCCTAATCCCCTCGGTGAGTGCCGCCGCCTCACTCCTACCACACCCCTAATCCCCTCGGTGAGTGCCGCCGCCTCACTCCTACCACACCCCTAATCCCCTCGGTGAGTGCCGCCGCCTCACTCACACCACACCCCTAATCCCCTCGGTGAGTGCCGCCGCCTCACTCCTACCACACCCCTAATCCCCTCGGTGAGTGCCGCCGCCTCACTCCTACCACACCCCTAATCCCCTCGGTGAGTGCCGCCGCCTCGCTCACACCACACCCCTAATCCCCTCGGTGAGTGCCGCCGCCTCGCTCACACCACACCCCTAATCCCCTCGGTGAGTGCCGCCGCCTCGCTCACACCACACCCCTAATCCCCTCGGTGAGTGCCGCCGCCTCGCTCACACCACACCCCTAATCCCCTCGGTGAGTGCCGCCGCCTCGCTCACACCACACCCCTAATCCCCTCGGTGAGTGCCGCCGCCTCGCTCACACCACACCCCTAATCCCCTCGGTGAGTGCCGCCGCCTCGCTCACACCACACCCCTAATCCCCTCGGTGAGTGCCGCCGCCTCGCTCACACCACACCCCTAATCCCCTCGGTGAGTGCCGCCGCCTCACTCACACCACACCCCTAATCCCCTCGGTGAGTGCCGCCGCCTCACTCACACCACACCCCTAATCCCCTCGGTGAGTGCCGCCGCCTCGCTCACACCACACCCCTAATCCCCTCGGTGAGTGCCGCCGCCTCACTCCTACCACACCCCTAATCCCCTCGGTGAGTGCGGCCGCCTCACTCACACCACACCCCTAATCCCCTCGGTGAGTGCGGCCGCCTCGCTCACACCACACCCCTAATCCCCTCGGTGAGTGCCGCCGCCTCGCTCACACCACACCCCTAATCCCCTCGGTGAGTGCCGCCGCCTCGCTCACACCACACCCCTAATCCCCTCGGTGAGTGCCGCCGCCTCACTCCTACCACACCCCTAATCCCCTCGGTGAGTGCCGCCGCCTCGCTCATACCACACCCCTAATCCCCTCGGTGAGTGCCGCCGCCTCACTCACACCACACCCCTAATCCCCTCGGTGAGTGCCGCCGCCTCGCTCACACCCCTAATCCCCTCGGTGAGTGCCGCCGCCTCGCTCACACCACACCCCTAATCCCCTCGGTGAGTGCCGCCGCCTCGCTCACACCACACCCCTAATCCCCTCGGTGAGTGCCGCCGCCTCGCTCACACCACACCCCTAATCCCCTCGGTGAGTGCCGCCGCCTCGCTCACACCACACCCCTAATCCCCTCGGTGAGTGCCGCCGCCTCGCTCACACCACACCCCTAATCCCCTCGGTGAGTGCCGCCGCCTCGCTCACACCACACCCCTAATCCCCTCGGTGAGTGCCGCCGCCTCGCTCACACCACACCCCTAATCCCCTCGGTGAGTGCCGCCGCCTCGCTCACACCACACCCCTAATCCCCTCGGTGAGTGCCGCCGCCTCGCTCACACCACACCCCTAATCCCCTCGGTGAGTGCCGCCGCCTCGCTCACACCACACCCCTAATCCCCTCGGTGAGTGCCGCCGCCTCGCTCACACCACACCCCTAATCCCCTCGGTGAGTGCCGCCGCCTCGCTCACACCACACCCCTAATCCCCTCGGTGAGTGCCGCCGCCTCGCTCATACCACACCCCTAATCCCCTCGGTGAGTGCCGCCGCCTCGCTCATACCACACCCCTAATCCCCTCGGTGAGTGCCGCCGCCTCGCTCATACCACACCCCTAATCCCCTCGGTGAGTGCCGCCGCCTCGCTCACACCACACCCCTAATCCCCTCGGTGAGTGCCGCCGCCTCGCTCACACCCCCAACCCCCACCCCGCAGCACCTCTTCCCCGATCCCACTGCCTCCACCCCCCACTCCCCTGCCCTGCATGTGGTCTCCAGCTTTGTGTCCGTGGGGGCTGTGGGAGGGGACAGCAGGGGCAGAGGCCACACTCCACAGACTTACACTCAGTGTGGGCAGGGGGTAGGGTGGGAGCGAGGTCACTGCAGCTCCAGCCTGTGTCTGTCTGTCTGCAGGGGGGGCCCTCAGCCTCTTGGCCTTGAACGGGCTGTTCATCTTGATTCACAAACACAACCTGTGAGTGTCACCAGGGGTGCAGGTCTTCTTCCCAGTCTGCCCAGCCCTGCTCCTCTGTCCCCTTCCCACCCTGCCCCACGGGGTCCCCGCTTTCCTCACAGGCCATGGTGTTGGAGTCCCTGGGCGGGAGGAAGGGGCGCCGAGTGAGACCCTGGCCTTGGAGGCCTCAGTTCCCGGGCCCTGCTCCATCCGCTGCTCCTTCCCCCCGGCCCGCAGGGAGTACCCTGACTTCTACCGGAAGCTCTACGGCCTCTTGGACCCCTCTGTCTTTCACGTCAAGTACCGCGCCCGCTTCTTCCACCTGGCTGACCTCTTCCTGTCCTCCTCGTGAGTACCAGGGCACCTGGCTCTGCCCTGCTCTGTGCGGCTGCAGCCTGGGGCCAGGGGAGGGTGGTGGGGGCTAGCAGTCCGGGCCCTGTCTCACAACCACTGCCCTGCCCAGCCACCTCCCCGCCTACCTGGTGGCCGCCTTCGCCAAGCGGCTGGCCCGCCTGGCCCTGACGGCTCCCCCTGAGGCCCTGCTCATGGTCCTGCCTTTCATCTGTAACCTGCTGCGCCGGCACCCTGCCTGCCGGGTCCTCGTGCACCGTCCACACGGCCCTGGTGAGTTGCGGGGCCCTCGGAGGCTGGGCTGGAGCTGGGGCGGGGGTGCCTGGTGCTGTGGACGGCAGACAAGGGCCCACGTCTCATTCCTAGAGTTGGACGCCGACCCCTACGACCCTGGAGAGGAGGACCCAGCCCAGAGCCGGGCCTTGGAGAGCTCCCTGTGGGAGCTTCAGGTGAGGGCGCTGCTGCCACACCCTGGGGCCTCCCGAGCCATCCTTCGGCCCCTCAGAAAGCCCAGCTCCCCGTGCCACCTCCCGCATAGCCTCATGTTGCGTCCCCAGCTGGCCACCTGGGTTTGTGGGTGCTGGGTGCTTGGCCTTCTCACGTGGCTCCGTCCCGACCCCGCCCACTCTGGTTGGGAGCACAGGGAGGCCATGGCTGGGGGCACAGGGCGGGGGCCTGGGGCAGCTGCCTCTTAACGGCCCTACTGCCCCAGGCCCTCCAGCGCCACTACCACCCTGAGGTGTCCAAAGCCGCCAGCGTCATCAACCAGGCCCTGTCCATGCCTGAGGTCAGCATCGCGCCACTGCTGGAGCTCACGGCCTACGAGGTGCGGAACTGGGCCAGGGTGCGAGGGTCTGGGCCACGGGGCGCTGAGCCAAGCCTGAGAGCCGCCGTGCTTTGTGCTTTGCAGATCTTTGAGCGGGACCTGAAGAAGAAGGGGCCCGAGCCGGTGCCACTGGAGTTTATCCCAGCCCAGGGCCTGCTGGGACGGCCGGGTGAACTCTGTGCCCAGCACTTCACGCTCAGCTGACCCTGGCCCACCTGTGAATAAATCTCAGCTGACCCCAGCCCACCTGTGAATAAATGTTTTTGCAGGAGAAAGGCTCAGGGAGTGTGGACTGGGGCGGCTGGATGCCTCTGCCAGGCCGAGGGCCTCACATCTGCCTGAGCCCACCAGGCACATGGCAAAGCGAGGCCCCTGCCGACTCCACAGCCTGGGAGGGGATGGTGGGGAACCTGAGGCGTGGTCTTTCCCAGGGCCTCCGGCCCACCAGTGTCACCGGTCACCCAGCCTCCCTCATCCCCTGGCCCCAGTGACCTCCCTGTTGGCAGAGCTCGGGGCCTCTGCTGAGGTTACACTCCAGACACCTGGGAGGGAGCAGGGTTGGGGGGGTTCTCTCTGCCTGGGTCAGTTGTGGTGGGAGGTGTATGGTGGTGTAGACGGGTATGGTGTGTGTGGGAGTGAGGGGAGGTGGTGTGAGTGGGGGGTCAGTGTGACTGGGGGGAGTTTGGTTGTGAGTGGGGGTGTTGGTGTGAGGGGAGAGTTGGTGTGAATGGGGGGGTGGTGTGTGTGGGGGGTGGGTTAGGATTAGTGTGAATGGGAGGTTGGTTTGAGTGGGGGGTGTTGGTGTCAGTGGGGGGTTGGTGTGAGTCGGGGGTTCCTGTGAGTGTCAGCATCCCACGCTGGCTGTGTCCTGCCGATCTGGCCTTCGTTCTGGGAGCCCCGCGAGGCCCCGGGTGGATGCCGCGTGGAGTTCTGGGTGGATGGTGCGTAGAATTCCGGGTGGGTGCTGTGTAGAGGCCCCGGGTGGATACTGCGTAGAGTTCCGGGTAGATGCTGCGTAGAGTTACAGGCAGTGCCTGGGCCCCTCTGGAGTTCCCTGCCCCCACCCCCGTGGGAGGCCCTGGTCCAGCTGCAGTGGAGTTTCCCCCGCTGTGGGAGGCGCTGGTCCGGCTGCAGCACAGCCTTGTTATCGGGGTGTTTATTTTTAGGGAACCAAATTTATACCAAACAAACTAGGTTTTCTGTCTACACAGTGACCCCCAGTTTCCTTTTGACAGTCTGCTTATTCGAGGACAGGGTGGGATGGGGCACTGGAACAGAGCTTGGTGCGCGTGGGTGTGGCTGGGGAGGGCGGGGAGTGCCTTGGCCGTGGCTTGGGGGTGTCACCCTGCCGGCCCAGCATTGGCCGGGACCCTCCGTGTGCCCAGCGGGGTTTTGGGGGGCAGAGTGATGGTGGAGATGTTGCCTCTGCTCCCAGCATCCCCCTGGCTGCTTCCCTCTGCCCCAGCGGGCTCCTCAAGTGAACTGGCTCCTGCCCCAGGGCCTTTGCACCAGCCACAGCTGTGGCCTCTGCCGCTTTTCCCTGTGTTGCCCTGGTTTGAACGTCCCGTCCCCGTCCCCCCGGGAGGCCTTCCCTGGTACCCCGTGCGTGGTAGTCCTGCACAGGCGCCCCTCCTTCCCCACTCTTCATGCTGTCCCGCCCGAGCCCTCTCAGCACTCCCGCTGCAGCAGGGCAGACAGGGCCCGTCCTCTTGCTGTGTCCCAGGCAGCCTGTCACACCGGGTACGCTCCAGAGCCCTGGCCCCCCTCCCCGCCCTCCTTGGGCTCCTGGGGCAGGGCTGGGCCTAGGTGCTGGCATCCTGAGCTCATGCGGCCACCAGAGGCCGCTGCAGCCTTGCCCAGGCCTGCAGCGCCCGAGCTGCCCTGCTAGGTTTCACCTCGCCGGGGTCTGCAGTATTTCCTGCTCGGATTCAGCCAGGGCCTCCCTCCTGACATCACGGAGGGTTTGTGCTGGGCTGTTAGGCGGATCTCGGATGATGGGCGAGGCCAGGAGGAGAGTGAAAGCGCCTCCGAGTCAGCCAGGCTTGGATTCTGTCGTCAGAGGGGCTCTGTGTCTAGCAACCTCCACGTAACCGTGTTCGGTCCTCTGCTCCCTGTGTTCCCCGCATGAGCCGGGCATGAACAGGGACCTCCTTCACCGCCTGAGGTCCCCTCTCCCTGGCTGGTGACCCCCATCTCTGAGAGCACGGGGACGTCCCCTGTGCTGTGGAGGAGCGTGTGCTCTCCGAGATCCAGGTGCTGCCCCCGAGGAGCGCATGCCCTCTGAAATACAGGTGTTGCCGCCATCCCCGAGAGCACGGGGACGTCCCCTGTGCTGTGGAGGAGCGCCTGCCCTCCCAGATCCAGGTGCTGCCCACCAGGCGGTGTTAGGAGTGCCTCGTCCGCAAGGGCGCCATCCTTGTTAATGGGATTCAGGCCTTTGTAAAAGTGGATTCTTCACGTGGTGCTGAGCCGGCTGCTCTCTGGCCTTTGGCCTCCTGTCAGGTTGGGCGCAGCCAGGAGGCCCTCGCTAGAGGCTGGTGCCTTCATCCTGGACTTCCCGGCCTGCGGAACTGGAGAGAAGACAGTGTCACTTTTTAGAAGTTACCTGCTCTCAGGTAACCTGTAACAGTGGTGCAGACGGACTGAGACACCGTCAGTTCCAGAATCTTAGAGAAATTCCAGGGGCCCCTTCAATCACCTATGAGGCCAATACCCAGCCGGCACCTGCGTGTACCCGGCGGTGTCCTCACTGCACACGGAGAACAGCGCCGCACCAGTGGGGCCTCTCTCCCCCTGTGCTTCCCCCGCTCCCTCTCTGTCTTGTCTCTCCCTCTCCTCCCGTCCCCCGATTCCGGGTCTCCCTTCAGGAAATGAACGCGGCTGCCGGACAGTGAAGTCACAGCTACATCCGTAATGAGGGATAGCTGAAGAGCTGTGGAGCGCGCGTTCCGGCGATAAGGGACGCTGGAGCGTTTAATTGGCGTTGAGGAAATCAGCTGCGGAGAATCAGCAGTCGTTTCCCGAGCGTCGGTCGTGCTGGGAGCTGTGGCGAAGGCCCCGGCGGTAAGCGATTCCCGCTGGACAGCGAGGAGCGTGTCCGTTCCCTGCGGTGTCTGGGTCTTCCCCCACTGGGGCCAGCAGCCCACGGTGAAGGCCATGCCGGTCTCCAACGGCGCGGGCTCCACTCCCGGCTGGGAGGGTGGCACGGCCCCAGGCCTCAGTTGTCCCATCTGCAGAGTGTGCTGCCAGGGTCTATGCTCAGAAAGTGACTTCAGAACGTAGCGGTGTGGAACTGCAGCAGCACTGATTTCGCTCGTGAACCTGCAGTGTGGACTTGGTGGGGACGGCTCGCCTGCACTCCGGGTGGCAGGAGGTAGAGTTGGGTGTTGGGGGCTGGGGTCGTTAGAGCTCACCATGCAACATGACACACACCGCTACATACACACCACTACACACACTAGATACACCACTACACACACCACTACACACACTACACACACCACTACACACACACACTACACACACTACACCACTACACACACCACTACACACACTACACGCACACAGTACACACACCACTACACACACTACACGCACACAGTACACACACCACTACACACACTACACACACCACTACACACACACACCACTACACACACTAGATACACCACTACACACACCACTACTCACACTACACGCACAGTACACACACCACTACACACTACATACAAACCACTACACACACTACACACACACACCACTACACGCACACACTACACACACCACTACACACACACTACATACACCACTACACACACCACTACACATACTACACACACAGTACACACACCACTACACACTACATACAAACCACTACACACACTACACACACACACCACTACACGCACACTACACACACCACTACATATACCACTACACACACCACTACACACACACTACATACAAACCACTACACACACCACTACACACTACATACCACTACACACACCACTACACACACTACACGCACACACTACACACACCACTACACACACACACTGCATACACCACTACACACACACCGCTACACACTACACGCACACAGTACACACACCACTACACACACACTACATACAAACCACTACACGCACACTACACACACCACACACACACCACACACACCATTACACACACTACACTACACACACCACTACACACACACCACTGCATACACACTACATACACCACTACACACACTACACACACTACACACACTACACACACAACCACTACACACACACTACACGCACACACTACACACACAACCACTACACGTACCACTACACACTACACACAACCACTACACACACCACTACACACACACCACTACATACACCACTACACACACCACTACACACACCACTACACACACTACACGCACAGTACACACACTACACACACAACATACAAACCACTACACACACTACACACACCACTACACACACACTACACACACCACTACACACACACACTACACACACTACACACACACCACTACACACCACTGCATACACACCACTGCATACACCACTACACACACCACTACACGCCACTACACACTACACACACCACTACACACAACACACAACCACTACACACACACTACACACACCACTACACGCACACACTACACACACCACTACACACACTACACACAACCACTACACACACCACTACACACGCACCACTACACACACGCACCACTACACACTACACACACACCACTACACACACACCATTACACACTACACACACCACTATGCACACACATACACACCACTACACACACATTACGCTACACACACACTACACACACTACAGGCACACACTACACCACTACACACACACTACACACATTACACACACTACACACTCCACTATGCACACACTACACATACACCACTACACACACACCATTACACACACTACACACACCACTACACGCACACACTACACACACCACTACACACACACAGCATTACACACACTACACACACCACTACACGCACACACCATTACACACACACTACACACACCACTGCACACACTACACATACACACCACTACACACACCATTACACACACACTACAAACACCACTACACACACACTACACACACACCACTACACTACACACACCACTATGCACACTACATACACACACCACTACACTCACACACCATTACACACACACTACACACACCACTACACACCACTACACACACACCATTACACACACACTACACACACCACTACACACCACTACACACACACCATTACACACACACTACACACACCACTACACACCACTATGCACACACTACACACACACCATTACACACACACTACACACACCACTACACACACACTACACACACACACCACTATGCACACACTACACATACACACCACTACACACACACCATTACACACACACTACACACACCACTACACACACATTACACTACACACACCACTACACACTACACACACACCACTATGTACACACTACACATACACACCACTACACACACCATTAGACACCACTACACACACACTACACACCACTACACACTACACACACACCACTATGCACACACTACACATACCACTACACACACACCATTACACACACACTACACACACTACACACTACACACACACCACTACACACTACACACACCACTATGCACACACTACACATACACGCCACTACACACACCACTACACACACGCAACACACACCACTATGCACACACCACTACACACACTACACACACCACTACACTACACACACACCACTATGCACACTACACATACACACCACTACACACACACACCATTACACTACACACACCACTACACATCACTACACCCACACCATTACACACACACTACACACACACTACACACACACTATGCACACTACACATACATACCACTACACGCACACACCATTACACACACACTACGCACACGACTACACACACTACACACACACTACTACACACACTACACACATCACTATGCACACACTATACATACAGACCACTACACACTACACACACACACCACTACACACACTACACACACACACCACTATGCACACACTACACATACACACCACTACACACACACCATTACACACACACTACACACACCACTACACACACACTACACACACACACACCACTACACGCACACCACTACATACACCACTACGTACACACACCACTACATGCACACACCACTACACACACACACCATTACACACACACACCACTACATGCGCACACACACACGCGCACACGCAGGCCCTGGGCCCCCACCCACCTTCCTCAGCGCCCTCCCTGCACGTGTGACGCGGTGGCCCCCAAAATGCCTCTGACCCTGCCTGGTCTTCCTAGATGTTCTGCACCAGCTTTGCTGGTGTTTTCAGGGTGCCTACGGGGACCCCTCATCCCGCAGCCTTCACAGGGGGTGGGGTTCACTCCTCGGATCTCACGGGGGCTAACGTGTCCCCCGGAAAGAGATGTCCCCGTCCTGGCCCCCAGCATCGGCGAGTGGACCTTATTTGGAAATAGGGTCTTTGCAGATTAAGGAGCCAGCTGAGATCATCCTGCATTCAGGGTGGGCCATCAGTCCGGTGGCCGGTGTCCTAGTCAGAGGCGTGAAGAGGAGGGCGGAGGCCGGAACTATCCATCGGCTCCGAGGGTGGAGCAGGGGCCTCTGGGAGCTGGAAAAGGCAGGAATGGGTCCTCCCTGAGTCTCTGAGGGCCCCGCCTGCCCACACCTGCCCATATTTGCCCCAACCTGCCCACACCTGCCTCAGGACAGCATCTCGGTCTCCTGGCTGCCAGACTGTGATGAAGATGCATGGTTCTAGGCCACTGGCTTGTGGTGACTTGTTGCATCAGCTGTGGGGAGCTCACACGGTAGCGCCTGTCTTGGGGGGTGCTGGGCGGGTGACCTTCAGGAGACCCCTGGGGCCCCGCTGCCCTCCCAATGCCTCCAGTCCCAGTGTCTCTGTGGTGGCATCCTGTGCTGAGGATGGTGCCTCGCGGAGCCTCCACTGCCCCTGTGTGCTCCGCACCACGTCTGTCTCGATGGCGCCCCTCGAAGACCTCGGGAAGCTCCCCGTTCGCTGTGGCCCCCCGGGGTCTGTCCCCTGCAGCACTGTTCTCTGGGGGCTCGTGGTCCGAGTTCTGATACTGCAGGTGGCAGGTCCCCTGAAGGCATAGTCAGAGGCTTTGCTCTGGGCTGGCATGGAGGTATGGGCGTGGCGGGGTGTGGCTGGGCGTGGAGGGGCATGGAGGTGTGGGCAGGGCATGGAGATGTGGGCGGGGCTGGGCGTGGAAGGGCGGGGTGTGGAGGTGTGGGCGGGTTGGGCACCTCTGGGGGTTCTGGGAAGACTCGTTGCTGACTTCTTTGGGCTCCAGAGTCTGCTGTGCTCCTGGGCTCTGGCATGGTCCCTTGCTTGTCACCCCGACCTCTGCTGCTGCGGCCACTGCTCCCTCTGCCTCTCCTGCCTCCATCCTGTAAGGACCATGTGATGAACTGGGCCGGGGTCATCCAGGAGGACCCCCTGCTAGACCCTCAGCCGGTCTCACCTGCAGAGTCTCTTCTGCCCCGTGGGGGACACAGCCACGGGCTCTGGGGAATGAGATGTGAACAGATGGGGCTGGCAGCAGGTGTGATTGGACCTGGGACTGAAACAGCATTGTTCTCTTCTCGCCTCTCTCGGCCCCTTTTCCTTCTTTCATTCGTTTCCCCAGAGCTTGGGCAGTGCTCACGTGGGTGTCTAGGCAGCCGCCCATGCCCACGCTGGGCGAGCCCTCTTCACCCCAGCTGGGGAGTGCTCTGCCAGGTCCACCCTGCTCCCAGCTCTGCTCAGCATGCTGGCCGATTGCTGTCTGGGCCACTCAGGCACGTGACAGTGTCGGGGAAGGAGCTGTGAACTGCCACAGACAGTGCTCCCCGAGGCCCGACGGGCTTTGCTGCTTGGGACAGCTGGTGAGTGGCTGAAGCCCTACTGGCTGGCAGGCAGACGGGGAGGCGGTGGCGCGGTGCTGGGCTGATCCTGCTGTCATTCTAGTCCAGTGGTTCCGGCTGCATGAGAGAATGGAAACTGGGTAGATAAGAGGAAAAAGTAATGAAGAGATAACGGTGCGGGGGCCACGGGACCAGGCATCCTCTTCCAGATCTGCAGGCCCTGAGCCCAATGGAACCGGCAGAAAGCGAGGGGGTGGAGTGGGTGGGCTCGGGGGGCTCTGTCGGGGTCTCCTGGAAACCAGGGGACAGAGGGTCCAGCCCAGGGTTGCAGCACCCTCAGGACAGGCTGGGAGCTTCTTCACAGAGGTGGTGGGGGGACTGTCCCTGGTGGGACAGCCTCGTCCCCTTCCCTGTCAGCCCTTCAGGAAGTCCGGAGAGGCAGTGTCCACTGTCCCAGTGCGTGCGGCACGGTGGCGTGAGAGTTCACAGCCCAGTGCCCTCCGCCTGTCCTTGCAATACCTGTGCAAGGTGTGATCAAGAAGGAAGAGCCGGGTGCTGGCAGGTTCCCCCAGCTGGTGTCGGAGGACAGCCAGGCTCAGGAGCCCTGCGTGCCCATGTGGGAAGTGCCTGACAGCCCCACAGACGGGGCGGTGGAAGCAAGGCAGGCTGGATGGTGGCAGGACCTGGTGGCAGGACCTGGTGGCCAGAGGGGCCCGGAGACAGGGAGTGATCTTGGGACCGACTGTCCTCCTCCCACATTCCCCCAGCTCCTGGCCCCCTCTGGCCGAAGCCCCCGCCCTTCCCGTTCCCTGGGCCCTCATCTCTTCTCCTGCTGGCCGCCTCCCACCAGGCCTGCTCCACCGCAGGCCCTCCCCTGAGAGCTTCCCGCAGTCTCCAGCCTCAGATCCCGGCAAAAAGATTCCGTGTGGTGACCCCTGACCCCACCGATAAAGATGCTGCGGCCTCCAGCATCCTGGCTCTGCCCTGGACCCAGCTCCTCCCCACTCAGTTCCTCCCCACTCAGCTCCTCCTCCCTTAGCTCCTCCTCCCTCAGCTCCTCCTCGCTCAGCTCCTCCCCACTCAGTTCCTCCTTCCTCAGCTCCTCCCCACTCAGCTCCTCCTCCCTCAGCTCCTCCTCCCTCAGCTCCTCCTCCCTCAGCTCCTCGTCCCTCACCTCCTCCTCCCTCACCTCCTCCTCCCTCAGCTCCTCCTCCCTCAGCTCCTCCTCCCTCAGCTCCTCAGCTCCTCCTCCGTCACCTCCTCCTTCCTCAGCTCCTCCTCCCTCAGCTCCTCCTCCCTCAGCTCCTCCTCACTCAGCTCCTCCGCCCTCAGCTCCTCCCCACTCAGCTCCTCCTCACTCAGCTCCTCCTCCCTCAGCTCCTCCTCCCTCAGCTCCTCCTCTCTCAGCTCCTCCTCAGCTTCTCCTCCGTCACCTCCTCCTTCCTCAGCTCCTCCTCCCTCAGCTCCTCCTCCCTCAGCTCCTCCTCCCTCAGCTCCTCCTCCCTCAGCTCCTCCTCACTCAGCTCCTCCCCACTCAGCTCCTCCCCACTCAGCTCCTACTCCCTCAGCTCCTCCGCCCTCAGCTCCTCCTCACTCAGCTCCTCCCCACTCAGCCCCTCCTCACTGAGCTGTTCCTCGCACTGGACTCTGCGGCTGGGTCATCACTCCTCCCCACTCAGCCCCTCCCCACTCAGCCCCTCTTCCCTCAGCTCCTCTCCACTCAGCCCCTCCTCACTGAGCTGTTCCTCGCACTGGACTCTGCGGCTGGGTCATCAGAGGCCCTGCCCTGCCCTGCCCTCCACTGCGTGGAGACGCCACATCGTGAGAAAGCCGAAGCCCCACCATGGCTCATGACACCTGCCTCGGTTTTCTCAGCCTGGCTGTCTTGGGACCCCAGCAGCCACCTGAAGCCCCCATTTGGTGGGGCTGCATCCAGCCACCGCCAACCCACAGCATCAAGGAGGGAAGAAAACAGCGTTCCACAGCTCTGCCCTGGGGGCTGTCCTTCCCTGCCCTGGGACGGGAAACATGTGCCCTGCACAGATCCTCTCCTCTCTCCCCTCTCCTCTCTCCCCTCTCCCCTCCCCTCTCTTGTCTCCTCTCCCCTCTCCCCTCATCTTTTCTTTCTTTTTGGCAGACATAGGACACATTCCTCTCTGCTACTCTCAAATCCCCCTCGTCACACATTATTTTGTCACCTGCAGCTTCTGGCCTCCAGAACGACCCCCAGGATGCCCCCGGGCTCACACCGCCTGGCCCTCCCTCATGCCTGGGCTTGGTCGGAACTGCCAACACCTGGCACGAGAGGGTGCAGTGTATCCAGAATCCGGTCCTGAGGTGCTGTCCTGTCCTCCATGCTGTCCCCAGCCACCCCTCTCGGGTCACCAGCCGCCCTGCCGTGAGGAGGCTCGGGGAGGCCCGTGGGGAGGTGGGAGGCAGGTAGGAGCCAGGGAAGCAGCCTCCTGGGCCAGCCTGTGCTCTGCCTGCTTCCTGAGCTGTGGCCACTACAGAGCTGTTTATTTTTATTGATGTGGCAACTGCACTCTGAGGGAAATTACTGTGTTAGGAAATATTTCCCCGCTACCGCAGTCAATTTTGGTTTCATTTAAAATTCAAAAGCGGTGTTGGCCGCCTTCCCAGGCAGTGGGGGCACACAGAGTCCGAGTTGTCCCTGCCCTCCCAGCCCAGCTGGCTCCCGGGCAATGCAGCCACAGCAGACGCCTCATGGAGAGTGGGATCAGCCACCGAAGTCATGGGCAGGGCGGGGGCAGGGGCCCTTCTGAAATTCCTTCCCCAAACCCTCCCATTTGGGCCATGAGGGTGGATGTCGCCTTTTCTGGAAGGCGGGAAGCCCTTGCTGAGCATCCCCTCCATCCCGGTGCTTGGCTGCTGGTGAGCCCTGGCTCCGGAGCCATTGGGAGCTTCCCTGGGCCCTGACCTCACCCATGGCCGCGTCACCTCCCTCACTGTCCCTCCTGCATGTCTGTTCCTCCCCTGACCCTGTCGTTCTGTTTCTAGCCCCAGGTGGCTCCATCCCTAGCTGCCGGGTCCTCCCCACCTGTGGGACCTCGACTCCGCCCTGTGCTGGGCACAGCTCCATCCTGCAGGTCCGAGCCACTTCGACTCCGCCCTGTACTGGGCGCAGCTCCATCCTGCAGGTCCGAGCCACTCCAATGCCTTTTAGTTTCCTTCCCCCAGAAGCATTCTCAGTTGATGCTGGGTCAGAGCTGTCATGCACTGAGCTGCCCGTGGGGAGGGCAGGTGCCCCGCAGGAAGGTGGGGCCCTGCTGCTCTGGCAGAATGGGGGCTGCTCAGGCCAGGGGGTATAGGGGCTGCAGGACGCCCCCCAGGACGGGTGCCTGGCCTGCCCCAGAGGAGCAGCATCACCTGAGCTCGCACCTGTGCCCTTGCCACCCTGCGTGGGCTGCCCCTGCCATGTGAGCTCCTCTCCCTGCTCTACACATATTTTAAAGGACAGGTGAGTAACCAAAAACCAGGTAGGTGCTGTGCAGAGCCAGGATGTGTGGCCCAGCCCTGAACCACGCTCACTTGCAGGCTGCCCAGGGTCCCCTGGGCGCAGGTCACCCACATAATGGGGCCCGCATCGGGGCGCAGAGGGTGACACCCCAGCCTCCAGGAAGGTGCCTCATGGGTGGCTCAGCCCTGGTTAGCCCCATGGCTAACAAAGCCAGGAATTACCGCAGAGCCTGGGCGTGCAGGTGGCACGGCCTCTGGAATTTGGTTTTGTCCTGTCACTAACTGGATAAATGGCCCAGCAGTCTCACCGTGTTCGTACTGTTAAAGAAGAGTCGCTGGGCTCCCGGCTGCTCAGGGACGTGCCGCGTGGCTGCCATCCTGTGGTAATTCCACATCTAATGTGTTCAGGACTCTCCAGACAGTTTTCCACAGTGGGTGCACCATTGACATCCCACCAGCAGGGCACAAGGGTCCAAGTTCTCCACATCCCCGCCAGCACTGGTCCCTTCCATCTCTCTCTGTCTCTCTCAATCATCTCTCTCCCCTATCTCTCTATCTCTGTGATCTCTCTATCATATCTGCTATCTATTCTATCTCTCTACCTATCTCTATTTGTCTATTTCAATCTATTACTTACCTGTCTGCCACATCTATCTATATTGATGATCTCTATCCTATGTCTATCATCTATATTCATTGATCAATCATATATATCTGTATCATTTATCTATCTGTATCTGCCACTTAGCTAATCTATCACTTACCCATCCATCCACCCATCCGTCCATCAACCACTCATCCATCCGTTGACCCATCCATCATCCGTCCACCCACCCACCCATCCACCCAGCCATCCATCCATCATCCGTCTACCTAGCCATCCATCTATCCACCCATCCATCATCCATCCAGCCATCCATCCATCATCCATTCATCCACCCATCATCCACACATCCATCCATCTACCCATCCATCTGTTCTGTGCAGGAGATGCGTGAGGGGAGAAGAAAAGACACACAATACCTGTAACGGTAAACAACCTTTATTCCACGTAAATGGCAGTGGAGATATATAATAAGCAAATTGCAATGGGAAGGGGAAAAGGGAAAAAATATATATATATTTATATTATATATTATATATTATATAAATATATATAATGTATGTTATAAATATATAATATATAAATATAGTACATATTTAAATATATATCATATATTTACATATTTAAATATATATCATATATTTACATATTTAAATATATATCATATATTTACATATTTAAATATATATCATATTTACATATATAATATATTTATATATTTATATATATAATGTATATTATATATAATATATAAATATATATTATATATAATATACATTATATATATAAATATATAAATATATGTATTTATATATAAATGTATATTATGTATATTTATATATATAAATGTATATTATGTATATTTATATATATAAATGTATATTATATACATTTATATATATTTATATATGAATGTATATTATACATTCATATATAAATGTATATTATATATGTTTATATATAAATGTATATTATATATATTTATGTATAAATATATAATATATATTATATATTTATATATAAATATATTTAAATATATGTTTATATATAAATATATTTAAATATATATTTATATATATTTAAATACATAAATATATTTAAATATATATTATATATTCATATACATAAATAAATATATTTAAATATATATTATATATATTCATATACATAAATAAATATATTTAAATATATATTATATATATTCATATACATAAATAAATATATTTAAATATATATTATATATATTTATATACATAAATAAATATATTATATATGTTTATATATTTAAATATATTTAAATATATTTAAATATGTATATTTAAATATATATATTTATATATATGTATATTTAAATATATATTTATATATAAATATATAAATATATATAAATATATTTAAATATACATATTTATATATATATTTAAATATATATATATGTATACTCACCAGACTATGGAGGATTCACCACCAGACTGGGAAGCAACAGCCTGGGCTCCAGAGTCGGCTGCCTGTCTGTGCACAGATGGGGAGAGGTCTCATGAATCTTTGGCACGGTCTGGGACCTGAGCTCTTTTTGTAACGAGTTGTTTTTTCATGAGGCCTAGTCACAAGGGCCCTTCGCGACCAGGCTCAAGGAACGCAAAAAGGTCAACTTGTTCTTGCAATTGTCTGTTGTTTTTCAATAACTAATGTATAGGAATAGATTGAAATAGAGATTTCTCTGAAACAGCACTGGATGAATGCCTCAAGGGACTCACACGACCTGTTCCAGGACTTGGTGACCATTGTTAGTTTCCACGTTGAATTTAGTTCAAATTTAATATTTAACTTTTCCTGCACACTATCACCTACCCATCCATCCATTCATTCACCCATCCATGCATCCATCATCCAGCCACCCACCCACCCATCCATTATCCATCCAGCCACCATTCATCCACTCATCCATCCATCCACCCATCACCCACCCATCCATCCATCATCCATCCACCCAGCCATCCGTCATACATTCATTCATCCATCCATCACCCATTCATCCATCCATCCACCCATCAATCCATCCACCCACCCATCCTTCATCCACCCAGCCATCCATCATACATTCTTCCATCTATTCATCCATCCACCCATCCATCCATCCAGCCAGCCAGCCATCCATACATCCACCCACCCACCCACCCATCATCCATCCATCCATCATCCATCCACCCAGCCATCCATCCACCCACCCATCCCTCATCCACCCAGCCATCCATCATACATTCATTCATCCATCCATCCATCCAGCCATCCATACATCCACCCACCCACCCACCCATCATCCATCCATCCACCCACCCACCCATCATCCATCCATTCACCCATCCATCCATCCACCCACCCATCCATCATACATTCATCCATCCATCCATTCACCCATCCATCCATCCACCCACCCATCCATCATCCACCCAGCCATCCATCCATCATACATTCATTCATCCATCCATCCATCCCTTCCATCCATTCACCCATCCATCCATCCACCCACCCATCCATCATCCATCCGTCCATCCACCCAGCCATCCATCCATTCACCCATCCATCCATCCACCCATCCATCCATCCACCCACCCATCCACCCATCCATCCATCATCCACCTACCCATCCATCATCCATCACCCACCCATCCATCCATTCACCCATCCATCCATTATCCATTCACCCAGCCATCCATCATACATTCATTCATCCTTCCATCCACCCATCACCCACCCATCCATCCATTTACCTATCCATCCATCCACCCCCCCATCCATCATCCATCCACCCACCCATCCCTTATCCATCCATTCATCCACCCAGCCGTCCATCCATCATACATTCATTCATCCATCCATCCATCCATCCATCCATCCATCACCCATTCACCCATCCATCCACTCATCATCCATCTGCGCCATCCCTTGGTGGTGAAGTGCAGTCTCCCTGTGGTTTGAGTGGGTCTCTCTGATGGCTGGTGAGGCGGAACCTCGTTTCTGCCTGTGCGTGCTGAGGCTGTTGGGCACAGCCATGCATTGTTTGCAGGTGTGTCTGGGGACTCCCTCCTCCAGAGTCCCAGGCCACCGAGCAGCACAGGCACCCGAAGCTGCCATGCTGAAATGGCAACGCAGAGAGACCTCTGGGCCCTACTCTTCCTCTCCTTGAGCCAGACACTCCGACCACAGAATCCAAGGGAGGAGATAAAGTGATTGGCATTGCTTAAGCCACTCAGCTGTGGGGTTCTTGTTAGAAGGCAGTAGGCGGCCGCAGCTGTGAGCCTGAAGGGGTCACTCCTCCACCTAGGGTGGGCACCCAAGCGAGGAGCTTTTGGGAAAACACCCGGCTCGGGGCCACCCTCCCTCTCTGCAGCCTCTTCCCTGCCCGGAGCCCTGAGCCTCTCAAGGGCAAGCTGGAAGGAGAGTGGCCGGTGGCAGGGAGGCAGAGCTGGCATTGGGATTTGCTGGGGCGGTAAGTGTGCAGGACGGGGGCCATTCACACAGCAGCAGAGGAGGTCACGTGGGCCAGAACCCAGGCGGAAATCGGTAGGTTTAATAACAACACACGAGGCCGAAACAGCGTCCCCAAGGGTTGCCCACGATGGCTTTGTTCTCGCCAGATGTGCACGCCCACAGCACGTGCGGTTTCCGAGGTGAATCAGCATTTCTGGAAACCTGGCAGGGATTGAAACCTGGGGATCCCGAGACACAGCTGAGTGTAGGGGTCGGGGAGGCGCTGGAGTGGCTGTGGAGGGCAGGATGTGGGGGCAGTCACTTTCTGGCCTGGGGGCTGAGCCTTCTGGGCTCTTCCCAGGTCAGAGCTGGTCTGGCGGCAGCGTCAGCGGGGCTGGACGAGGGTCCCCAGGAACGCTGCTGAGCCTCAGGCCCACGGGGCTTCCCAGCTGTGGCCTTTGGTTGGGCTGGACTGGAGGAGATGAACAAGCTGGGAGGAGGGGCTCTGCAGCCAGCCCTCTTGCTCGCCACTGAGGTCCTGAGCCTCAGTTTCCCCTGAGTGAAACGGGTTGGGAACAGCCTTCTCCATGGGCTTTCTGCAAGTCACAGTGAGGCCGGCCACACGTCCCAGCACAGTGAGCTTGTGGGGAGGGGGGCCCACTGGGGTCCTCTGGGGGCCGATGCTGAGACGGGGTCTAGGCCGGGATAACGGGATAGTCCATTGCTGGGCCAGGGCTGCTGAGCGTGGGTGGGGACTGCCGACTGCAGTACAGACCCAGACGGCAGGAGCCCGGCAAAGCCTGCCCTTCCGAGGAGCCTCACGTCGGAGGAGCTGCCTGGGCTGTGCTGGCGCCAGGCTTAGAAGCCGGGGCCCCAACTCCGATGGTGCCGGGGCTGAGGCTGTCCCTGGCTCTGGGGGTACATCCTTTCTTGATGCCAGGGAGCAGGATGCGGGGTTGGGAAGGAGTTGGGTTGTGGGCCAGGGACCCCGTGGGCCTTTCATGGGGCCAGCAGGGAGGGCGTCTGCTCCCACGGCGGGTGGTGGGATGGCTCCACGTGGTCACAGGGCCAGGAGCACCAGCACCGGCTGAGCCTTCTTAGAAATGCAGAGTCCCGGGTGCACCCTGCCTGCTGTGCCGCACCGGCTCCCTTTCTGGTGGGGTCCCGGCCCTCTGGCGGAGTGCACTGAGGGATCTGGGGGATAGGAGCCCCTGTGGTGGCCAGCACCCTGCCCCTCCCGGCTGGCCCTGGCGTCTGTGCACCGAGCTGGGGGCCACTGAGTCCTGGGTGTGACTCCCACGTGCCAGGGGCCCCTGGTCCTGGCCCCACCCCAAGGTGCTTTCTGGGGAAGGTGGGCCGTGTGGCAGGGGGAGACAGCGGGGAGGGTGGGCCACGTGGCAGGGGGAGAAGCAGGGAGGGCGGGCCACGTGGCAGGGGGGAGACAGCGGGGAGGGTGGGCCACGTGGCAGGGGGAGAAGCAGGGAGGGCGGGCCACGTGGCAGGGGGGAGACAGCGGGGAGGGTGGGCCACGTGGCAGGGGGGAGACCTCAGGGAGGGTGGGCTGCGTGGCAGGGGGAGACCTCGGGGAGGGTGGGCTGCGTGGCAGGGGGAGACAGCGGGGAGCCAGGGCCGGAGCCGGCCAGTGTTCTTTAGGGAACACAGCCCCTGCCCGTGGCAGGCACCCCAGGGCGGGGACGCTGAGGGGTCTCAGCTCCTCTGAGCAGCTCCCACCTGCCCCTCCTGGCTGCTGGCCTGAGTTCCTCCCTGAGCCTGGGCCACCGCCAGAATCACGTGTCCAGCACGGGCAGTGGCAGGTGAGACTGGCAGGTGGCCCCAAACCCCGGATGTCGGCCAGGACGTCTGCGGCATAACCTCTGTCCATCTGACACGGGGGCCCCTGAGGCTGCTGGCCCCCCACCTCCCATGGCACCTGGGTCCTGGTAGGAGAGCTGACCTGAGTGGGGCGTGGGCTTGAGGGGCATGGGTGGAAGGACCCTGGGTCTCATGAGGGCGCTCTCTCTGCACTCCCACCACGCCCCAAAAGAAGGGCAAAGGCAGAGGGGATCCTGTGAGTCTCTGCAGGGTGGACATGTTCCCTGGTGGGGAGGGCAGCTGGAGGTCTGATGCCCCTAGCCTGGACCAAGAACTCGCAGACTGGCCTGGTGGCTTCTGAGCACACACAACTGAGGTCAATTTTATGCTCTGGAATTGATTTCAAATTAAATTTTGTTTCTTTCGACCCAGTCAATACTTGGAACAAGTTCTAATCAGGAGAGCGATTCGGGGCTCACACCCTCCTTCTGTAGGCTGGGCTCAGGCCTCATTCTCAGTAAGGAACGTTGTGATGTCAGCCCTCTTCCTGCACTAGCAAAAGTGCCATTAATCAGCCTTTCTGACGGTTACAGGAATTCTTAATGATGCATTTATTTACACAGATTTCTCTGCTCTGGGTAAATTCTTTTCTCCCCGTGCCAGACCACAAAGTACATGGCAGTCGATAGCAGAATTATGAGAAACGCAATTTACTTTGCGGATCTAATGAGCAGATGAGTAGAAAGTCGCCAGCCCCAGCCTTGGCCGCCACACACATCCTGGCCCGCTCCTCCTGGGAAACGGGTCTGTACTGCCTGGTGCTGGGCGGGGGCGGCCTCGTCATCCTCCAGTCACATTTTTCCAAGCACACTGTGGTCGAGCCATGGCCCCAGCCCCTTTCTGTCCCCATCCCCCAATGTCCCCGGGGCAGGTCCCTTTAATACACAGGGGTGCCTTGGGCAGGCCCTGGCTGGGCCCTCTCCATCCTGGCAGACACTCCCAGGTTCTGTCCCGTGCTGGAGGTGAACACGCTTGTCACTGGCCAAAGAGTGAGCTGGAGACAGTTTGCACGGCAGGGGACCCTGTGGCCACAAATGAAGTCCCCCGGTGTGTGTGTGGAGAGGGGGGGAACAAGAGGACATTGGCTGCCCTGCAGCCCCATGAGGACGAGGACCATGCCCCGTCCAGCGGGAGGCTGGTGGACCCCGGGTTCCGATGACGCTGAGCCAGAGAGCCAACGCGACCACGTTTTGGGGAGGGAACCCCGGCACCTTGGGGCGTCAGCAAGGGGCATTGACTTTTGGCCACCTAAGGAGTACTGGACATCACACATGTGCACACCCATGAGACCAGCACACACAGGCAGGCACAGGTGCACTCACACCCTCCAACACCAGGCAGAACGCGCGTGCAGACACCGGTGTGGCCTCAGTTTCTGTCCCTGGGGCCCGTGGAGCTGTTGCCAGATCAGGCTGTGCAGTGCTGCGTGGGACCCACCGAGGAACTTGCCCAGCCGCGTGCATGGTAGCTACGATGTGGAGACGTTGACGGTTTCCATCTGCCTTGAATTGTGATGCTGCCGGTCAGGGAGCAGCTCTGGGGGACCAGGCCTGGCCACCTATGATGGTGTTGGTGGAGACGGCTTCCGACGAGGTCGGGTTCGTGCCTAGGCGTGTCCTGCACATTCGAGGCCACAGACGTGGGGATGTGTGGGGTGTCGGGGGTGGGGACCGGGAAGACCTGGCAGGGGGTGAGGGGGCACCAGGGACACTGGAAGCCCTTCCAAAGCATCCGAAAGTCCCCGAAGGGCCACATTTTTCAGCCGTTCTGGGCCTGTAGCCAAGAGGCCCCTGCCCTGCCCACTGTCACCTCCCCAGGGGGCCAGGCCAGGAGCTCGGAGCCACCCGGGCCCTCCCAGGTGCAGCCCTGGGAAGGCAGCCCCACTCCTCGGAAGCTGTGTTTGCTCATCTGCAAAGGGGCGAGTAGAGCAGGGCCCTCCCAGGGCCGATGGAGGCTCAGGCGCTTTCTTGGCCCTGTGGGGCTCAGAGCGAAGGTATCACGGGTGGGAGTGGAGGTTATTTTCCTACCCTTGCCCCATGCGGAAGTCCTGCTCTTACCGTCAGCCACCTGTACATGTCTCTGCGCCTCCTTCTCCACACACAGCCTGGCCTGGAGCCCGTGGGCCTCCTGTCTCCCTGCTGGGTGCTGAGCTCAGCAAGGGCAGGGGCCCTGCAGGGCACTGGCCGACCCTCTGTGCGGCTGCTGAGGAAAGAGGGAATTACACGACCATGCCCCTCCATCTCAGGCTTGCTCAGGGCCGGAGGCTGCTCCAGACGCCTGAGTGCAGCTTCATCTTACCCCACAAGCTTATGAGGCAGATGCTGAATCTTACAGAGGAGGAAACTGAGGCCCAGAGAGGCACAGCAGCTGGCCCAACGTGGCACAGCAGCACAGGCGGGGCAGGGTTGAGGCCGTTCCACCGTGGGCCCCAGTGGAGCTTCCCCTCTGGAGCCAGTGATCCCGCTCTGGGACTGGCCTCCATGCCACTCTCTTGGCCGGGGGGATTCGTGCATCAGACCTGGGGCAGACAGGCTGCTTGTCTGATTATTGCTCACTCGGTTAAGGTGACCCGGGGGGTTTCTCCGTCCTGGCGACACCTCCCTGTGCACTGGAAGGTGACCTGTGGGTGACACTTCTGGGTAGTCGAGTATCCCATCCCAGTCCACCTCCCACCCGGCGGCTGAGCACCCAGGAGGGCCTGACGTGGGTCTGTTGTTGAGTGGGGATTTTCCATGCTGCCCGTGAGCCCGGAGCCCACCGTTCCCGCTGCCCATGAGCCCGGAGCCCGCCATTCCCGCTGCCCGTGAGCCCGGAGCCCGCCATTCCCGCTGCCCGTGAGCCCGGAGCCCGCCGTTCCTCCGGGAAGCAGAACTCCCCTCCCCATCCCTTTTCTTAGACTCAAGGATTCTGTTGTAATTAGATATTTTTACTGTTTCTCTGCCCTTTTGAATGGTGCCAGGCCTGTCCCCTGTGTCCTTGAAATGCCCCCGTCACTGTCTGAGCAAGTCCTCAGGTCGGAGAGGTGGTCAGCCCAGACTCAGCCACTTCCCCAGCAGCCCTGGGCAGGGGTGGGGGACACCGTGTGCTTTCCTGGGTTCACGCTGGCTGCTGAGTGGAAGAGGCCGCAGGGGCGAGGGCGGCGGCCAGGACCGATGAGGAAGCAGCTGCAGGGACTCCAGCTCGAGCCCAGGGCGGCCTGGACCTGGGGGGCAGTGGGGGTCTGAGAAGTCAGGTCAGGCTGTGCATCAAAGGCAGAGCTGACGGAATTTGCTGCAGCAGCCACCATGGGTGGAAAGAGCCGCCAAGGCTGAACCCGACGCCCTGGTGTGATCACTTGTGGGGACAAAGTGGTCGCTAATGGGATGGGGGGCTTGGAGTGGACTCTGAGGCTGGGGAAAGGAGGGGTTTGGTTTTGCAGATGCTGGACCTGGGTGTCTCTGAGAGGTCCAGACGGAAAGGCACGTGGCGGGTGGATTTAGGAGGCTGCAGTTCATGGAGAGGTCCAGGCAGCAGCAGGTACCACTTGGAGATGACAGGTAACGGATGGTTTCTAAAGCCACAAACAGGGCGAGGCCCCGGGGAGAGGGCAGGCCTGGAGTCCCGCGAGGATCCGTGGTTAGAGGCGCCCTCCCACACCGCCCACAGGTCTGCAAGGTTTGCACGCCTCCGCTCTGCAAGGAAGCAGGTGCAGTTAGTTCCCTTGGCCTTTCCCAGCACAGGGAGACGGCGCGTGTGACCCGGTGATCTGTTGGGGAGGGGAGGGGAGGAGCAGGCAGCACGGGCGTTTGGGGGCTGCTGGGATGGATTTTGGGGTGATGGGAACTGAGGAACCAAAGGTGCTCCATGGTCTTTGGCTTGAGGGATGGGCGGGGTGGCATTCACTGGGAGGGGCACTGTGGGAAGAACAGGGTCTTCCTGTGGGGAGCAGCATGGACCTGTGAAGTCTGCAGGGCCCGTGTGGACCAGGCAGGTGTGCGGGGCGGCGAGGCCGGACCCAGGCAGGTGTGCGGGGCGGCGAGGCGGGGCTCCGACACCGGCTTTCTGGACACCCAGAAACAAGAGGCATCATGGAGAGACCCACAAGGGCTGGGGGAGGCCAGGCCCTCTCCAGGGGTCAGGCTGGGGATTTTGGTGTCTGCCAGGAGCGGCAGAGAGGAGGGGAGTTTTCGGGGTCCCCTAGGGGCTGTAGCGGGCTGGATGGTTCATGCTGCACTCAACCCCGGGACCCATTTTCCATGTGTCCCTCCGGCAATGGGAGGCCACTGGGAGGCTGCAGACACACACTTGGGTTTTCAGCGGCCTCTGCTGACTGGGACCCACTTCTGATGCCCTGAGCCCCCACTGCTGGCTGGGACCCACTTCTCACATCCTGAGCCCCCTCTGCTGACTGGGACCCACTTCTCACGTCCTGAGCCCCCAGTGTGGGTTGCCGCACAGCCCGGCCACCCCGGCCGAGGGCACGTGGCCACGTGGCGTTGGGGGCTGGGAGCCTCGGGACTCCGTGGAGAAGGGGCTCGGCTGGAGCCTCTCCTGCGGCCTGGGACGCCTGGGCTTTGCCTCTGCTGGTGCCGGGTGTCCACTGGGCCACCCCACCCTCTACTCCTGGATGCGCATGTCCACCCCAGGCCCACTGTCTTCAACAATCCAGAAACCTCCAGAACCTTCTGGAAAGACAGGCAGAGCAGCAGTGGAGCGGGCGTGAGGGTTTGCGCCCTGCTGTCCCGGCTTCTCCGAGCTTCTGGCATGTGGACCACCCTGCAGGCTGCTCACCCAGCACTCGGCCTTTGGGGACCTTTCTCCACTGCCAAACCAGGACACTCGCCAGAGGGGCCATGGGAGAGAAACAGGGCTCCGGGGGCTGCGGGGAGAGGCTGTCCTGGGAGAGATGGCGGCTTTCTCCTCCTTTTTGTTGCCTAGAATGTGAAAGTAAGGGCTGGGGCTGCAGCAGCCGCCGTGAGACCTCCAGGAAGGGAGAAAGGAAGTGAAGACACCTGGTTTTGATGTTGAACTAAAGCACCTGATTTACGGAAGGCACCGTTTTGTAGGGGTTTCTGTTTCTCACAGCTGAAGCTGACCCTTAGCCCATCCCCTCTGCCAAACAGGACGATAATTTGGGTTTTGTAAGAGGACTCACTAGGAAGTGGGTGTCTGGAACTTGGAGCCAGTGGAACTTGCTTCGTGATCTTAGCTTAGTTAGAATACAGCTCAGCTGTGGGCGTGTTTTCTGTTGAGCTGCTTTAGATAAGACGGTAGATCACCTGCCAAGTGAGGTGAGCGCATTGAAAAGCGTGAGCTGTTGGTTGAGGCAGGTCCACCCTCAACGATGTGGTCTCGGGAAGTGGGAAAACATGCTCCCGATTCATCTCAGAACACAAGGAAACGCCTCGGACGGCAAAATAAACCCTGGTAGCCGGGCTGCTCTGGGAGGTGAGGAGGGCTGGGCTGGGCTGTGAGGGCCCTGTGGTGGAACTGAGGCAAAGCGGGGGGGTGCTGCAGGGCTGGCCGAGCTCAGGAGGAGAGGGGGGCCCCCAGGTCCCTGCCCACCTCGGCGAGGAGCGGACAGGGCGGCTGTCAGCTTCCCAGCGGCTTTCAGGGCTAACTGCTGAGCCACTGCCGGGCGACCCCCACCCCCACCACAGGCCTTGTGGGAGGTGTTGTGCCCTGGGGCTGCCGTGCAGAGGAATGTGTTCCCTCCACACCAGAGGCCTGAAGCCTGGAGCTGGGGTGTGGGAGGTCCTGGTCTCCCTGGGGCTCCAGGGCAGGGTACATCCCAGGCCTCTCTGGGGTGCCCCGTTTTGGTACCTCGTGTCCCGTGGCTGCGTCCCTCCTGCTCTGGCCTGTGTGTCTCTGTCTCCCCTCCTCTCCTTACCAGGACCCCACCCTAAATCAGGGTGGTCTCTTCCCAAGCCCCTCAGCTAGCGGATGTGATCCTGGTGTGCGTGGGTCATGGGGGCCTCTTTTTAACCCGCGGGACTGTGGCATCTGGACGTGGCTCTTGTGGAGGGGCTGAGTTCTGAGAGTCCCCAGAGCTGAGCCTGCTGAGGGCTGCGCAGGGCCGTGCTCCCTGGCCTGGGTTTCTGGGGCTCTGATAGGGCACCCCCAGTGCCAGCCCCACACGGGAGGAGGAGGCAGTGTTGGGCCCGCCCCTGCCCCCCCACCCCCCAGGGCTGCCGGGTCCCACTGAGGGGATCCCACCCAGGCTTCGGACCCCGCAGCTCAGCTCCCTGCTCAGCCCCCAGCTCAGCACCACCGTCAGGGCTGAGACTTGCTGTCCACCTGCCCCACGTGGGTCCTGGGCGGAGCCGCTGCTCTGGGGAGCCTGGCCTGGCCGCCCGAGGTCTCCCCACACCCAGAGCCTGCTCACCTCGCCCTTGGCTGGCTCTGCCCACTCCCAGCCAGAGGGAGCCTCAGCCCAGAGCCTTCCAGCAGCTCCCACCCCCTCAGAGCCAGAGCCAAAGCCCTCACCTTGGCCCTGGCTGCACCCCTGAGGCCCCGTTTGCTCCGGGAACACCCCGGCATTTGCCTCCGCAGGGCGGCCCTCTCTGCCTGGAGGCTCTTCCCCGACGCCACGGGCGCTGGCTGCCCTTCCTGGGGCCTTGCTCCCACACCTCCTACCCCGCCGCCGAGCCGTCAAACGGCCCCAACCCAGGCTCCCGGCCCGGCTGGTCCCCTGTTCCTGCTGCAATACAATAGTAGCTGGAAGCTGTTTGGTGGCTTCAACAACCCATTGATCCTCTCGGCTCCGTGGGCCAGAAAATGCAGTGCGGAGGCAGCCACGGTCCTCCTGGAGGAGCTGCTCCTGCTTTCCCAGCGTCCGGAGGCCGCACTCCTGGGCTGGGCCCTTCCCCTCCCTCCTGGCCTCCGCTTCTGTCACCACATGCCCTGTCCCCTCTGACACTGACTTCCTGTCCCGTGGGGGTGAATACATGCAGCCCCACCCTGTCACCCAGGCCGCCCTCCCGGCAGAGGGGAGGCGCATGGAATGGGGCTGCAGGGGTGAGGTCAGAGGCAGCTGCGGGGACCCTGATGATGCTCTGGAGATGGGGTGGCTGACAAGCAGGACTCTCTGAAACCAAGTCCAGGCGAAAGGAGCCGCCTCCTGGGAGCTCGAGGCCCGGGGTGTTAGCTTCTAGAAGCCGGGGGTGCTCTAGACCCCTGATTCTCAAAGTGGGGTCCCTGGAGCACAGCAGCCCCGGGGAGCCTGTTAGGAATGCTAGTTCTGGGGTCCTTCTGGCTCAGAAGCTCCAGGGGTGGGCCTGCAATCTGCGCTTTTGCAGGCTCTGGGGAGTGCTGGCTCCAAAGCACCCCATCGCGGCCCTCTCCCCCACATCGCTGGTCTGAGGACAGGGTCCCTCCTGCGGAGACTGAGGCTTGGTGGAGAATGTTCGCTCAGAGGCGTCGCTCTGCCCGGCGACTGGCTGCGGGCAGACATAAAACTTGCTCTTACTGTAAGGATGGATGATGTTTCCTAGAGCAGTTACAACTCATTTTCTGGGGATTGACAGGAAATTAAATTAGAGGGCAGTCACGAGGGGGAGGAGGCGGTGGGGAGTGACTGGAAGTGCCGTGGACTGTGCAGACGCAGCAGGGACAGCCTGGAGCTGAGACCGGCGGCTTTCAGCTTGTCACGGGCTGGGCGCAAGACTGATGGACTCACCTTTGAGTGGCACTGCAGGGTCGTGGGGTCTGTGCCCACTTCCCTGAGAGGAAAGGAGTGGGCTGATGGGTTGCTGGGCTCCGTGGGGAGGCTGCACGCCGGGTCTATTTCCAGAGCCCCTAGGCTCTAGGAGGAGGCGGCCATGCCCTGAGTCACAGGCAGGGGCCTGACGGGCCCAGGAGGGGCTGCACCCAGACCCCTTGCCTGGCTGGTGTCATGGGTGACCCACAGCCGACCACCTTGCTGCAAGGGTCCCTCAGCCAGGAAGAGACCCCTTGGCCCCATTCCACTCATCCCTGTAAAGAAGGGATATAGAAATAAGAAAAGAGAATATTTTCTTATTTCTTCTAAAATAAGAATGTTTTCTTATTTTTTCTAAAGTAAGAATGTTTTCTTACTTTTTCTAAAGAATGTTTTCTTACTTTAGAAAAACTATAGAATTTACAACTAATTACAACTTTATTAAAATGAATAACATAGTTATGATATATAATTACTATTTACAATTATAACTGAAAAAATGGTAGAATATTTTCTTATTACAGACAAAACAGAAAAGCAAAATTAAGGCATGAAAAAAGTCTTTGTAAACTCACTAGTGCTATTTAATCACTGTGGTATTTAGGTATGTTTATTTCAAACCTTTTTATATGCATATACAAGTACATATTTTATTTACTAGGTAGAATTATCGTTTATATACTTTAAAGGCAAAAATTACCTTTATTGAGGTATGATTTACGTACAATAAAATGTGCATTTAAAAAAGTATTTTTTCTGCCGGGCACAGTGGCTCGCGCCTGTAATCCCAGCTCTTTGGGAGGCCAAAGTGGGAGGAGTGTTTGAGGCTGGGAGCTCGAGACCAGGCTGGGCAACATGGCAACAAAAAAAATTAAAAACTTAGCTGGGTATGGCGGTGTGCACCTGTAGTCCCAGTGACCGGGGAGGGTGTGACGGGAGGGTGGGGAGCCCGGGAGTTTGAGGCTGTACTGAGCTCAGAACCCGCCCCCCCCACCCCCTGCACTCCAGCCTGGGCGACAGAATGAGACCCCTGAAAAGTGTTGGTTTCTGACTTTTTTCGTTTTTGAAATCGTTTCCGGCTGGCCCAAGTCGAAAAATAATGCAGATGTCTCCAGCTGTCCCTGAGAACACTTCCTGTTCCTTGATCTGTGGCTTGTGATTCTCCCCCCGCCCCCACTCCCCTTACATGGGGCTGTGGCTGCCCCCAGCCTTTCCCTTTCGTGACCTCAGGATTGTATGACTGCAGGTTGGGCTGTCCCTTGGGATTCAGGGCCTCAAATGTACCTGCTGACCAGTTGAAGAGTGCTGACCAGCTGTCCTGCTGAACACCTCTCAATCTGGATTTTTGACATTTCCCTGTGATTAAATTCAGGGAATCCAGCTTTGGTGACAGAGCCACTGAAGCAAGGCTGTTCCCTGCTTGGAGACGCACCCACTTTACACGTGTAGGGTGGCGAGTCTGACAAACGCAGCCACAGGCAGCCCCCACCGGGGGAGCCGGACGTTTCCATCCACCCAGACAGCAGCGTTCACGCCCAGGACCATGTGGGCCTGCGCCCCGGGCCGCACCTGCCTCTCCTGCATTCCGTGTCTGGCATCTTGTGTCGTTGCCACCCTGCGTGCCATGTCTGGCTTCTCTCTCTCAGCGAGTGTCCTCCGTGTCTCCGAGTCGCGCCCGTTCTGTTGTGCGTAAATGCCGTTCTCAGAGCTGTTGTTTGTTTAGGGATGTATCATGTTTTCAGCTTAACATTTGTGCCATTCGTGTGCCCTGGCGAGCCCCGCCCCCTCCAAGTTACTGGCGTGCTGTGGGCGTTCTCGGGTTTCTACTCTTCCTGCTGTCGCCAGCGCAGCCGAAGCACCAAGCAGGAAGCTCTGCCGAGTTCTTGGCTTCAGGTAACGTGTCAGACCCAGGGCATGAGCTCCAGTCCCTCTTGCCTCCACAAAGGACAGCACATTTCCAGTTCAGGGTGCTGTGGCCGACACCGTGCGTGTGGCTGGGGCCAGTGTCACCGCGAATCTCGGCTGCTCCACGCCCTTGCTGTGGGCTTGGGGCCAGTGCTTTACCTCTCTGGCCTCAGTTTCCTTATCTGTTAACAGGGTTGGTGTGAGAATGAATGAGAAGGCATGCACAAAGCGGGGCACAGCCTGCCCCAAAGCAAGGTCCCGATCCAAGTAGCTGCCGTTATTGCTAATAGTGGTCCCAGCGGAGCCACAGTTGCTGAACGGTCCTGCAGAGATGTCCCCTTGGGTACAGGGCCCCCAGGGAGGAGCTGGGGACAGAAGGCAAAGCAGCTGGATCCACCCATGCCTGCAGCTTGCTCTTTGCTTAACTGGTTGTTAGAGTTGTCTGTGCAATGGCTGATGGGGATGCTGACAGCTCAGGAAAGGGTAGGGAGAAGGAAGCTCTGTCCATGGTGGGCGGCCTCCGTGGCTTTGGTGGGCAAAGGTTGTGTTTCTGCAGAGCCATGTCTATGTGAGCTGGGGGCCTGGCCAGGCTCTTCAGGACTGGCTGGAACCCCTGGCACAGGCAGGGCCTGGGAGTGGGGCTGGCAGGGCAGGCCCTTCCTTCTCTGTCACCCACCACCTGCTGTAGGGAATGGGTGAGAGTTCAAGCCCCTGGCGGGGTTGCCTGGAGGTCGATGGAAGGAGGAGCTGCTCCTCGTCAAGGCTGCCCCAGCTCGAGTCCTTCCTTGAGATTAGGGCTGCAAACATACGCACACGTGCGTGCACACATACACACATCCATGCACACACGTTCATGTACACATCCATGCAGGCACACAATCCATGCACACGTGCACACATCCGTGCACACTCACATCTATACACACATGCACACACATCCATGCACAAGCACTTCCATGCACAAACACATCCATGCATGCACATACACACACACACATCCATGCACACGCACTTCCATGCACAAACACATCCATGCATGCACACACATGCGCACAGACATCTATGCATACACACACATATCCATGCACACATACCCCTCTTGCTCTCTTGGACATGTGAGGGCACGGTGAGAAGGTGGCTGTCTACGAGCCAGGAAACAGGCCCTCCTAGGGCTGGGGAGCTCGTGTCTCATGGGGACAAAGCCTGAGTTTGGAAGATGACAGGTTCTGGGGGTGGGGGTGGGGATTTCGGCTGCACAGAGGCCTGACTGCTCTTAATCCTGCTAAAGTGCACTGAAAAATGTGACGATGGTGAGTTTTCTGTTATTAAATGAAATGATATATGTATGATTGTATGTATTCAATATCTGCATAAAATGCATATTACGTGTATTATAATACATATAATTTTACACAATTAAAAAATGAAAATAGAAACGAAGCCAGCGCAGCTGCTGAAACAGAGAAGGACTTAGCAGACTTGCAGCTCCGCGTGTCTCCGTCACGGCCACTGCGGGAAGCCTCCTCACTGCTGGGAGGGCCTGTGGGTCTCGGGGTGTACACTCGTTCCGGCCCACGGGTGCCCCTGCATTCTGTGGGGCTTTGGGGGTGTCTGTGTGGGGTGCACGTGGACACCACGGCCCTGAAAGGTCTCGTGTTGGGCACTTCCAGGTTTGCAGGGAGTGTGGGCTCCAGGGAGGGCAGGTGTCGGCCCCGAGGGGAGAGCTGGGGTAGGGACCTGCCCCATCCCCGACGGCCACGCCGAGTTCTCATGTTTTACACCATCTTTGTCCTTGAGCCTTTTACACACTCAGCAACATGCAACAACCCCCTGACACACCTAACACACACTCCCATCGCCAGTGCACACATAGCACACATGTTTGCACACTCACCCTGCACAACTAATATGGCACACTCACCCAGCGCACGCTCACACCCAGCACAGGCTCAGCACATGCTCACACCCCACACAACACACACAGCACACACACAATGCACGCTCACACCCAGCACAGGCTCAGCACAGGCTCACACCCCACACAACACACAGCACACACACACACCTCAGTACACACATCCTGCACAACTCACACCGCACACACACATGCTCAGCGCACGTTCACACCCCACACAACTCACACAGCACACACACGCACAGTACACACACCCAACACAACTCAAACCACACACACACTCAGTACACACACCCAACACAACTCACACAGCACACACACACACACTCGGTACACACACCCAGCACGCACACATAGTACACACACCCAGCACAACTCACACTCAGTACACACACCCAGCACATGTACCCACCCAGCACACGTTCACTCGCACCCTGCACAGCCCAGCGCGCACACACCCAGCAGACAGCACATGCTCTCACATGCTGGCATCAGCCGTCAGCCTCAGCTGCTGGAGGGTGTGGTGGAGGCGGGCGGTGAGCGCTGGGTGCTGGGGTCCACGTCCTTCCAAGCCCCTGCATAGCGGCCGCCTTGGCTGGCGATGACTGGAGGGGGTGAGGGGTGAGGCCACCAGCACAGGTGTGTCCCTTCACTGTTTCCACCTCGTGTGCCCGCCACGCTGTCTTCCTGCCGCTGGTGAAGTCTGTCTCCCCCCCCCCCCCCCCCGAGTGATGGGGCGCCTCCGACTGCCCGGCCACGGTGCCTGCACCTCCGCTCCTCCTCTCCCTGCACCCTCCAGGCCTGGGGGCCCCGGGGCTGACCTTGACCTTCCCACCCGCCCAGGTGTGGCCGGGACAGCACCGCAGTTGTGGCGCCCCTGGGTGGGCAGGAGGGCTGGAGAGTGTGTGGTGTGTGAGCCTCGTGTGGCTGCGTGGCGTGTGTGATGTGTTTCATGGGTGGTGTATTGTGTATGTGTGTGTTGCGTGTGTGGCGTGTGTGGCATGTGTGGCATGGTTGAACGTGTGCTGGTGGAGGCAGCCGTGGCCACTGACCATCTGCCCCTGGGCGGCAGGAGGGGGAAAGCCTTGACTCTGAGCACTCCCAGGTGCACAGGTTCCGCAGGGTCCATGCGGGTGGGAAGTCGGTTTCTCTGCTCTCCACAGTTGAGTATTCCTGGAGAAGATGGCAATGGCCCAGGGTGTTGGTGGGAGAGGGGCTCACGATGGGAAATTCTGGGGAAGGAGCTAAGGGCGGCGCGGGTGCACAGTATGCCCTCGATAAGTGCCTGGGGAATGAATGTGTGGAGTCGCGTATCTGTCCTCGGGTGAACGGTGCGTGGGGCCGCGTGGCTGTCCTCGGGTGAATGGTGCGTGGAACTGTGTGTCTGTCCTCAGATGAACAGGAGTGGGGCCGGACGTCCCTGTGTCCCCCTGGTGTTCCTCTCCTTCTCTCACTCTCTGTGGCTGTTTCTCCTCTCTCTGGGTTCCCTGAGAGCCCAGCCTCTTGGATCTGCCTCTCCCAGGCACTGCTCCCTTTCAGCTGGCAAACAGTCCAAACCTCCCATCCTAACAACAACAGAAAATGTCCCCCCAGGCCTCGCTCTTCCTCCAAACACGAAACCATCCCCCTTTATGTTACTTAGGAGTCATTGGGTTGCTAGTGACAGAAAAACAAACCAAAACTGATTCAGGCAATCGGGAGTGTGTTGACTCCTATTGGTAACTGCCTTCAGGTGTGGCTTGATCCAGGGCTCAAATGGCCACCTCTGCTTTCTCTGGTTTGGCTCCATGTTCGGGCCTGTGCGGTAGCCCCTGGTGGCTTCAAGCTCTTGTCACCACAACTTCCAGCCTCTGGGAGTCTTTCCCATCCCACGAGTGTCCCAAGAGTCATTCTGGTCAGAATATTCTTGGTTGGAGCTCCTCACCGAGCCAGTGTGGGGGCTGAGCATGAGTGTCAGATGGTGCCACTTTCTCCTTTCCAGCCAGACGCCTTTTCTTTTCTTTCCTGGCATGATGGCACCGGTGATGAGAGCTCCAGTGCTGGGCTGAGAGAGCATGGTGACACACTCACCCTGGCTGTGCTCCTCTATTGGGGAAAGCGGTCTTCTCTCACTGTTGAGTAAGATACCAGCTGTGGGTATTTTTGTCAATGCTCCTTACTGAGCTGGGGGAACAGAGCTCCTCTCTGTTCCTTCTGAGAGTTTTGGTCATGAATCCATGTTGAATTTTATCACGCTTTTTTTCTGTGAGATTGTGTGATTTTTTTTCTTAAGCCTGTTAGAATTGTGGATTATATTGACAGATTTAAAAATAATTGAACCAGACTTGTGTCCCCGGGTTAACCTTCTCTTGTACGTGGCATATGATTCTTTTCATATATTGCAGAATTTGCTAACATTTTGTTAAGGATTTTTCCATCTATATTCATAAGAGATATTGGTCTGATTTTCTTTTTTGGTACGATTTTTATCTAGTTTTGGTATCTGGGTACTGTTAATCCATAAAATGAACTAGAAAATGTTCTCTACTTTTCTATTTGCTGGAAGAGCTGCATAGAATTGGGGTAAATGTTTATTTAAATGTGTGGTAAAATTTGCCAAACAATCTGGGCTTGGAGATTCCTTTATTAGGAGTTTTATAATTATATATTACATTTCCTTCATAGTTACGGGGTAGTCACACTGTCTGGTTCATGCTGGGTAGGTTGTGGTCTGCTGTGTTTTCTTAGGAATTGGTCTATTTCAACTGGGTTGTCAAATATTTCCTTATTCCTTTTTTTTTTTTTTTTTTAAATAGGGTCTCACTCTGTCACCCAGGCTAGAGTGCAGTGCTGCAATCATAGCTCACTGCAGCCTCAATCTCCTGGGCTTACGTGATCCTCCCACCTCAGCCTCCAAAGTAGCTGAGACTACAGGCAGGTACCACCTGGCTAATTTTAAAACTTTTTTTGGTACAAAAAGGGTGTCATTATGTTGCCCAGGCTGGTCTCAAACTCCTGGACTGAAGTGATCCTCCCAGAGTGTTGGGATCATAGGCGTGAGCCACTGTGCCCAGCTGCCCTTGTTCTTTTCACGTTTATATCAGAGTGCTGGGATCACAGGCGTGAGCCCCCGTGTCCAGCTGCCCTTGTTCTTTTCATGTTTATATCTATGGGGTTGGTGTGTGTCTCCTTCCTTCCTGATACTTGTGATTTGTGTCTTTTTTTGGTCATTTTTGCTAGAGGTTCACCCATTTACATATGTTTAAAGAAACCAGCTCTTTGACTTTCTGTATTGTTCCTCTGCTTTGCTTTCCATGATTTCTGTCATTTTTTCTTTCCTTCTGTCATTTTTTCTTTCCTTCTGTCTGCTTGCATTGGGTTGATTTTGCTCCTCTTTCATAGTTTCTTGAGGTGGGAGCTTTGATGATTGAATTGATTAGGCTAGTGCTGGAGCTTTTTAATTTTTATTTTTTGATCCTTGTTTCTGGATTACCAGCTTCTTCAAGTCCAAGCATGGGATCGATGAAGCAAGAAGAAAATCCAAGGCCTTCACCACCACATCATCCTTTGGGTCCTGAGGTCCCTAGCCAGCCTGCTTCTCTCCACCCTGCAGGGTCCTAAGTTTTCTCATATAGAGTTTTATGCCATGCTTAGTGAGATGAATAGAGAAAAATACCTCTGCTCTATCTTCCCAGGAGCAGAAGACCCATCCCACTGACTTTTTTTTTTTTTAAACAGAGTCTTGCTCTGTTGCCCAGGCTGGAGCGCAGTGGCGCGATCTCGGCTCACTGCAAGCTCCGCCTCCCGGGTTCACGCCATTCTCCTGCCTCAGCCTCCCGAGTAGCTGGGACTACAGGCATCGGCCACCATGCCCGGCTAATTTTTTGTATTTTTAGTAGAGACGGGGTTTCACCGTGTTAGCCAGGATGGTCTTGATCTCCCGACTTCGTGATCCACCTGCCTCAGCCTCCCAAAGTGCTGGGATTACAGGCTTGAGCCACCATACCTGGCACCCATTGACTTTTGACATCAAGCATTGGCGTGATGCCTGGGGCTGACTTCCCTCTTGTCAGGGTCTGGCTGTATTTATTCCACCTGGATCATGTGCCAATATAAAATTCTGTGTCATCTTTTCCTGAAACACAGTCTATTTCAATGTACGGATTAATCCTTCTTTCATGTCAGGTGAATTTTCTTGTGTGATAGCTTTAAGCAGCTCTCCCGTTTTACTTTTGAGGTTTTCCTTCTTAGAGGCACCTCTTCTCCCTGTGCGGACTTATCTTTGTGTGTATTCCAAATAATTCATTATCGTTTTTTCTGTTGCTTTACCCTATGTATTAAAACATTTTTGGCCGGGTGTTGTGGCTCATGCCTGTAATCCTAGCACTTTGGGAGGCTGAGGCAGGTGGATTGGTCAAGCCCAGGAGTTTGAGACCAGCCCAGGCAACACAGTGAGACCCAATCTCTCCAAAAAAACATGAGCCCAGCTTGGTGGCGTGCACCTGTGGTCCCAGCTACCTGGGAGGCTGAGGCGGGAGGATCACCTGAGCCCAGGAGGTCAAGGGTGCAGGGAGCTGAGAACGTGCCCTACATTCCAGCCTGGGTGACACAGCAAGACCTGGTGTCAAAAACTAAAAACCATCTCGAATCGGCGCCCCCGCCACAAGCATTTTTTCTCGTCGGCAGCTCAGTTTTCAGCTGTGCTTAGTCTGGTTTCCGCTCCTCTGGGTTTTCTCGTTTCATCTTGGTGTTTTTTGGGTGTTCTTTCGTTTATTCAACGCTGTGATCGGTTGTTTTCATCTCATTCTTCAGTTTTGTCACCTAAACCCCGTGGTCTTCTGTTACAAGTTTGCCAGCTTCGATCTTCTGAAGTGAGAGGTGCCTGCGCAGTGCTCTTCCATTCCTGGGGCTGTTTTCTTCCGGAATGGCTCTCTGTCTTGTGGCAACCTCTGCTTCCTCTCTTTTCTTTCCCTTTCTTTTCTCTCTCCCTCCGCCCCTCCCTTTCTTCCTTCCTTTTCTTTTTCTTTCTTCTTTCCTTCCTCCCTCCCTCCCTCCTTTTCTTACACATCTGAAGAGCTGCTGTGTTATTTTGTTTCATTTGAATATGTAGCAAGTCCCCATGTCTTCACTGGGTCAGAACCAGTAAAATTTCCCTGTTCCCTTCGCGGCTCCTGACCTCCCTCTGAGCCACGGTCGGAGTCGGTGGGAGGGAGGGAGGGAGGGCTGCGGTCAGCTGAGCCCTGGCGTCGACTTTGCTGCTGAGACAGGACCTCTTGCTTCCTGCAGCCCCCAAAGCCAGACAGAGAGAAGCGTGAGCACTGCCCAGGAGGCCGCTTTCATTTCTGTGGGGACATCGGGACCACCCACCGGACACCCCCAGGAAGGCCACGTTCTGAGGTTAGAAAGGGAAAAAATCAGATCTCACTGAACTATGCCCGTTAAGGGGGAAATGATCCCAGTTTTGAAATCCATCTTCAAAGCCCTGTAAGCGTGGCCCGGCGACGTTGTGCTCTGATGGGGAGCGTGTGCAGGGCACAGGCCGGGCAGCCAGCACTTCGCCGCCCAGGAAATACCAGCCGGTCAACTTGGGTTAGTGCAGATAAGCCATTTAATTTAATTTTAAAATGACTGTGGGGCACAGGAAAGAACAAGAAGAAACCACAAACAAGGCTCCCATCTTCTTTGTCCCCGAGCAGGTAACTGTGCAACTTATCAAGATTGTCAGTTTAATTAACTTTGGCCGCCAGAGGAGGCCATTCTTATCTACAGGACAAGCACCGCGGCTGTACCAGCCTCTGAGTTCCGACTCGGGTCCTGCAGGTGTGGCTTCCTGGCGCACGCGGGCTCTCTGAGCTCAGGGAGGCTCCGAGCCTGCCTCCAGGACGCAGCCTTTGTCACTCTGTCTTACTCCACCTCCATCTCAGACCCCCGAGCTACCGGGCCAGGCTGCCTTCTGCATCCGTGGAGCCCCAGTGCCCGTGAGGGTGTCCAGGCCTCACCCTGTGGGGCCGTGCATGAATCCAGGCATGGAGGAAGTGTAGCTGGGCTTCTCTAAGCTGAGACAAGTAAAGATGAAGAGGCCCCCAGGTACCCAATTCCTATAGGTGTGAGGCCAGGGCACCAGACAAAGGCGTGAGCTGCAAGTATGGGCGTCTCCTATGGAAAAAGTGGCTCACACCAGAGCCTGGGCCCCGGAGGGAGGAGCCACGCGCCTGGGAGACCACACAGCCGGGAGCAGGACCAGTGTGGCCCGGGGACACTCCCCAAGCCGGGACTCGGCGACAGGCCCGGGGGCCTCAGGATGTCGACGGGCCTCGTGTTGCCCTCGCTGCGGCCGTCCTGGCTGTCCTGGCCTATGTCGGGCTTGAGTGGGGTGGCAGGTTCCGAGATGAGGAGGAACCGCACTGAGAAGCCTCCTCTGCATCCGAACCCGCCACCGGTCACAGGAACACGGACTCTGATTGGTGGGTTTATTTTTTTGAGCTGCCCATCATGAGCCGCCCTCTGCTGAGCTTTGATCTCGATGCCTTAATCAGATGGGGCTCTGGTGGTCTAGGGAGGGGAGAATGCGGTTTTATGAGAGGGGAAGGGACTCGCTGGGGCAGAGGGCGGGCTGCCGGATTCACCAAACCCGGGGCCCGGGCAATTCTCCCTGTGTCCATGCACTGGTGGGACTGTGACTGGGCGGCACCTCCCCTCCCGGGATGGGTCTGTGTCCCTAGGCCCTGGGTCTCGGTGGCCTTTGATTTGCCGTGGTTGGTAGAACATGGTGGAAGGGGTGTGGGGCCTTGCAACGCCTCTCCACTGGGCTGTGGCTCTCCCACGCCCACCGCAGAAGGAACCGGCCTGACCTACAGGAAGGTGAGGGTGGTGTGCGGAATTTCTCCACAGGAGCCCTGGAACGTGAGGACGTGCGCCGTCCTCAGTTAAACTCAAAAGGGGGGTCATCGGGGTGGCCTCGCCTGCTCACTAGCCCCTCAGAGCCAGGAGAACTGGCCATGCTGTTTCCGGTTGGAAGATGGGAAGGGCCCTTGAGAGGAAGATGCCGGCAGCCTTCAGGAGCCGAGAGGGGACCCGGCTGACAACCTGCAAGGAGGCCGGGACCTCAGCCCTGCCGCTGCAGGCCCCCAGAGCTGCCAGGCCCCCCCGCGAGCCTGCAGGCGGGTTCTTCCCCAGAGCCTGCAGAACGGCACCTGCCCTGCTGGCACCTGGACTCCAGGCTGTGAGCCCTGAGTGGCAAATCCACCCACACCGTGGCTGAGTCCTGGCCATGGAAGCTGCCAGGGGATGAACTGGCGTTGCTCTGAACCGCTAGATACGGGGCTCATCAGAAACAGAAAACTGAGGCAGGAGGCCGTGCGGAGGACAGCCCAGGCCGCAGCGACGGCCAGCCCCACCCGCCAGCTGCCAGGAGCCGTCTGCTGCCCGGCCTGGCCAGCCCTGCTGGTGACCATGGCGGCCCATGAGCCAGCCCAGGGAGCCCCCATGGACCCAGAGAATTGTGAGGACCAGGAGCCCAGCGCTGCTTTAACCTGCTGCGTTTCGGGTGGTTTAGTTCCCGTGTTGTGCGTGGACGCATCGTGGCACGGGGGATTCTGCCCAGCAACTGCTCTGTGTTCTGAGACACTAAAGGCCAGTGCAGCGTTAGAGTCAGGCTGGAGGTGGGGGCAGGGGTGAGGAAGAGGGGACGAGAAGTTGGGGGAGGGAGAGGAGCAGGAGCAGGAGGGAGGGTGGGGCTGCTCTCTGGGCAGCCAGGCTCAATACACAGAGAAGCTTCCCTCAGTGGCTAAACCGGGCCAGGAGATGCTGGTTCCGGGGAATGAGCCCACTGCTCTGCCCTCTTCCCGTCCCGGCTCCGCCACCTCCCCAGCTCTGTCCTGATTTCACACAAACCCATCATTCCATTTCACTCCAGAGATGAAATCGGTTCTGCAGCTCACCCTATCCCCATCTTGAGCACCGCCTGAGGGCGCAGGTGGGGTCCCTCCCTGCCCAGCGGGGGATGGGGTGGGCGTGGGGGGGCGCGCACCTGGAGCTGCGCTTCCCTCTGGCGGCCTCCCTGCCCGGTGAGGGGCTGTGCCTCCGGGGTCTGTCTCCCGGCATTTTTCATATTCCACGGGGTTCTGTCATCCTGACTGTGAAGGGCACACGGAGCCGGGTCCTGGCCCATTTGACCGGCTCGGCTCACCCCTGCGCTGCCTGTTCGCCTGTGTCCGTCTGTCCGTCCATCTGTCTGCTGGCCACAGCTCTTCCACCCTCGGGGAGGTGTTCTTCCCCCTCTGCTGAGCCTGCATGAAGACGCGTGCGCTCAGGCCGGCGTCTGCAGTGTAGACACAGCTGCCTAGGCTCACTTGTGGTGTGGACGCTGTGCTGTGCCGGTGTTGCGCTGTGTCCGGTGCAGGCGCCGTCCTCTGGCTTCTCTGGGGTGTGTGCAGCGTCGACGCTGTCCCGGCGGGGCTCGGAGGGAACCGCCCGGCGTAGTGTGAGGGGCGGGGCCGCTCCTGCGGAGTCCACGGAGCTCGGCCGGCCGCGGGGGCCTCTTCGCCGAGGGAGTCGGGGCGGGGCCCGTCTTTCCGGGGACGGAGCACGGAGGAGACGCAGCGACGGAGGAGTCGAGGGCGGGGCCTGGGGCGGCCCTTCGCCCTTTTAAGTCACTGCGCGCGGGTCCCAGGCGGCGCCCGTCTCGGGGGCAGGTCCGCGGGGTGTGACGAATGTTCCCGCGGCGTCTCCCCGCCCTCCCCGGCGCCTCCCCCGGCCTCGGGCAGCCGCTTTCTGCACGGCACCTCCGAAGCCGCTGGGCGTCTGTAACCAACCTGCACGTTGTGCGCATGTGCCCCAGAAATTAAAGTAGAATAAACAACAACAAAACCAAAAGACCTTTTTACTTTGACGCAGTTTTAGATTCCCAGGACGTTGCACAGAAAATCCGGACGGATCCTGTGCCCTCCGCCCAGCTCCCGGGGTCACAGGCAGCCTCGGCTCCGACCCCGCCGGGCGCGCGGTGACCGGCTGTGCGGGTTCCAGGGGCGGATGTGCGCTTTGCCCGGCCCCTCTCCCGCCGCGCGGCCGCTCCTCCTCTCCGCCAAGGGCCGGTTCAGGCACAGGCCCCGCCGAGGCTGCCCCTGACTTGAGGGCTCACGCACCGGGCTGCTTGCGGCTCTGGACTATTGTGAATAAGGCCGGTGTGAGTATTTTACTGTAAGTCTTTGGGGACGTGTCTTCATGCCCCTTGGGTGAATCCAGGTGTGAGATTGCCGGGCCGGGGTGCTGTGAGTTACCTTTGGTTATAGGGAGGTGGTGACCCATGGTGGCTCCAAGTGCCCGTGGCCTTTCGTGACCCCGCCAGCAGCGGGTGGGCCTTTGGGGCGCTCCGAGGCTCGCCCGTGCTGCCCGTGGGTGCTTCAGCCAGTCCGGCCGCCGTGGCTTTCCTCTGCAGCCCCCGGTGCCTGCTGGCGTCGTGCCTTTCCGTGTGCTCGTTGGCCACGCACATGTCGAGGGGCCGTTCTGACGATGGACTGAGGGGCTCGGGGATAGCACGTGTCCAGCGGGGCAGGTCAGCCTTTCTCTTCTCCCCACAGACCTCAGCACAGCTCTGCACCTCGGAGGACTCGGGGAAGTTTCTGGGCCTATTTGGGCAATAGGAGAAGGTCATGGGCTGTCTTTCCAAAATTCACGTCCACCCAGAACCCCCGAATGAGACCTATTTAAAGAGAAGGCCTTAGCTGATGGAACATTAAGATGAGGCCACCCTGGAGCAGGGTGGGCCCTGAATCCGAGGCTGCTGTCCCTGCAAGGTGACGAGAGGGTGCAGGCGTGGAGGAGACACATGGGGGTGGGGTGAGGAACAGGCCACCGGCAGCAGAGACGGGTCAGGCCCAGCGAGGGAGGAGGTGGGAGGAGCCCCGGAGCCCTCGGAGGAAGCCGGGCTGGCACCTGGGCCTTGGACTCTGGGACTGTGAGGGAATCAATTCTGCCATCTGAAGCCACCTGCTGTGGTCCTGTGTTACAGCAGCGCTGGGCACAAACATGGGAGGGCCTCGTGATTGGGACTGGGGCATTCACAGGCCCGGCAGGCTGGTGAGCCGGTGCCTGGCAGGTGGGGAGGACATGGTGTGAGAGGCGGCCTGCGGGCCGGCCAGTGAGCTCCAGCACGGGGACTGGTCACCAGCCAGTGAGCTCCAGCACGGGGACTGGTCACCGGACAGCAGTGTCAGCGTGGACGGTGATCCCTCTAGAAGCCCTCCTTGTGTCTCGGGCCGGAAGCTAGGCACTGCACGCGCTCGGGAATGGGCCGCTGCTGTGAGGGAGAGCGCCCGCTGTGCAGTGGGTGTCAAATGAATATTAATAAACAAAAGAGCCAATTATCCTTCGTTGCAGACAAGTTTCTTTGCAGAAAATTTAGGAAATACAAGAAGCAAATAAAAAAATCAAAACCACCCAGGAATATAACAGTTATGATGTGCTTTTTTCCTAATCTTCAAAGCAAAGCTTTGGAGCCTGTATTATTTCTTGTTTGAATTAAATGCAGTTCAGAAGGAGAAAGTAATTTCCCCAAAGCTGCCCAGTGAGGAGAGGGCGCCCAGGTGTGTCTGCTGCTGCCCCTCTCTGCAGACCCCAGAGCTGTCCCTGCAGCCCTCTCAGAGGGGGCCCCCGCCCTGGAGTCTGCCCTTCACCTTCCCCTTGCTTCGACCAGAGCTAAACTTGCCTGTGATGACGAGGGAGTGTTTGGGAGACCCCCACGCTCTGTGTGGTTGGGCCCCTGGTCAACACCAGCCCGGCCTGCACCCCTGCTGGGGCCCTTCGAGGCTGCCCCGCTCCTGGGGACAGGCCCCCCCCGCATGCTGCTTCCTGTAGGACCCACTCTTGAAGTCGGTCTGAGCCATAAATGAGACTCATCAGGCAATGGGCATTTTTATTAGAGGCAAAATTAAATTCGGATGCCCAGGATCTCTATCAAGAGCAGAGAAAGGAGAAGAATGACGTGTGTATTTGTTCACTGCTTCCACCAGGAGCGCCTGCTCCCGCACCGGCCGCTCCGAGCCCCGGTCATCGGGCTGGGGGAGTGCCTGCACCCGTACTGGCTGCTCCGAGCCCCTGTCGTCGGGCTGGGGGAGTGCCTGCTCCTGTACCGGCCGCTCCGAGCCCCGGTCGTCAGGTGCCAATGAACCATGTCAAACAGATGACGTGGATTTTTCTGAATCTGCTGCAGAGCCAGATTTTAATTGAATCAATGGGAGAAGCAGGCCTGCTATTAAGTTTTATTAAATTCTATTTGCTTGTATCCTTGCCATTTAAAACATGACTGTTTAAAAAGAAAAAAATACTGGGCAGCCAGGCAGGGTTGAAGGTCGCAGGTTTGGGGTCACATGGATCTGGGTGGGACCCCCTGGGTCGGCCTCTGTGATGCGTGTGTCTTGTATGGAGTCATTTTACTCCTCCGAGCCTCTGTTTCTCCTTAAGTGGGCACAGGAGTGCTCAGTACTACTTAAGGTATTTGAAGAATTAAATGGGATTAAAATTTCAGCCGTATATAAACATCTTCCTCCCTCCCTCGTCCTCCTCCTGTGTCCTCCCTCGTCCTCCTCCTGTGTCCTCCCTCATCCTCCTCCTGTGTCCTCCCTCATCCTCCTCTGTCCTCCCTCCTCCTCCTCCTCTAAGGAGAAGAGAATGGTTGGCAGCAGTTTTCCCGAGTACCTGGGACAGGAGCTGGCGTTTCTGTAGACCTTTGCTCTGAAAGGAATCTCTTGTGCGTCCTGTCTTAGTCACATCTGTTGGACTGGGGGCGTGCTCTGCGTCTCGGTCGCGTCCGTCGGACTGGGGAGGTGCTCTGCGTGTCTCGGTCGCGTCCGTCGGACTGGGGAGGTGCTCTGCGTGTCTCGGTCGCGTCCGTCGGACTGGGGAGGTGCTCTGCGTGTCTCGGTCGCGTCCGTCGGACTGGGGAGGTTCTCTGCGTGTCTCGGTCGCGTCCGTCGGACTGGGGAGGTGCTCTGCGTCTGGGGGTTTTGGGAGAGCAAGTTGGGGGTGTGCTGGCCAGTGTCTGACAATAGGCTGTTGGAAGCGCAGCCGTGGCGTGTAGCATTGCCAATCATAGTGTCTGTATCTCTGTCTGTCTCTCCACCACGGACCGTTCCAGGCGACCAACACGCAGTCTCCAAGCTTGGAGTTGCCTGCTGTAGGCCCCCCACCGACTGCCGGAACCCCAGCTCCCAGCCCTTCCAGCCTGTGGGTGTTGGTAGGCGGTTTCGGCAGTTGTGAGCCTGGTCAAAGCCTCAGCTCTTCCCTCACTTGGGCAATCGGTCCTCCATATTAAATCCCTTTTGTTTGACTGGTTGGATCCCACCTGATACAATTGGGGTGGCCCCAACCAAGGACCTATGGTTACAAAACAGGACACAGAAGTCCATGAGGAGGAGTGATTGTGCCTTACAGGAAGGGACGTATCCACATGTGTCAAAGGGTTTAGGGGATCACGGTGGCTTCAGCACAGCCCACGGACGGCACAGCCTACAGATGGCACAGCCCACGGACTGCACTGCACGTTTTCCTGAGCCCAGGGACTGTGCTGGGGTCAGGGCAAATGCATGTCTCCATCCGTTTGGCATTTTGCTATTCATATAAAGGAACATCTGAGACAGGGTAATTCGTGAAGAAAAGGGGTGTAAGTGGCTCACGGGCCTGCAGGCTCTACAGGAAGCCTGGCACCAACATCTGCTTCCGGGAAGGCCTCAGGGAGCTTCTTCTCAGAGCAGAGGGGACGTGGTGAGGGAGGGAGCAGGGAGGGCAGTGCCAGGACCCTTCTAACAACCAGCTCCCTCAGGAACTACTAGAGTGGATGTTAGTTACCATGAGGACAGTGCTGGACTGTTCATGAGGGATCCACCCGTGACCCAAACACGTCCCAGCAGGCACCACCTCCATGTTGGTTAAATTTCTACCTGAAATTTGGAGGGGACAAACATCCAATCTACATCAGCATGTCACTGTGACTTAAACAGTATGGTTGGTTCCCATGTGGGGCACCCCTCTGAGGCAGGCGTGAGAGTCTAGGCCAGCAAGGACATCCTGGTGGCCACGGCCGAGTGTTGGCCATGCAGCCGTGCAGGGACCATCTTCAACAGCGACACCGTGTGGCAGCAGATGCAAAGGCAGCAGCGGACGTTGGGACATCTCCAGCTCTGCCCCACCCATGCAAGGGTGGGGAGCTCTTTGGATTACATGATCTCTAGGATTCGTGGGTACTTTCTCCAGAACAGGGGCAGTTCTCAAGAGGCGTGTGGCCACTTAGGCAGGTAAGGACAGAGGGGAATAGTCAGGGAAATAAGGACACTTGGAGGTGTATTTGGTGAAGCAGAGTGTTTGGCAAGTCAAAGTCATGCCTGTTGAAGAGTCTCCTGTCCGGACAGCGTGGACAGCACCTCACCTCCGCTGCCCTGCAGGGATCTGCCATCCCAGGTGCTCCCCTCGGGACTCCTCCTGGTGCCAGGGAGGAGGGGCTGGGCCAGGTGAGGCGGAGCAGCCATAGGCTTCCCTCAGTGGGAGGGAACACTCACCTCCCTGAAGGGTGGGAGTTCTACTGAGGATTCGAGAGTAATTTTCCAGGTGTCAGGTTTTCTGTGGGATCCTGTGTGGGCTATGAACCAGCCAGCTTTGACTTGCCTGTCAATTTGCCTAATGAATTGGTGTGTGAGCGAGCCGAGTTTGCACCTGCCATCCTCTTGGTCTAAACTACAGGCACTGCACGTTGCAAGATAAGGGACGTTGCACATCCTTCACCTGGGAAACTTCTGGACTCCTAACTTCACCTGGGAAACTTCTGGACTCCTGTGAGTCTGGCTGGGGGTGGGGGGGGTCCCTGGCAAGCCACTCACTTTTGGGGCCTCACTCACTGCCCGTGTTTTGCCTCCATGATCTTAGAATTTTGGCAAGATCTGGACTAGACAGAGGGCTGAGGCTTGGGCTGGGGTTGGGAGAATTCTCTGCTGAGAACAGAGAAACTGGGACCCCTCAGGGCTTCTTACAGGAACAGGAAGCAACGACTGGGGAGTCCCAGAGGAAGGCGTTGAGCAGAGGGGCCGTGTGGTGGGTGGGCACCCCAGCAGGCAGGGTGCTGGGGGAGGAACATGAGCCCCTGCGGGCTTTGGAAAGAGCAGTGAAGTACAGCCCCATTGCCTCTGCCCAGGGCTAGCGGAAAGTGAAGTGTTCCCAGCCCCATTGCCTCTGCCCAGGGCTAGCGGAAAGTGAAGTGTTCCCAGCCCCATTGCCTCTGCCCAGGGCTAGCGGACAGTGACGTGTCCCCGCAGGCTGAACTCCGACTGGTGACAACGGGTCAGCGTCCTCACTCCCTGGAGACTCGGAGCCTGGACTTGCCAAATTTGGCACCTGCCCATTTTTTTTTTTTTTCTTTGAGATGGAGTATCACTCTGTTGCCCAGGCTGGAGTGCTGTGGCTCGATCTCGGCTCACTGCAACCTCCACCTCCCAGGTTCAAGCTATATTCTGCCTCAGCCTGCTGAGTAGCTGGGATTACAGGTGCCTGCCACCATGCCCAGCTAATTTTTGTATTTTTAGTAGAGATGGGATTTCACCTTAGCCAGGATGGTCTCAATCTCCTGACCTCAGATGATCCACCCACCTCAGCCTCCCAAAGTGCTGGGATTATAGGCGTGAACCACCGTGCCTGGCCTTTTAAAAAAAAAATTTTAGATTCATGGGTACATGTGTGGGTTTGTTATGTGGGTATATAGCTTGATGCTGAGGTTTTGGCTTCTAACGATCCCATCACCCAGGGAGTGAACGCAGCTCCCAACAGGTGGTTTTCCAGCCCTCGTCCTCGTCCTCCTCCCCCTCCCACCTGCCCCTCTGGAGTCCCTGGCGTCTGCTATTCCCTCTCTGCGTCATGTGCATGCAGCATTCAGCTCCCATGGATAAGTGAGAACACGTGGTTTTGGTTTTCTGTTCGGGTTGAGTTCTCAGGCTGACGGCCTCCAGCTGCATGTGTGGCTGCAGGGGACGTGCTCTCCTCCATTTTCCCGGCTGCATCGAGTTCATGGTCTGTCTGCACACGTGAGGCCACCTGCCAGGCCACATCCCAGCACAGGCGTCATCCAGTGATTTCCTCATCGGCCAGAGTCTGCGTCTGCAGCTTTGTGAGCCACGCGGCCATGGCCTGACTCTGTGCCGAGAGCCCCGCAGCGGTGGCCACAGACAATAGTAAGCAACTGGGTGTGGCTGGGCGCCAATAAAACTGTATTTATTAAAACAGGCAAGGGGCTGGGCTGCGGCAGGGCCCAGGTGCCTGGGAAAGAGGTGGGACCGGGCCCCAACCCCCAGCTCGGCTCCCAGGAAGACACACACAGTGCTGCTGCCTAATCCTCTCTTTATTTGGTCTCTGCTGAAGCAGTCGTGCCAGCCTCCTAGACACGGCCTCAGGTTTGTCGCTGTCCATGTCCTCCAGCACCCCTCTTACCAGACCACAAGGAGCTGCATTATGATGTGTGACTTAGGTCTTGGTTGGAGGGCTGAGCGGCCGCAAGTGCTGGGGGAGGCTGCTTGGAGCATGGGAGGCCTGCGGGTGGAAGACACCAGGGTGCAGCCTGGTGCATGGTCCGGGGCTTGGCCTCCCTATGGGGCGTGGGGGGCTGTGGTACATGCAGAGGCGGCGGCTGTCCCAGCAGCCTGGCCAGGAGATACCGTGGAGAAGGCACGTGTTTGAGTTGGCATCACTGTCCCCAGACGCCCTCCCTCGGGTAGAGCCGCCTGTCCTAGGAGAAGCTGTACTCCAGATGCAGTGGGTGACACCCTGGTCACTCAGCCACACCCCGGCCCCTCAGCCTCTGCTGTCCTGGCCGCACATAGAGCCCTGTCCTGCTGTGTCTGCCGGGCACACCCCGGTCACTCAGCCACACTGGCTCGGCCCAGCGCCTTCCCGAGGTCTGTGGGGGTCCGGGCGGAGGTGGGGTCAGTGCCGTGCGTGTTTGATCCAGTTTCTGATCATCCACTTCTGCCCCGAGCACCTCTGTACCACCAGCCGGAGCCCAAAGTTGGCATCTTTGGACATCTCCACCTCCAGGCAGCGGCCCGTGGCCCGGCTCACAATGGGGCCACTCTGTGGGGACAGGCACATCAAGTCAGCCAGGTGCAGGCGTCCTTGTTCCCCCTCCCCCCACCTCAGGGAGGCTGCTTCGTGCTCTCAGCCCTCGTGCTCATTCTTGGGGCAGCTTGAATGGAAAGCCAGCATCACAGCAGCACCCAGGGGGGCCGGGAAGGGGCTGACTTCAGTGGAGCTTCGAGGATTTCCCATCTTTCCTGCAGGGCTAGCGGCCCAGGTTGGAATCATACCTCATCCCCTTCCTAAATCCTCCCTCTACCCTGGGCACCTGAGGCTGGAAGAGGCAGATGCAGGGCTATGATCAGACTGTCCAGCCCGACCCCTCTCTGGCTGTGTGACCCTGACCAGTCACCTGCCCTCTCTGTGAGCGTCGGGGCCCATAAGGGAACAGCTGATCCAAGGCCCGGTCCCCTGACCACCCCCTGCCGCACTCCAGCTCCCACCCAATGGGCTGGCTCTAGTGGCAGAGGCACCCAGGGGTCCCAGCAGCCCTGCCCCGCCCCAACCCCACGGCCCCCCTTCCCCAGAGGCTGACCTGGGTGAAGTCCCACAGCCGCTGTGTTGGCCGCGCCACATCCTCACACTTCTTCAGGGTGGGCATGCGGCCCGTGCCGTCATCCACCAGACACTTGGAGTCAGGCAAGAAGGCTGTGGAGCCCAGAGGCCCCAGCTGCAGCAGTCCATCAGCGCTGTACCGCACCAGCTGGGGACAGGACCACCGGGACTGTGTGTGAGCAGCGCCCAGGCTCTCCCCAGTGAGCACTGACAGGCCGTGCGAGCTGCCTTGAGCTGCAAACGGGGCCCTGCGCGGCTGCCTTGGAGCCTCCCACCCCGGGGACGCTGTTGCGGGCGGGAGAGGACCGCCGGGCAGGGCCCACGTGGGGATGCGGGCTGGACGGCGCCCAAATGCTCCGCAGGGCCAGGCTCCCGGCTTGCACAGCTGGCTGGTCTTCCGCCTGGACAGACGTCATGAATGTGGCTCAGACCCAGAGCGCGGCCCCACTCGTTTCGGGGAGGACAGGAGTTGGGTTTAATTTGGGCAACATGCAGTGCCGTGTGTGAGCGGAACACGCATTCCCGTGGGGTTAGAAACGTCCAGCTCCTTATGGGGGTCATGGTCAGAATGGCCTGGACCTTCACTACGGCCAGCCCCTGACCACTGTGATTCTGCGGGGCTGGGGCTGGGGCTGGGCCTGGGCCTGTGCTGCAGGTGAGTCCTGCCCAGGTGGGGAGTGCTCGGAGGTCAACAGCACTATTGCCGTGTTAATCCACCCCCCGAGCCAATGCTTCCCACACTTCGCTTCAATCACGCGACAGTCCTGAGCGGTAAGTGCTGTTGCCGTCTCTCTTGACTGAGGGGGGAGTGATGCACCCCCAGCCCATCTGACCCCAAAGGCCTGGTTCCTTTTTAATTTTTTGAGATACGGTCTCGCTCTGTTGCCCAGGATGGAGTGCACTGGTGTGATCTCAGCTCAACCTCCGCATCCCAGGCTCAGGTGATCCTCCTGCCTCAGCCTCCCGAGCAGCTGGGAATACGGGCATGCCCCACCATGCCCGGCTAATTTTTGTATTTTTTGTAGCGACAGGGTTTCGCCACGCTGCCCAGACTGGTCTCAATTCCTGGGCTTAAGTGATCTGTCTGCCTTGGCCTCCCATCGTGCTGAGATGACAGGCGTGAGCCACTGCACCCGGCCCAGGCTGTTTTCAATTCCCCGTGTTCTGCTACCTTCCAGGTGGGGCGGGCTGGGAGGCCTCTTCTAGAGGGGCCCTCAGGCTGCTCCAAGCCCTGGAATGCAGCCCTGGTGGCCTCAGAACACCCCAGCAGGCTGGACCCGTGCCTCTGCCCCAGGGTGTAGGGTCCGGGTGGCCTGGGGTCGTCCCCTTGGGAGCTGCATGGGTGGCCGCTGCTACTCCTACCTGGGAGGACATCCCGTGGCAGGGGTAGAGGATCGCCCGGTCGCCGTCCTCCGCTCCCTGGTCCAGACAGTAGGCACTGGCTTTGCTGTTTCTCACCTGCAAGCAGAAGCCCCAGGAGAAAGTCCAGAGTCACCCGAGGGTGCGGCCCCAGGGAGCTTCACGCAGCCAGCTCTGCAGCCAGCACCTAAGGAGGTGCCCGCGGGAGGAGGAGGGGGCGTGTGGGATGCTCTGGCCGGGTGGGCTGCCTGGGAAGGGGTGGCTGACCGAGTTTGTCACTGATGGAGACATGGAAGTGTCCGCCATGCACAGATGGAGACTTGGCCATCACTCCATAGGGGAACACTTGAGCAGCAGGGACGACGGCCCCAGGCTGTGGAGTGGCTTCCCTGCCTTGCCGCCTGCTCCCTGTGCCCTTGCGGCTCCCACTGAGTGGGTAGAGACCGCTCGCCAGCCTTGCAGTCTAGGCTGGCCTTGGCTTGGACCCTTGGGAGACCTTCCAGCTTCCACTCTGTCTTGGAAGGAACCCTGACAGCCCTCTGAGAACAAGCCCGGGCCAGACTGCTGGGGGATGTGTTGTCATCGGGCAGCCAACCTCCAGCCTCCAGAACAGGCCCATCGGAGATCAGCACAGCCTGGATCAGGCCAGCAGCACTGCCTGGGTGGCCCCGGCTCGTGAGCAAGTGTAGATGCTTATTGCTTTTGTCCACCGCGTCTCCAGGCTGCTGGGTTTGCAGCAGCAGCTGACCCATCCACCACGGCCACCACGAGAGGTCACACAGGTTTGAATTGGGACCGTTGAGGAAGCCCAGCAGAGTCTGGATGTTACGGCTGCTCTGGGTTGGGGGTGCCTGCACTTGGCTAATTGAGGATGGAGTGGGCAGAGTAGAAGCACAGGGAGGCTGGGGGAGAGGGGCGGTGCCCCGATGCACACTCAGCACTGCCTGGGAAACCTCTGTGCCCAAGGGACTGGAGTCAGCGCAGGGTGGACCAGGAGCTGCAGGAGGGGAGGCTCAGCGAGGACCATCCACCCCAGGGACCCTTTTCCTTGCCCCATCCGAGTGCCAGCTCAGGGCTGGGACGCTCGAGTCTCATGGTGGGAGGCACCCCATCCCCTGCACAGACTGGGGAGAGGGCAGAAGAGCAGCACCTTCTCGCTGGCTTTACGGAGTGCTGTGCATGTGGGGGCCAGTGGAGACGGGGGTCTCTGTGTAGCTGATGGGCCTGTGTGAGTGTGCATATCACCCATTGTGTGCATCTGTGGGGGCACCTTCATGCATGCACGCTGGTGTATGAACGTGGCTCCGCATATGTGGATGCACAGACGTGTACACACACACATTATTTTGCTTGATAACAAGGGCCTGTGTGTTTATCTGTGCACAGGCAGGCGCCTTTGGGGTTCATGCACTTAGTGAAACATACATCTGTGTAGGAAGAGCTGTGTACATTAGCAAAACTGGGTGCAAATGTATACTCGTGTCCGCGTGCTCTTGTACATATGAGTGTTTGCATGGATTTACGTACCTGCCTGTGAATGTCTCTGTACACACATCTAGGTGAGTGCATGTATCCCTATGTACACATACGTGAGAGCGTAGGTACATTGAATCAGGCATGTGAACACGCATGGATGTGACTACACACCTGCCTGCCTCTAGGGAGGTCCATGTGAAGGAATGGGTGTGTATGGACATGTGGGTCTGCAGGTGCGTGTGTTTATGTGAACCTGCACCTTGTGTGTGCACGTGGATGTGCCTGCATCACCGTGAATGCACACGTGTGTGCAGGAGTCAGGGCGGAAGGCCTGTCGGGCCGAGTGGGACCCTCTGGGGGAGGCGCTACCTCTCCGTGTGCATGTGGATGTGCCTGCATCACCCTGAATGCATACGTGTGCAGGAGTCAGGGCAGAAAGCCTGTCGGGCCGAACGGGGCCCTCGGGGGAGGTGCTACCTCTCCGTACGTGAGGGTGTTGTTGTAGACCCTCATCTCCGGGTACACGTTCTCCAGGTACCACTTGAAGCTGCGACACTTCAGCCTCTGACGCAGGGCCAGCCTCTCAGACACGTCCCCGAAGTCCACCCCTGGGTTCTGCAAGGCCAGAAGTAGGTGAGAGGGTACATGGGTGTCACCATGACCTGGGTCTTCCCCATAATGAGGTTGGGGGTCTCCAGGGACCAAGTGCCCTCACAGGAGCAGCCTCCCCCCCAGTATTCAGATGCTGAGGCCCCATCCAGTTGGGACCCCCCAGCCTCCTAATATCCACAGAGGGTCTGAGGCAGCTGCTCCTGATGGGAAGGACCCTGCCAGAGGCCAGCCCCGGCCTGGACAGACGGCCCCTGCTGCAGCCGGCTCGTCCACACCCACCCGGGCCCAGGAACCTCCTGCCTGAGAAGACGGCCCTGCTCACCTGGCCTTACTGCACGGCATCAGCCTGACCTCTGGAGGGTGGAGACTGAGGTCAGCCATATCCAGAGACCAGCCTGGTGAGGACCCTGGATACTGAGGCTTGGGGGCTCCTGGCTGGCCCCGCCTGGCACGTGTTGTCACGCATGGGTGCCGGAGAATCAAGTCCTTGGGACCCCCCGCGGGGGGACACCTGAGAGCTTGTACCTGGCCTTTCCTGGTCCCTGCCCAGGCGTCTCTTCCCTCTGCTGACTTTGACCCGTGTCCTCTGCCGTGAGAACCCACAGCCGAGTGCGGTGTCTGTGTCTTCCTGGGACTGTGGGGCCTGAGAGGCTGTAGGGACCAGCACTCTCTGACGGACAGCCAGCCCTGAGGGAGCACCTGCACCCTGCCCAGGGACCCTCCAGGCTCAGGCCTTGTGGGGAGGGCAGACGACTTGGCCTTCACGGCCTGGGCTTGAATCCCGTCACCTTCTGGTATGTGGGCCTGGGACAGTCCCCTATCTTCTCTGTGCCTCAGTTACTCATTGGTAAAGTGGGGACGATCACGCCAGAAACTCATTGTTGCTCTGTTATGAGGTTTTAATCAGCCAAGGGGCTCACACCAGGGCCCTTGGACACGGAGGTGACAGGCATTTGCCGGCCTCACTGCCCGGGGGCCTGGAGCACCTCACTCAGTTGCCCACACACTTGGGGAGGTCATCACCCTGCACGTTTTCCTTATCACTTCATGGAAAACAAGGCTGTAGGAGCACCGGGTACCCTCTTCTCGTCTCTCAGACACGAGTGCACGTGTCTACGGCTCCTGATCTGCCTGGCGGGAGCTGATATGGGGGCTGGATGCTGGATTTGCAGTGAATGGTCCAGCCCGGGGCCACTTCAGGCCGTGTCACCCACACGCTGGGGTGCACTCTAGCAGGGGGTGGTAAGCCAATTTAGGGGCTGTGGTGGGAAGTTTTAAGAAGTAGTAATATTGTAAATGAGAAGGGTCACTTTGGTGCTACGTACACAAAGCGCTGTATGTGGACAGATGTAAATGTATGCGTGTGTGCGCTGGGTCATGACTTAAGATCTGGCTCATTAGGGTTGATGCAGACAAGCCCGTTTCTAAGATGAGCCCTCCCAGAACTCAGGGACCCAGTGCCTGCAGTGGCCAGGGAAGGAAGGGGGTGGTTCCAGAGACGCTGGGGTGTGGCGGGATGGGTCGCGGCCACCCGTCTCAGTACCTGCCTTTCTTAGGGTTGTGGGGGTGGGGCGCTTTGAGAAAAGCCAGAATTCAGGCTCTTTATGGGAAATTACAAATTAGAAAACAAACAGCAATCCTCAACTTGAAGCGGGTCAGCCACTCATAGGCCAAAGCCCAACAGGAAACAACCAAAAACGTCCATCCACGGACGAGTGGATCCACACGAGGGGCCCTTTCACACTGTGGACGTGACTCAGCCATGGTGGGGGTGACCTGGAAAAGGTGGCGCTGAGGACGGGAAGCCACACAGCGTATGAGCCGTTCATGAAACCGCCAGACAGTTGAGGCTGCCCGGGGCTGGGGAGGGGTCCGCACTGGCTGACAGGTGCTGTGCAGGGCACTAAGTGGGGCCCTGGCTGAGGCGGCGGCACCAGGTTGGGGAGAGGCCGCCCCTCCCTGGCTTCTAACCACGGGGCAATTGCTCTAGGCTGAGAGGAAAAACGCCCACCACACCGGGGTGGGTGTGAGCTGGTCTCTTCCCAGTGTGAGGAAGGCTCCTTCCCAGGCAGACAGCTCACCCACTCACACCTGCACACACAACTGCTTGCACCTGTGCACACCTGTCAACACACCCACTCACACCTGCAGGGGGCCCTAGGGGGCCTCCCTCCGGCCCAGCCCTGCCGTGGCATTGACCCCGACCCTGGGGCATGGCCCCGGCTCCCGGCCTGTGGGGGACTCACCGACATGGGGATGTTCCAGGCCATGTACACGTGGGACTTGAAGTCATCCATCCACACCTCGGCGGCGCGCAGGGCGTTGCGCTTGGCATAGTAGTCAATGTCGTTGTTGTAGGGCTTCCTGGTGCGCTCGATGTGGGCCACGCGGGAGCAGGGCAGCACCTCCATGCTGCCGCCACACTGCCACACCTGCGGGGAGACGGCGCTGGGTGCCGGCGTCCTTCCCAACGGAAGCGGGCAGCCCGGCCAGCTAGGGGCCCGTGAGAGGCCAAGGGGCCCGGCCCTCTGTTCCTGGGGCACCCCCACCACCGACGGGCCTGGTGGGTCCCGGGGCTTTGCCTCTCGGGGGCTGTTTTCAGGGGACCCCGCCCACAGAGAAAGTTCAGGTCTGGGTTGCGTCCTCTCTGGGACTTCTTTCTCTTGTGCGTTACACGATGGCTGTGGGGAGGGGGGTTTATTCTACCGACCCCAACACTTAACAGGTTTTTCACCCTGTGGTTCCCACCCCCAGTGCTTGTTCTGTGCAGGGAACCCCCCGCCCCACTGCACCAGCCACCTCCCCCAGCACCCGAACACACCAACAATCTGTTTACAAACAGCTGCTTGCCATGCAGACACCGCTCCACGCATCCCCAGAACACACACAATCAAAAGCCCAACCAGCCTCCCCAGCTAATAAAACCCCGCAGCCCCTGGCTTTCTGAACCCCCACGCGCAGCAGAAACGTGTTTGTCACTGCGTATCCTTTTATGCTTCCTTCCGTGTCGTTCCACTTAAGCAATACCAGCCTTCCTATACGTGCTCTTTCACTCCGGTTTGTCCCCCCGCGCTGTCCTGCCTGTGAGGGTTGGTTTTGTGTCAGCGTGGCAGGGAACAGGGTGCTGGGACGTTTGCTCTCCCGATTCTGGGTGGTCTGTGCATGGCCTCTGGTGGGAGCCGTGTTTAAATCTGTCCCCTACAGGCCTGAGTAGGACAGAAAGGCCGAGGCAGGGAGTGTTCACACACTCTGCTCGATTCGGGCTGGGACGTGGGTCCTCCCCTGCCTTCAGGCTTGGAGCTCACGCCACCGGCTCTCCTGGGCGCCTGCCAGCCGACGGCCAATCTCGGTACCCTCAGCCCCCGTAACCGGGTGAGTCAATTCCTTAGATGAACTTTCACAGCTAAGCCCACGTCCCCACCATCTGCTATTAATCTGTTTCCCTGGAGAGCCCTGAGCCAGCCCCGTCCCATCCTATCCTACCCTATCCTGTGCTGTCCCATCCCATCCACCCCATTAAAAAAAGGCCGATGCCACCCACGGGCTGACATCACTATGAACAAATGGGTCTGATCCACGTGGCCCAAGCTCCGCCGTGCTCAGGTCCTCAGCCCTGAGCCTGCCATGCTGGACGAGTGTGCCAGGCCCAGGGCGGGCACTGTGCTTGCCTCATCTCCTGAATCCCCCCACCACCCGAGAAAGGGTGGGCAGCCCTGGCATTGCCCCGTTCCCTCCGCGGTGCTGAGAAGGTGCCGAGGCCGAGGGTGGTGCCAACTGCAGGGGCGCACGGGGTGGAGCCTCTGCCCAGCTGAGCTCGGATCCCTCAGTCATCCCTGGACTCTGGTTCATCCTCGTCCAGGCTGCTCTCATCTCCAGGCCGTTATCTTAATCATGTCTGCAAAGATCCCTTTTCCCAAAGAGGGCCACACTCACACGTCCCCTAGCTGCATCCTCCGGGGGTCGCCTGTCAGCCCAGCCCACCCCAGAGGCCCAGTCCCTTGTGTGGGGGAGCAGGGGGCTCCTCCCTCCCCCGGACTCTCTGCCTTCAGGAAGCCGAGTCCCAGGGAGAGAGAGAACCGGGAGGCCGTATCGCCGATCACTTACGGCTGCTCCGACACCGCCCACCGCAGGACAGATCCAGAGTCCGGGGCAGGAGGGAGCCGCTCCCTCCTCGCCGAGATGACCACACAGCACGCAGCTAACGCCAGGCTCCCTGACCCCGGTCCGGCAACCCAGAGCCTCCTCGCTGCTCAGCTCAGCCCAGCCGGGGACACCCCCGCCCCACAGTCCCACGTCACCCACAGGGGTCCGGCTCCTTCCCCGGGATGGTGGAGTCCGCGGCGCCGCCGTGCCAGGCTGAAGTTGGCCTTTGCATCCCGAGGGAGCGAACCGCGTTTCTGCATCAGGTTCACATCGTGGCAGGTGGTTTCTGGGTTTCTGTCTGTTGTCTCTGCTGTGGGACAACCTGCCTGAGAAAAGCCTGGGGTTTTCCAGCCCCCTGAGCCGGGGCTTCCTTTCTGCCTTCCAGACTAGGGTCGGGATTTCTGTTCGCAGCGGGAAGGGGCCCCGCTGGTGAATCCCGCCCACCGCCCTCCCACTCCGCGGATGTCTCCCACCCTCAACCTGAGACCACCCAGGTTTCGTGAGAAGGAGGGGGGAAGCACCTCGGAGCCCTGCCCTTCGCTGGAAGGGGCCGGAACGAAGGAAGCTCTGCAGGGGCGGGACAGAGCCTCGTCCTCCATCGTCTGCCCACCCGTCTTCAGAAGCGCCTGGCACACTGGCCTCTGGGACGACCTCCAGCAGTTTCAGCCTCCTTGTCTACCCCCAGTACAGAGGCCACGGTGACTCGGTCCCCCCACCCACCACAGAATCCTGTCCTCGGGCCTCACGCTGGGGAACACGAAGCCCCCCAGGGCTCCTGACGCCTGCCTTGCCCACCCCCTGGGTTCGAAGCACCTTGGCCTTCCCAGCACCCCCACGTGCACCCCTCAGGGCCTTGGCACAGGTGGTGCCCACGCCGGGCGCCCTTCCCAGGTCTCTGCATGCTCCACTGCCTCCAGCCTTCAAAGCTCTAGTGCCAGAGAGATTAGTTAAAGGCACAAAACCAGCCGGGCACAGGGGCCTCACACTTGTAATTCCAGCACTTTGGGAGGCCGAGGTGGGTGGATCACTTGAGGCCAGGAGTTCGAGACCGCCTGGCCAACATGATGAAACCCCATGTCTACTAAAAATACAAAAATTAGCTGGGCATGGTGGCAGATGCCTGTAGTCCCAGCTACTCAGGAGGCTGAAACATGAGAATCTCTTGAACCCGGGAGGCAGAGGTGACAGTGAGCTGAGATCACACCACTGCACTGCAGCCTGGGCGACAGAGCGAGACTCCGTCTCAAAAAAAAAAAAAAAGGACCAAAACCACAGGCAGAGAGGAGCCAGTGCTGGTGCCGCTGAGGGAGGACCGTGGACCTGACCGTGACCCAGCCGGCAACTGGGAGGAGGAGCCGAGCCCCCACACAAGGAAATGGCAAATGTGGAGATGGCGGCTGACCTGAGTGCGGCACGCCATACCCCGTGAACGGGGACAATCCTATTTGTCCATTAAAAAAACCAGCGAGCCTGGGCAACATAGTGAGACACCACCTCCACAGAAAAAAACAAAATTAGCCAGGTGTGGTGGTGCATGCCTGCGGTCCCAGCTGCTTGGGAGGCTGAGGCGGGAGGATCACCTGAGCCCGGGAGGTTGAGGCTGCAGTGAGCCAAGATCACGTAACGCTCTCCAACCTGGGTTAAAGAGTGAGACCCTGTCTGAAAACATAAAAAGTAAAAATAAACCCCAAATGTCACCATCAAGTCTTCAGGGTGAGTCCTCTCCCTCCATCCTGTTTAGAGCCGCCGTCCTTGCCCCATAGCTGGGCGTCCGGACCAGAGGCTCACACCCCTCAGTATGGCGCCGCCTGCTATCCGTCCCCGTCTCTGCCTGTCCCTCCCCATGGCTCAGCTCCGCAGGACAGGGTTTCTGTCGCTTCTGCTCACAGCTGCCTCCCAGTGCTCAGAGCGAGGCCGGGCACACAGTAGGTGCTTGATAAATAGCTGCGGAACGAATGTGTTCCCTTTAGGAACCCCACAGCCACTTACGGCCACTCTGTCCCCGGGGCCTTCTGTGGCGCTGGGGCGATTCCACATGGGAACCTGGTGGGACTGCTGGGCGGTCTGCGAGGCCTCCCCAAGCCAGCTCCACAGGTGCCAGCCCCGTCAGTGTGTGCTGAGCTTGCGGGTGGTGCCGAGGCCCCTTCTTGGGTGAATGCAGCCTCAGGTCTCTCGGCCCTCGGGTCCCCCACCGTGTCTCTAGAAGGACCGAAGCTACGGGAGAGGCGAGGCTCCCGGGCGGTGGGAGTCGGCCAACTTCCATCATTAGCTGAGGACCTGTCACAGCCGGGGACTGGGCTGCTTCAGTCTCCGGGCTTGGGCCGCAGACCCCTGAGCTTTCGGGGTGTGTGAGGTGCCCCCTAAGCACAAGGGCCCACGGCTTGCGTGACCTGGCTTTTCAGCAGGGCCATTAGCTCAGGAGTGATAAAGTCGGAGAGTGAACCCCCATGCCCTCAGCAACATCCCCTTTCCAATCCCTGCAAAACAGGGAAAGAACAAGACAGCCCCCACCCCCCACCACGACTCCTCGCGCAAGCAGCACTGGTGTGTGGCGTCCCCACACCCGGGGCAGGTCTCTTTTCTGCGTCAGAGTTAATGACCGTGTAGTTTTTCACATATTTTGAAGCCAGGGACCAGTATATCATCTGCCTTGTGCCGCGCTCCCCGGGAGATTGATGCTTATGCAGAGGGAGAATTTAAAGGCTCTCCCATCACAGTCTCAAGGGAAACAGTTTAACCCCTCTATAAATTTCAGATGAATATTGGCAATAACTTCTCCACTCTGTGGGCCAGAGGAGACCAACACCTAAGGATCAGGCAAAATCCTCCCACAGGAGCCAGAGGCACTTGGCCCCCCTCTCAGGGGCTCTCAAGAGGCAGGAGGCCCGGGCCCCTCCCCTTCCTGGCCACACTAGAGGAAGATCAGGTGAAGGAGGCCGGAGCCCGGCTGGCACTCTGCACTGAGAGCAACTGGGGATAAGCTGGACTCGCCTTCTGGCGTCTGTGTGTGCAGCTCTCCCCACTGAGAGGGGGACGCTATCACCCTAGGCCTTCGTCACGTGATTTGCTTGGACCAACAGAAAGGGCCAGAACCCACCCAGTGCCAAGGCCAAGCTTGGGCCTCAGGAGACTGCACTCACACCGATCTCTGTCTTGTAACCTGGCCGCCAGCATGAGGATGAGAGACCATGTGGAGCAGAGAGAAGCCGCCCAGCTGAGCCCATTCCTCCCCACCCCAACCAGCCAACCCCGCTCACCTGGCTGCTGACTGCCGGCATCAGCAAGGCCAGCTGAGAGCAGAGCCGCTCTGCTCCACATAGACCATGTGCCAACCCAGAGTTGTGGGCCAAGGAAATGGTTGTCTTAGGCCGCAACATTTCAGAGTGGATTGTTACACATCCAAGAGCTGACCCATCCATGCTGCTTTGGCAGGTACAGCTGGCAAAGACCCTCACTCCTGTGGCTTCCTTGCATGCAGCACATAGTACCAGTTAATGCTAGTTACTAGCCATGCATCCCCACTGCCCAAGACAATCCGAGTTGATACCCCTGTCTTGGGGTAATTATTAATAGCACCTCTGGTAACTCTCAGGTGTCCTGGTTTGGGTGACGATGCCTGTGGTCACCCCCGTGCTACCTGACCATCTGGCCCCACAGCCAGGGCGGAAGTCCAAGCATTAGAGCCATTCAAACCACATCGTGAACAGGGGCTGGGTAAGATGAGGCTGAGACCCACTGGGCTGCATTCCCAGATGGTGAAGGCACTCTAAGTCACAGGATGAGATAGGAGGTCGGCACAAGACACAGGTCACAAAGACCTTGCTGATAAAATAGGTTGCAGTAGGCCGGGTGCGGTGGCTCACGCCTGTAATCCCAGCAGTTTGGGAGGCTGAGGTGGGTGGATCATGAAGTCAAGAGATCGTGACCATCCTGGCCAACATGGTGAAATGCCGTCTTTACTAAAAAAAATAAATAAATAAATAAATAAAAAATAAAAAATTAGCTGGGCATGGTGGCGTGCACCTGTAGTCCCAGCTACTTGGGAGGCTGAGGCAGGAGAATTGCTTGAACTTGGGAAGCAAAGGTTGCAGTGAGCCGAGATCGCACCATTGCACTCCAGCCTGAGTGACAGAGCAAGACTTCATCTCAAACAAACAAACAGGTTCCAGTAAAGGAGCCGCCAAGTCCCACCAAAACCAAGATGGCAACGAGTGACTTGTGGTCATCCTCACGGCTCATTTTATGCTCATTATAATGCATTAGCTGCTAAAAGACACTCCCCCCAGCACCAAGACAGTTCACAGATGCCATGGGAACGTCAGGAAGTTACCCTGCGTGGTCTAAAAAGGGTGGAGCCCTCAGTTCGGGGAAATCCTGCTGCCTTTCCCAGAAAACTCAGGAATAATCCATCCCTTGTTTAGCAAATGATCAAAAAATAACCACAAAAGTTAATTAGTAAATAATCAACCAGCAGCCCTGGGGGCCACTCTGCCTGTGGAGCAGCCATTCTTCTCTTTACTTCATTTCTTTACTTCTCTAATAAACTTGCTTTCACTTTACTCTGTGGACTCGCCCCGAATTCTGCCTTGTACAAGATCCAAGAGGCCTCTCTTGGGGTCTGGATGGGGACCCCTTTCTGGTCACACGAGGAAGACACGGGTGGCGTGGGTGACACACCAAGGCTGAGGGGCCGTCACTAACTGCAGAGGCCAGAGATGGGAAAACAGGAGACTCCTCCAGAGATGGGTGGGTCCCTGGGGCCCGTCGTCTGCAGGCCCCGGGCTGGCACATCACAGCGAGAGGAGAGACAGGAGAGGGGCCCTGCTGCGCGTGGGCGTTGGGTCAAAAACTCCCCCTGTACATTCAGGACTGACGTTGTCTTTGGCGGCGCTGTGGGCCTGGCAAAGGGCCTGCGGGCGAGGCCGTCCCGTGAAGTCGGACCTGTTCTTCTGGTCAAGGCAAGCAAAGCAACAGGGCTCGTAGGGTTCTCCTGGAAGCGCTGGGGACATGCGGCCTTCATCGTGAAACTGTCATCTAGAGGGGAGGCAGGCGAGGCTCAGACGTCACACTCATCACGTGTGGGTGCAGCTGGAGGACTGAGTGGGGCCATGAGGCTTGGGCAGGAGGTGCGCCCTGGCTGGGGACGGCTTCCTGAACCCCAGCTCTGAGCGGAGATGGGTGGCGAGTGGGGTTAACTGGCGGTGAGACACAGGCATGCTTGAGGCCCGAGCCCCGTCCTCCTGGGCTGTGGGGCTGTGCAGAGCTGGCATGGGCAGGCTGTGCTGCGGTCAGGGAAGCTGACCATCTTAATGGTTGAATTGAGAAGAAGCTCCAACTTGCCAAAAGCCAAACTTGCACCAAAAAAGGGCTTGGTCGCCATCTGGAGGTCGCCGTCTGGCGGTTGCCATCTGGGTGGTCGCCGTCTGGAGGTCGCCGTCTGGAGGTCGCCGTCTGGCGGTTGCCATCTGGAGGTCGCCGTCTGGGTGGTCGCTGTCTGGAGGTCGCTGTCTGGTGGTCGGCTGCCGGCCTGACTCACAACAGCTTTCTGAATCCTGGCAAAACCATCACACTTGAGAGGTGCGCTCAGCAAATCCATGAGATGCACCAAAAATCGCGGTGCCTGCCGCCGGCCTCAGTCCACAGAAAGGGCCCAGTTCTTCTCCACCACAACGCCTGGCTGCACGTCACACAACCAACGCTTCACAAGCTGAACGAATTGGGCTGCAAAGTTTTGCCTCATCCGCCACATTCACCTGACTTCTCGCCAACCAACTACCGCTTCTGCAAGCCTCTCGACAACTTTTTGCAGAGAAAACGCTTCCACAACCAGCAGGATGCAGAAAATGCTTTCCAAGAGTTTGTCAAATCCTGAAGCACAGATATATTTATGCTACAGGAATAAACGAACTTATTTCTCATTGGCAAAAATGTGTTGATTGTAATGCTTCCTATTTTGACGAATAAAGGTGTGTTTGAGCCTAGTTATAATGATTTAAAGTTCATGATCCGAAACTGTAATTACTTTTGCACCGACCTAGTACGAGAAAACACCTCAGACGCTGTCACCACAGCAGTGAGGAGGCAACCTCGTGTCTATTCGGTCAAACCACATGCAGCTGCCTTTCGCGCTGGCCAGAAACAGCCGTGTATCCGCAGTCTTACTGTGATCCGCTCACTCCGTCCACCCTCTCTCGTCCACCTGGCCATTCTGTGTCCCTCATCCTCTGTCTCCACCGTGGTTTTCCCGAATATTCTCTCTGTGAAAGGCAGCAGGCCCAGAGCTTCCCAGAGCATTTCCCCCTCTCCGTCGAGGGGACCCTGGGGCAGGTCCTTCAAGAGCATTTGTGGGAATTAGGAGATGGGCACGGAAGGCTGAGGAGTATGTCCAAGTCACCCAGCCAGCACCTGAGGCAGCCAGACTCCAAACTTGGTCCCCAACAGCAGGCCACGTGCTCACACACTGCACCCCTGCCCTGCAATCCACGCCTGTGGGCTGTGGCCCATGTGACGGTTTTACATCTGCTCAGGAGGTGAAGGTCCCATTATTCAGTGGATGTGAGGTGCTGCTGGGACCATGTCTGCAGCTGTGAGTGATGCTTGCGTCAGTGGACACTCCGCATGGCAGCGGACGTGCACGCAGGCAGGCCCCACCCAGCCAGGCATTGAGAGAAAAGACGGGTGGGGAGTTCCCAGAGAAGGATGCCAGCCTTCAGACCGTGACACGGAAACCCCACCCGGGTCTACAGCCTTCACACCACGACACGGAAACCCCACCCGGGTCTGCAGCCTTCAGACCTCGACACGGAAACCCCACCCGGGTCTGCAGCCCTCAGACCTCGACACGGAAACCCCACCCGGGTCTGCAGCCCTCAGACCTCGACACGGAAACCCCACCCGGGTCTGCAGCCCTCAGACCTCGACACGGAAACCCCACCCGGGTCTGCAGCCCTCAGACCTCGACACGGAAACCCCACCCGGGTCTGCAGCCCTCAGACCTCGACACGGAAACCCCACCCGGGTCTGCAGCCCTCAGACCTCGACACGGAAACCCCACCCGGGTCTGCAGCCCTCAGACCTCGACACGGAAACCCCACCCGGGTCTGCAGCCCTCAGACCTCGACACGGAAACCCCACCCGGGTCTGCAGCCCTCAGACCTCGACACGGAAACCCCACCCGGGTCTGCAGCCCTCAGACCTCGACACGGAAACCCCACCCGGGTCTAGCAGCCCTCAGACCTCGACACAGAAACCCCACCCGGGTCTGCAGCCCTCAGACCTCGACACGGAAACCCCACCCGGGTCTGCAGCCCTCAGACCTCGACACGGAAACCCCACCCGGGTCTGCAGCCCTCAGACCGTGACATGGAAACCCCACCCGGGTCTGCAGCCCTCAGACCGTGACACGGAAACCCCACCCGGGTCTGCAGCCCTCAGACCGTGACACGGAAACCCCACCCGGGTCTGCAGCCCTCAGACCTCGACACGGAAACCCCACCCGGGTCTGCAGCTCTCAGACCGTGACATGGAAACCCCACCCGGGTCTGCAGCCCTCAGACCGTGACATGGAAACCCCACCCGGGTCTACAGCCTTGAGACCGTGACACGGAAACCCCACCCGAGTCTACAGCCTTGAGACCTCGACACGGAAACCCCACCCGGGTCTGCAGCCCTCAGACCTCGACACGGAAACCCCACCCGGGTCTGCAGCCTTCAGACCTCGACACGGAAACCCCACCCGGGTCTGCAGCCCTCAGACCTCGACACGGAAACCCCACCCGGGTCTGCAGCCTTCAGACCTCGACACGGAAACCCCACCCGGTTCTGCAGCCCTCAGACCTCGACACGGAAACCCCACCCGGGTCTGCAGCCTTCAGACCATGACACAGAAAACCCACCCACTGCCCACCTTAAGGATCTCAGACTTGGCAACCCCACAATTGTGTGAGCCAATTCTTAGAATCAATCAATTTCTTCACACACACACATGAAAATGCACCGCAGATGCACACGTGTGCAACATAATCACTCAGTCAAGCATACACATGCACTGTTACCCCCACACACAGGCACACTCACACCCACACACACGCACTCCACTCACACACAGGCGCACTCACACACACGCACTCCCACCCACATACAGGCGCACTCACACAGTCACACACAGGCACTCCCACCTACACACAGTCACACACACACACTCACACACATGTGCACTCAGCTGTCATTCCTGTCAGCCTCTGATGTACCTGCAGGGACAGCTCATTCTGTGAGCACCTAGGGGTTCTGGGGTCAGCCCTCATGTCCGAGGAGGGGTGTTCAGGGGACATGAGGCCCACTGTGGCCTCTGCATTCTCCAGGTGGCACCGGGGACCTGAGGAGGCCCCAGCTTGCTGCCAGCTCTCTCGAGCAGAATGCAGACACGTCCCAGAAGCTGAAAGAAAGAGCCTCGACTGCATCAGTTGGTGCGCGTGGGCGCTGACAGTCCAGAACAGCCCGGTCACGGAGCAGCCCTGGAGATGCAGGCCCAACCCCACCCCCTATGTCCGCACACCCTCCCTGCAGCATGAGTCCAGGGACACCCGCGACTCCGAGTCCTCAACCACCCCCGCTCCCTGCCAGGTCAGGCGTGGGGATGGGGGTCTGGGCCCCTCAGTCCTCCCAGGTGAAAGCCGGGACACCACCCTCACAAGGATTACCAGGAGGGGCACTGACCCCAAGGGCACCTGGAGAAGAGAGAGCCGATTCCGGGGTGCCGTGTGTGAGGTCCCTGATGGTGGCTCCTTTGGAGATGGCTGGAGAACCACGCCTGTGATTCCACTGTCCCTAACCAGGCCAGCGACTCCGCCCTCCCTCACCACACCGGCGACTCCACCGTCAGCAGGAGCCCAGGGATGAAGGGGGCGAGCAGGAGCGGAGCCCGTGTATTAATCATGCTTTCATATTTTCTGTATCTGATGCTTTGACATCTGGAACCTCACTAGCCCGAGAGGCCTGCCCCTCCCGGGTGAGTGATTTCCTAGAGCTAGTGAGCACCCCCCCAGCGTCTTTCCAAATGCAAACCAGGCAACGAGAGTCCACGCCCCACCAGCCAACGCGAATCCACAGCCCACTGCCTCTGTCCTTCACTCTGGGCTACCATCCTCCCACCCAACCACTCAGGAGGATGGCCCATGCCCCAGAGCTGCTGAGACGATGGAAGCCAGGCCCCCCAGGCCTGCTCACCCGGCCTTGCCCATTCCTGGCCACATCCCCCTCATACCCTCTGCCTCCTGTCCAGCCTGGTGCCTCCTGGGTGGCCCTGCCTGGTGGTACCCCCTTCTCTGGGATCCGTGCGTAACAAACCATCTCACCAATGGCCATTGTCTCCTGGCCTGCTGGCTGCGCTGTCCTGAATAACGATAAAGCCACTTGGAGACCAGGGCAGGCGGTGGCACCCTGTTCCTGCTCAGTTCTGTGGCACGCCATTCCTGCTCAGCTCCTGATCTTGCAGAGCAGGGGATGCACACCCGTCACAGAGGCCCATCTCACTGTTCTACGCGGATCTGGAAGATTCTGGCTGACAGGCAAAGCCAGCGTGAGGCTGTGAGAGTGGAGAAACCTGCCGGCCTCTGTAGCACCCTCCGCTGGTGCTGACTGGCCTGTCAGCGTCCTCACCTGCCACGCTGTCCTGCCCGTTTAAGGGCGTTTGGGAGGAAACGCGACACAATCGCTGTTGGTTTCCAGACGCCGGGTCTCCGCAGCTCTGGGTGGCTTTGTGGCCGCTTCGGCAGAACAGACACAGGTTTCATCGGGGCCCTGCCTGGAGCCCCAGCTCTTTCTCGTGGTTTGCAGGTGACACAGCCCAGGCTCTCAGGGACAAAAGTACTTCCTCGCACACCGAGCTGCAATTTACCAGCCCTCCTGTCGGGCTGTAGGCCCCACACACGAGACACAGTCAGTTTCTAAATGGAGGCCAGGACGCGGCGCCCGGCACCGCCTGGATGCCACTGCAGCCCGGGGAGGATTGCTGGGTGTGGCCCTCGCTCTTGGTGAGGCTGTTTGTGTGCTGGCCTCGACGGAGAGCACAAGCAGCTCCTCCAGGGAGGGCGTGCTTCCTCCCTTTCCCAAGAGCGCTGCCATGCCAGGGCTTGGCGAGTGCGGGGACCACTCCGAGGGCCAGGCAAGGCTAGCGTGGCCCAGGGTCCACTTGATCCTGCTTGTTGGCTCCAAGACCGAGGTTCAAGAATGAAGCCAGCCCTCTTTGTATCATCAGGACACACATGCCAACCAGCACCCGGGTCCCACGAGGCCGGGCTGGCACCATCACAGCCACCACGTGGCTCACGTGGCAGCACAGAGCAGCCAGTGGGCATGGGCGGGGGGCAGCCTCGCATGGCCACATGGGACCCAGCACGGGACCCAGGTGCCCTCCATCACCTCCTGGGTGCTGGCCCTCCCTGACTCACAGCAGGGGATGGAGAGGGGGTGAGGGGGCGGAGAGTAGGGTTGGGGGGTGCTTCTGGGCCAGGCCTGAGGGGCTGCGTCCCCCTCCCCAATCCCCTGTCCAGGACTCAGCCAAAGGACTCCTAAGGGACAGTGGCTGGACGTGTGGAGGGAAGGGAGACGGTGGCGGGGCACACACAGGGGCTTGTCCATGCCCATCTAATGATAGACAGAGACATAGAGAGACGTAGACAGAGACACAGAAACAGAGACAGAAAGATACAGAGACACAGAAACAGAGACAGAAAGATACAGAGACACAGAGATGGAGAGACAGAGGCATGAGATAGAGACATAAGACAGAGACATGAGAGACAGACACGGAGAGAGAGACAAAGGAACAGATTATAGAGAAGACAGAGATAGAGATGAAGACACAGAGAAAGACACACAAACAGAGGAAGACAGAGAGACAGAGAGAGGGGCACAGCCCCTTGCTTCTCTCCCCACAGGGTCCCTCACACAGGGAGAACAATGTGGAGGCTTTCCTGGAAGGGTCATTTGCTGACGACGTCCTGGAGACCAGCACCAAGCACTCTCATCTGCAGGCAGGACGGTGCGTGGCACAGCCGCAGGCCCAGCGAGGAGCCAGGACCTGGGTGCTGAGCGCAGTCTGCAGCCTCGGAGGACGGGGTGTTTTCTGTGGCAGGAATGGGACAGGGAGGGGGTCCACAGGCAGGCGGCACTGAGTGTCCCCCATGTCCAGCTCCTCCCTGGTCTCCGCTGGGTGTCTTCCTTCCTAAGATCTGCGTGCCCACGTGGCTACCTTGGGAGGTGTTCCAGCATCTGGGGGGATGAGCAGTTTTCTCTTTGGGCCGCTGACTGGGATGCCCACTCACAAGACTGGAGAGAAGCCGTGGCTGCTTCTGTGGCCAAAGTTCACCTCTTCACTTGGCACCGTTCTGAGCTCGAGGCTTTGGCTCCCAGGCAGCCTGTGAGGCGGCGTTTCTGGGCTTTTCGCCCTTGTGGGCAGTCTGCCCTTGTAAGTGGGAAGAAGAATTTGGGGATAACTTGGCTCTTTCTTGACTGATAGGTTTAGCTGTGTGACGAACTGTGTGTTTCCTTTTGGGTGTTGTGATCCACTAAACTGTTATAAAATCTGGTTTTCACTTTGAAAATAATGAGGATGAGACTTCACCTCTCAAGTTATGGCCACCATTTGCTCAAGCCCACCTCTCTTCCATTTTGCCAATATTCCTTGGATACAGTAACTGATAGAATGACCCACTCATCCACCCATTTACCCATCTACTCACTTATTCACCCACCTAGCCACTATCTATCCACCCATCCACGCGGACTCATCCATCCATCCATCCCTGCATCCAGCCAGCCATCCATTCATCCATCCATGCATCCCACCCACCCATCCATCCATTCACTCATCCATCTATCTATCCATCCAGCCAGCCAGCCATCAATCCATCCATTCACCCATCCATCCACCCACTCATCCATCCATTCCTTTATCCATCCATCTACCTACTCATTCACCCACCTAGCCACTATCTATCCATTCATCTACATGCACTCATCCATCCATCCACTCATTCATCTATCCATCCATCCCTGCATCCAGCCAGCCATCCATTCACCCACCCATGCATCCCCACCCATCCATCCATCCATCCCTGCATCCAACCAGCCAACCATTCATCCATCCACTCACTCTATCCATCTATCCATCCAGCCATCCCCCACTCATCCATCCATCCATCCATCCAGCCATCCATCCATCCATTCACCCATCCCATCCACCCACTCATCCATCCATTCCTTTATCCATCCATCTACCTACTCATTCACCCACCTAGCCACTATCTATCCATTCATCCACACGCACTCATCCATCCATCCATCCACTCATCCATCTATCCACCCATCCATCCCTGCATCCACCCAGCCATCCATCCATCCGTCCATTCACCCATCCATCCACCCACTCATCCATCCATTCCTTTATCCATCCATCTACCTACTCACTCACCCACCTAGCCACCATCTCTATCCACCCATCCATTCATCCACCCACCCACCCATCCATTCATCCACCCACCCACTCACCACTCATCCATCTACCCACCCACTCACCACTCATCCATCTACCCACTCATTTGCCCACCTAGACACCATCTATCTATCCATCCTCCCACCCACTCATCCAGCCACTCATCTACCCATCCATCCACCATTTATCCATCAATCTACCCACTCATTTGCCCACCTAGCGACCATCTATCCCTTCCTTCTTTCACCCACTCATCCATCCACCCATCTGCATTAGTCCCTAGAACCAGCATGACTCTGTCTGGGCGCTGTGCAAAGCTGTGTCATCAAGATGAGGAAAACAACCTTAGAGGCCAAGCAAGCCCTGTGTTCCCAGCCCAGGCCTCCAGGAAAAGGGTTGGATGCACCAGAGGTCCAGGCTGACGCGGACGGAAACCCAGGCATCCTGACCCCCAGGTTGTCTCACCTGGTACAAACCCAAGAGGTACCTAGTCAGCACTTTCCCTTTGGCAGAACGGAATTTCCCCTTTAACAAAAGGCAGGGCTTCATATTCACTCTGGAGGAAATTGTGTGCATACCTTTGAGAGATTTCATTGAACCTGATTTTTAAAAAAGATTTACAATCTGCTTAGCGTGTCCCTGCCCCTGGAGCCCAGGTCGGTTTCGGGAAATGATAATTCCTCTGGTACGGCTGTGGGTGACGCCACCCTCTTGTCACACACATGCCTCGTTCTGCAGCAGCGATCCATCTTCCGGGCAGGATCTGCCTGTATTTATCGCTGGAAAGGCAAATCCCATCTCCCAGGGCGCAGTGGGCGCCATTCATCAATGTCCAACAGGAAACCATCTCTTCCTGGATGACGGAGGTTTCAGATACAATGGAGGCGAAGAAGGCAGTGGCCACAGCATTCCCACCCCAGGGCCAGCCGTTGTCCAGACCCTCCCACTCACCTCACCAAACACTGAGCATCTCAAACAAATGAGAGAAACAGCGTCTTCCTTCCAAACAAGTGGTTCTCAAAGTGACCCAGTAGCACCAATCTCATCTGGAACCCCCAAGAACCGCAAATTCCCAGACCCCACCTGGGACCTGTGGAGTCAGAAGCTCCGGGGAGGGGCGCCCCGCATTTTGAGCTCTCGGGGTGCTGCCGATGGAGCCGTTCGAGGAGAGCAGAGCCAAGTGCCTGAGGCTTCTCACCCGGTCCCACCCCCCTCCACACAATCATCTGTCCCTGAAGCCCTGTCCCTTGATCGGCAGAACGACACCTGGTGGCTTTTTCTGTGATTGCTTCTGTCCTCAAACAGATGAGGATACAGTTTAGGTCATGATTTCTGCAGACCCAGGCCCGCTGCAGCTGTGACGGATGAAATGGTGGGGAAGACATTGGTCAGCACCACAGACATAGAACCCTCCCCTGCCGTTTCAGACACACAGAAACGATAGATCAGTTGTTTTAAAAGTTAAAAGTAACATTAGGAAACAAGGTGAAATTCTCCATAGCTCATGAGGAGCAGAAGCCGGCTGCAGTGAGTGGCATGGAAGCCATGAGGCTCTGGGGACCATCGGCGGGACAGGTGCCGGGCGTGTGGCTCTGATGTCCATTGGCGGGGACAGGTGCTGGGCGTGCGGCCAGGATCCTGGCATGAACTCAGGGTGGGGACGAGCTCAATGAGCAGGAACAGACACTGAAACCAGCTCTGATGGACCCCTGGGGCTGCCGCCAGAAGTGTCCCATGGCGAGAGGCAGCAGCACCCGCGCTTGGGTAAGGGGAAGGGGCACCTCCCCAGGGTGACACCCGCCCGGGTAAGGGGAAGGGACACCTCCCCAGGGTGACACCCGCCCGGGTAAGGGGAAGGGACACCTCCCCAGGGTGACACCCGCCCGGGTAAGGGGAAGGGACACCTCCCCAGGGTGACACCCGCCCGGGTAAGGGGAAGGGGCACCTCCCCAGGGTGACACCCGCCCGGGAAAGGGGAAGGGGTACCTCCCCAGGGTGACACCCGCCTGGGTAAGGGGAAGGGGCACCTCCCCAGGGTGACACCCGCCTGGGTAAGGGGAAGGGGCACCTCCCCAGGGCGGCACCCACCACTGACTTCCACGTCAGGAGTCAGAAGTGCCAGGAGGAGACGCTCTGAAACTTTCTTCCCAGAGTGGGTGCTCATGGAGTTAAGCCACAACTTCCATAAAAGATGAGCACTCAGCAAAATGACAAGGCAGCTGGACGTGGTGGCTCATGCCTGTAGTCCCAGCTACTCAGGAGGCTGAGGTGGGAGGATCACCTAAGCCCAGGAGTTGGAGGCTGCAGTGAGTGATGACTGTACCACAATACTCCAGCCAGGATGACAGCAATACCCTGATAAATAAATAAAGACAAAGCACCTGAGGAAATCCAATTCTAGGAGCGTCAGCCAAGAAATCCAACAAAATTGGTGAATTTAAACCCAAAGAGACAGAAAAAGAGAGTAATTAAAGAGGTCTTAGGACGACTGTTAGAATTTCCAAAGGCATGAAGGAATGAGAGAAAAGCATTAATCAAAAACATGAGTTTATGGATCAAAACAACTATAAAAAAAGAACCAGATATGAAAAATACCCATGGAAGAAAGTCTCCTAAATGTAAGATGCAGTCAGTAACTTGAGAAACCAAGGCTAAGCAAGTGGCTCGAATTGCTGTCTGGATGTGGCTGAAGAGAGGACTTGTTCCTTGGAGTGCAGAACCAGGGGAATTTCCAGGGACACCCCACAGAATGGAAAGGAGATGAGAAACAGGAAGGAGACATCGGCAACCCTGAGGGTCAAAGTCCCACCCACCTCCAACAAGATTTCCACATGGGGAGGCCACGCACTGAGAAACTAAGGACTGTCCAGATTTGTAGAAACACACAGCTGGTGCCTCACACCTGTAATCCCAGCACTTTGGGAGGCCAAGGCAGGTGGATCACCTGAGGTGAGGAGTTCGAGACCAGCCTGGCCAACATGGTGAAACCCTGTCTCTACTAAAAATACAAAAATTAGCTGGGTGTGGTGGCTCACATCTGTAATCCCAGGTACTCGGGAGGCTGAGGCAGGACAATCACTTGAACCTGGGAGGTGGAGGTTGCAGTGAGCTGAGTTCACACCATTGCACTCCAGCCTGGTGAGAGTGAGATTGTGTCAAAAAAAAAAAAAAAAAAAAAGGTCTGGGCGCGATGGCTCTTGCCTGTAATCCCAGCACTTTCGGAGGCCAAGGCAGGCAGATCATGAGGTCAGGAGTTCGAGACCAGCCTGGCCAACATGGTGAAACCTGTCTCTACCAAAAATACAAAAATTAGCTGGGTGTGGTGGTGGGCACCTGTAATCCCAGGTACTCGGGAGGCTGAGGCAGCAGCATCACTTGAACCTGGGAGGTGGAGGTTGCAGTGAGCTGAGTTCACACCATTGCACTCCAGCCTGGCGACAGAGTGAGATTGTGTCCAAAAAAAAAAAAAAAAAAAAAAAAAAAGGGCTGGGTGCGATGGCTCATGCCTGTAATCCCAGCACTTTGGGAGGCCAAGGCAGGCAGATCATGAGGTCAGGAGTTCAAGACCAGCCTGGCCAACATGGTGAAACCCATCTCTACTAAAAATACAAAAATTAGCTGGGTGTGGTGGTGGTGGGTGCCTGTAATCCCAGGTACTCGGGAGGCTGAGGCAGGAGAATTCCTTGAACCCGGGAGGTGGAGGTTGCAGTGAGTTGTGATCATGCCACTGCACTCCAGCCTGGGTGACAGAGTGAGACGTTCTCAAAAAAAAAAAAAAAAAAAAGCAAGCAAGCCTGAGATGGACAATGTATGCAACGCCCCATAACGGAAAAGAAAGGAATCCGCAAACGTCAGGGCTCTGTGATCAGAGGAATTCGGGGGCCCAGAAGCCCACCCCACAGCCGTTCCTGGTACTGCGCTGCTGGGTGACATCGGGTAAATGCAACCCGCACTTGCTGGAATCGAATTTCAGCAAAAGGTTTCTCAGGTTCACATGGGAGAGTAAAAGCAAGAGAATAATAGTCAAGAAAGTCCTAAAATAGTAATGGGGACAGGTTTAATCGCTAGACATGCAGCTATTTTATAAATAATTGTATAAATAATGGCTTAGAGTAGAAAGCTCAAGACAGACAGTGGATTGGGTAAGCCTGTGACGAGGGCTGCTCTTCCGTTCGCGGCTGAGGATGGAGATTTGATGAGTGACCTGAGAAGGCATCGTCCACCATCTTAAAACCTGATAAAGATCAGCAGCTTCCTCATGTGAAAACACACAACTCCAAACGGATGAAGGCTTTTAATTTGAAAAAAGAATTCTACGAGTATCAGAAAGATGTTCAGATGGTCAAACAGGCTTCCCTAAGAACGACAGCAAAGGCACACACCATTAAAACGCACATACCAGGCCAGGCGCAGTGGCTCAAGACTGTGGCCCCAGCACTTGGGGAGGCCGAGGCAGGAGGATTGCTTGAGGCCAGGAGTTCAAGGCCAGCCTGGGCAACATGGTGAAACCCCATCTCCTCACAAAAAGTAGATACAGTTCACAGTTACTAATTCCTGTGTATCAAAAACTCAACACCATAAAATGAAGCCAGACCAACAGGGAAAGCGCTTGGTCACACACGCAGTTTCTGCCCCCAGGGCTAAGAGCTCCTCACATGAACAAGCACACAAGGGGCACCGCGAGCAGCAGCTGGCAAAGGAAGAAAGATGCAGCCGACGATGCGTGGAGCACTCAGGCTYGTTAGCCACGGAGGAAACACAGAGACGCCGCAGAGGCACTTCCTGCATGCCTGTCGTGATTGCAAAAGTGACAATTATCACATTCCATCGGCTCCTGAGTGCTGCAAGACCTGGGAGGCCGCTTTCTCATGAACGACTGAGGAGGAGATACGGACGCTATGGACGCACCCCCCGCCACACACCACACAACCCACACCCTACACAACCCGCACACCACACACACAGACACGCCACACAACACACATACACCCCACACAACCCGCACCCCACACCCCACATACATCCCACACAACCCACACCCCACACACACCACACAACTCACACCCCACACAACCCGCACCCCACACAACCCACACCCCACATACACCCCACACAACCCACACCCTACACAACCCGTACCCCACACACACAGACACACCACACAACCCACACCCCACATACACCCCACACACACACCCCACACCCTACACAACTCGCACCCCAGACACCCCACACACACCCCACACACACACCACACAACCCACACACCACACAACCCACACCGCACACAACCCACACCCCACATACACCCTACACAACCCGCACCCCAGACACCCCACACAACCCACACCCCACATACACCCCACACACCCATCCTACACAACCCACACCCCACACAGACACCCCACACAACCCACACCCCACATACACCCCACACACCCACCCCACACAACCCACACCCCACACAC